>NC_000004.12:364839-719679 GCF_000001405.40 Homo sapiens | reverse complement strand
CTCCAGCTCCACTGTAGCCCTCAGCACCTGCCAAACTCACACACCATCCCTTCTCCACCTCCTTATGGCGTAAACGCCTCGCTCCTGTTCCCTGACGGGACCCCGCATTGCAGCTGCACCACAGACACACACAGCTCCCTCGCCAACCCGCGCGGAGGACACAGGACCTGGGGGGGCGGCTCACAGCAGCCAGGGAGGAACAGACACAAACCACTCTCCGGCACCACCATGTTCCTGAGCTGCGCCTGGTGAGAAGACAGTCCAGGCACCGAGGGTTCTCATCAACCTCGTGCGGACACACAGAACCACACCAAGCACTCTCTGTTCCTTCCCGCTGGAGACGACCAGGTTAGGAGGAAAACGGAACTTTACATGGTTCTCTGCACAGCTATGTCACCCTAAAAGTTTTTTTAAGAAAATGAAAAACAGCCGGGTGAGGTGGCTCACACCTGTAATCCCAGCACTCTGGGAGGCCCAGGCAGGCAGATCACAAGGTCAGGAGTTCGACACCAGCCTGACCAACATGGTGAAACACCGTCTCTACTAAAAATACAAAAAATAGCCGGGCATGGTGGCACGTGCCTGTAGTCCCAGCTACTCAGGAGCCTGAGGCAGGAGAAATGCTTGAACCTGTATAGCAGAGGTTGCAATGAGCCAAGATAGTGCCATTACACTCCAGTCTGGGTGACAGCACAAGACTCTAACTCAAAAAATTAAAAAAAGAAAAAAGAAAAAAAAGAAAATGAAAAACAATGCTACAACATGACAGCGCTTTGAATTTAATTCTCAAAAGGGTCCATGACTCGAAAGACAGTAAGCATCCCTGCTCCATCTCTGGCCAGGCAGGAACTGACCCCAGGCAGTAAAGTTGCCTCCCCCATGGCCCAGCCCCTACCGTGGCCACAAAGCTCTCAGAGGGCCATGGGCTCCTGCCCACACCTGTGACATCGAGCCCCCAGCCTGGTCCTTGACTCCCAGCCCCACTCAGGGTGTTGCCTGCATTAGAGCAACTGGGCCCCCAACTCCCAGCCAGAGCCAGCCGACCCCACCTCCGTGGACCGTGGCACTGTGGGGGCCACACACAGAGCACAGCACTCACACGGACAGGGCTGAGACTGGACAGGCCTCACTGCTGGGCTGACATTTCTCAGTAGCTGGGATTACAGGCGCACATCAGCTCTCATTTTTTAAATTAAGTGTTTATACAAATATTTGCGTTCATACAAAGACCTAAGGTACATTCACTAAGGTGGGACCCCAGATGAGAGTCACTACCAGCCTCAGAGTGTAGCTCAGTGACATCCCCCTCAACCCAGGCCCCGCAGGCCTGCAGCTGTCCAGGAGGCCCAGGCAGGTTATACCCAGGGAGCTCGGGGGCGCTTCAGCAGTCCGGCCCCCAGCGCCGCCCCCGGGGCTACCCCACAGACCCCCCGACTCCACGTTTCCTCTCCAGGCACCTCTGGCCCAACCCTGCTTTGAACTCCCATCCAGACGTCTGACGGCTGCACGTCAGTGGGCGGCCGGCACGTCCATCAGGACTTCCCTGCCCTGACCTCCTCTGACAGCCTTGCACCCCAGGGAGCCCCAGACACCTCTGAGCCACCTGCGCCTCCCTCACACTGGGCCCCCCTAGAAACCAATCTGCTGTGCCTTGAAGGACACGCGGCACCCACACAGCACCCTCGCCTCTGCCACACCAGGCCCCACTGACCTCAACGCAGCACCCACGGGATTCCCGAACACACAAGCCTGAGTGGACGCAGAGGCTCCTCAGGGCCATCGAGGTCAGGCCCTGGCCCTGCCAACAGCCCACACCTCCCTCTGCCTTTGCCTCTCCCTCTGCCCCTGCCGCGTGGACTCCTCAATCACCGCAGGACATTCTCGGCCCTCTCGCTCAGGGCGCCCTGTGCCCAGAACACGCCCTCCTGCACCTTATCAAGCCTCTTCTCAATGTCATCTCAGTATGCTGCAGAGACTACCTTGTTTGAAAGTAAGCACACACAGCCGGGCGCGGTGGCTCACACTTGTAATCCCAGCACTTTGCAAGGCCAAGGTGGGCAGATCACGAGGTCAGGGGCTTGAGAGCAGCTTGGCCAATACAGTGAAACCCCGTCGCTAATATAAATACAAAAATTAGCTGGGTGTGGTGGGAAGCACCTGCAGTCCCAGCTACTCAGGAGGCTGAGACGGGAGAATCCCTTGAACTCAGGAAGTGGAGGTTACAGTGAGCCGAGACCCTGCCACTGCACTCCAGTCTGAGTGACAAAGCAAGACTGAAAAAAAAAGTAAGCACACACTCACAGTGTCCACAGGGTCCCAGCACTGACACCCAGTTCTCACACTCAGTGTCTACAGGGTCCCAGCACCGACGCCCAGTTCTCACATTCAGTGTCTACAGGGTCCCAGCACCGACGCTCAGTTCTCACATTCAGTGTCTACAGGGTCCCAGCACCGACGCTCAGTTCTCACACTCAGTGTCTACAGGGTCCCAGCACCGACGCCCAGTTCTCACATTCAGTGTCTACAGGGTCCCAGCACCGACGCTCAGTTCTCACATTCAGTGTCTACAGGGTCCCAGCACCGACGCTCAGTTCTCACACTCAGTGTCTACAGGGTCCCAGCACCGACGCCCAGTTCTCACCCTCAGTGTCTACAGGGTCCCAGCACAGACGCCCAGTTCTCACCCTCAGTGTCTACAGGGTCCCAGCACCGACGCCCAGTTCTCACACTCACAGTGTCTACAGGGTCCCAGCACCCACGCCCAGTTCTCACACTCGCAGTGTCCACAGGGGCCCAGCACCGACGCCCAGTTCTCACACTCACAGTGTCTAGAGGGTCCCAGCACCGACGCCCAGTTCTCACACTCACAGTATCTACAGGGTCCCAGCACCGACGCCCAGTTCTCACACTCACAGTATCTACAGGGTCCCAGCACCGACGCCCAGTTCTCACACTCAGTGTCTTCAGGGTCCCAGCACCGACGCCCAGTTCTCACACAGTGTCTACAGGGTCCCAGCACCGACACCCAGTTCTCACACTCAGTGTCTACAGGGTCCCAGCACCGACACCCAGTTCTCACACTCAGTGTCTACAGGGTCCCAGCACCGACGCCCAGTTCTCACACTCGCAGTGTCCACAGGGTCCCAGCACCGACACCCAGTTCTCACACTCGCAGTGTCCACAGGGTCCCAGCACCGACACCCAGTTCTCACACTCGCAGTGTCCACAGGGTCCCAGCACCGACGCCCAGTTCTCACACTCAGTGTCTACAGGGTCCCAGCACCGACGCCCAGTTCTCACACTCACAGTGTCCACAGGGTCCCAGCACCGACGCCCAGTTCTCACACTCGCAGTGTCCACAGGGTCCCAGCACCGACGCCCAGTTCTCACACTCAGTGTCTACAGGGTCCCAGCACCGACGCCCAGTTCTCACACTCACAGTGTCTAGAGGGTCCCAGCACCCACGCCCAGTTCTCACACTAAGTGTCTACAGGGTTCCAGCACCGACGCCCAGTTCTCACACTCAGTGTCTACAGGGTCCCAGCACTGACACCCAGTTCTCACCCTCAGTGTCTACAGGGTCCCAGCACCGATGCCCGGTTCTCACACTCACAGTGTCTACAGGGTTCCAGCACCGACGCCCAGTTCTCACACTCAGTGTCTACAGGGTCCCAGCACCGACGCCCAGTTCTCACACTCAGTGTCTTCAGGGTCCCAGCACCGACGCCCAGTTCTCACCCTCAGTGTCTACAGGGTCCCAGCACCGACGCCCAGTTCTCACCCTCAGTGTCCACAGGGTCCCAGCACCGACACCCAGTTCTCACACTCACAGTGTCTAGAGGGTCCCAGCACCCACGCCCAGTTCTCACACTAAGTGTCTACAGGGTCCCAGCACCGACACCCAGTTCTCACACTCACAGTGTCCACAGGGTCCCAGCACCGACACCCAGTTCTCACACTCAGTGTCTACAGGGTCCCAGCACCGACGCCCAGTTCTCACACTCACAGTGTCTAGAGGGTCCCAGCACCCACGCCCAGTTCTCACACTAAGTGTCTACAGGGTCCCAGCACCGACACCCAGTTCTCACACTCACAGTGTCCACAGGGTCCCAGCACCGACACCCAGTTCTCACACTCAGTGTCTACAGGGTCCCAGCACCGACGCCCAGTTCTCCCACTCAGTGTCTATAGGGTCCCAGCACAGACGCCCAGTTCTCACACTCACAGTGTCTACAGGGTCCCAGCACCGACGCCCAGTGCTCACACTCAGTGTCTACAGGGTCCCAGCACCGATGCCCGGTTCTCACACTCACAGTGTCTACAAGGTCCCAGCACCGACGCCCAGTTCTCACACTCAGTGTCTACAGGGTCCCAGCACCGACTCCCAGTTCTCACATTGAGTGTCTACAGGGTCCCAGCACCGACACCCAGTTCTCACACTCAGTGTCTACAGGGTCCCAGCACCAACACCCAGTTCTCACACTCGCAGTGTCTACAGGGTCCCAGCACCGACGCCCAGTTCTCACACTCAGTGTCTACAGGGTCCCAGCACCGACACCCAGTTCTCACACTCACAGAGTCTACAGGGTCCCAGCACCGACGCCCAGTTCTCACACTCAGTGTCTACAGGGTCCCAGCACCGACGCCCAGTTCTCACACTCAGTGTCTACAGGGTCCCAGCACCGACACCCAGTTCTCACACTCACAGCGTCTACAGCGTCCCAGCACCGACACCCAGTTCTCACCCTCAGTGTCTACAGGGTCCCAGAACCGACGCCCAGTTCTGTTACTGACATACTGACCCATGGACTGCTGTAAAGGGACTTTTGAAGCTGTAATTAAGGTCCCAAATAAGCTACCTCAAAATCGGGAGTGCCCAGGTTTGCGTGACCTAGTGAGAAGAGTCCCTCCAGGGCAGCTTTCTCCAGCTGAGACTGAAGAGGACGTCAGGGCCTATGTCTCCGCTGGCCTGGCAGAAGGCAGTGGGGTGGGAAGGATGCGAGCCCGGTCCACGGACAGGGAGACAAGACCTCCAACGCCAGGGGGTCTCACCTGGCATGGTCAGAAGGGCCAGGACCTCCAGGGCAAGGACAGGCCCTGGCTGACTCTGGTTCAGGAAAACATGGAGACATTCTCAAGACAGCTGGGAAGAGGTAAGGCGGCCTGAAAATCAGGTAACGCCGTGAAGTAGGTGCCACCGTCCTAGGGTCACAGTGGGGTTGTAGCGGTGTGGGGGCCTCCCCTAGTTCTTGCTCTCAGGTGGGACTCACCTTCCCAGCAAGGCTCCTGTCCGGAGCCGCTCACAGGTGAGTCCAGGATGTACTGAGAGAAGGAGAGGAAGCAAATGCGGCCGAACGGCCACGAGTGGGTCTGGGCAGTAGAGGGTGCCGTCCTGGTCTGTTCAGGCGGCTGCGACCGAAGCACCTTAGGCCGAGCAGCTGACAAACCACAGAACGCACCTCTCAGTTCTGCAGGCTGGGAGTCCAGAATCAAGGCGCTCGCAGATTTGGGGGCTGGTGGGGTCAGAGTCCTCACAGGCAGTGCCTTCTCTCGTGTCCTCAAATGACAGAAAGGGCGCTGGTCCTGTCATCAGGGCAGAGCCTTCCGAGGGCCCCACGCCTGACACTGACACCTTGGGGGTTAGGGTCCCCCATGGATTCTGGGGGACACAGACGTTCGGACCACAGCAAGTGCTCACTGTATAATTTTCTCCATTTTTCTGTATTGCGATTTTTTTTCTTAACAAAAACTTGGGTAAAAAAGTAAATTAAAATCACTTAACATTTAAAAAATTTTAAGGTGAGCCCTCGTGGCCCCCACATTCCAATGATGCCTGCCCTGTGCGCCCTCTGCTGTGCCAGGCTCACACTGCGAAATAAGCACAGCTTTTACGGTCTGATTCCTGGGCGGCATCAGGAATCCAACAAGTTCATACTCATGCCGCCTCAGAACAGCTCCACACAGCATCCATGAGGATCAGCTTCCGGTTACTGTTTATTGAGCATCTAATACGGGCCACGCCCTGATCAAGAACCTGGAAATGTGACAGCTCACAAGACCCAGACAGGAGACACAGGCACAAAGTCATAGCCCCCCACGAGGCCACACAGGATCCATGAGGCCACAGCCCTGACGAGGCCACACAGGACCCATGAGGCCACACAGGACCCACAAGGCCACAGCCCCCACCAGGCCACACAGGACCCATGAGGCCATAGCCCCCACAAGGCACACAAGACCCATGAGGCCACAGCCCCCACGAGGCCACAGCCCCCACAAGGCCACACAGGACCCACAAGGCCACGGCTCCCATGAGACACACAGGACCCACAAAGCCACAGCCCCCACCAGGCCACACAGGACCCACAAGGCTACAGCCCCCATGAGGCCACAGCCCCCACCAGACCACACAGGACCCATGAAGCCACAGCCCCCACCAGGCCACACAGGACCCACAAGGCCACAGCCCCCACCAGGCCACACAGGACCCACAAGGCCACAGCCCCCATGACGCCACACAGGACTCACAAAGCCACAGCTCCCACGAGGCCACAGCCCCCACCAGACCACACAGGACCCACGAAGAACATAGGACCCACTTGGCCACAGCCCCCAGGAGGTACACAGCCCCCCACAGGGCCCACAGGCCCCACAGGCCCCCAACAAGGCCATACAGCCCCCATGAGGCCCACAGCTCCCACGAGGCTCACAGCCCCCATAAGACCCACAAGGCCAACGGGACCCACTGATTAGAGGGAGTTTCAAGGAAGTCTGCAGACAGATTTCCCCTCTTTGCATCTATTTCTCATTAAACATCTGGAATTTGCTGTTAATGTAGCAAAGCCCAGCAAATATCAATGAATTTGAAAAAAAGAAAAAAGAAACCAAGCCAACAAATCCACTCTCTAAATGCACCTAAATATTAGAGTTTATTGGCCGGGCGCGGTGGCTCACGCCTGTAATCCCAGCACTTTGGGAGGCCAAGGCGGGCGGGTCATGAGGTCAGGAGTTTGAGACCAGCCTGGCCAACATGGCAAAACCCCATCTCTACTAAAAATACAAAAACTTAGCCGGGCATGGTGGCAGGCGCCTGTAATCCCAGCTACTTAGGGAGCTGAGGCAGGAGAATCACTTGAACCAGGAGGCGGAGGTTGCAGTGAGCCGAGATCGCGCCACTGCACTCCAGCCTGGGCTACAAGAGCAAAACTCCATCTCAAAACAAACAAACAAACAAAAAACAAAAACAAACAAACAAACACGAATATTAGAGTTTATCTTAAAAAAAAGCAAGTCAATATAACAATAGGTTGAAGGACTATATTTTCTAGAGTGTGAGTTCCTGTCAATGGGAGTTTTGCTTAACTCAGTGGATAATTCTACAAAAATGCACCTAGGCAACATTCACTATTGTTCTTTGTCATTTTGGCATTTGCATAATTCAGTTCTGTCGGGAGAAACGTGGCAGATCTGGAAAGATAGTTTTGTTTTGTTTTTCTTAAGGCCTCACATTTTTAAAATTCAGTGATAAACTATCAATGTATGAAATTAAAAATAATTTCAATTTTTGAAGCACAATGAATTGTACCATATTTTTGCTATATTAACAGCAAGTATCATAATAAAAAATAGATAAACAATAGGAAACTGTCCCTAAACCTCACTATATTTCAATGGTAAAAGAAAAATTACATTTTCTTTTCTTTTTTTTTTTACTTTTTATTTTTTTTTCAGACAGAGTCTCACTCTTCGCCCAGTCTGGAGTGCAATCTCAGATCACTGCAAACTCCGCTTCCCGGGTTCAAGCAATTCTCCTGCCTCAGCCTCCCAAGTAGCTGGGATTACAGGTGCCCACCACCATGCCTGGCTAATTTTTGTTGAAAAATTACACACGCCTGCCTAATTCTGTAGAAAAATTACATTTTCGGCCGGGTGCGGTGGCTCACGCCTGTAATCCCAGCACTTTGGGAGGCCGAGGCGGGTGGATCATGAGGTCAGGAGATCGAGACCATCCTGGCTAACAAGGTGAAACCCCGTCTCTACTAAAAATACAAAAAATTAGCCGGGCGCGGTGGCGGGCGCCTGTAGTCCCAGCTACTCGGGAGGCTGAGGCAGGAGAATGGCGTGAACCCGGGAAGCGGAGCTTGCAGTGAGCCGAGATTGCGCCACTGCAGTCCGCAGTCCGGCCTGGGCGACAGAGCGAGACTCCGTCTCAAAAAAAAAAAAAAGAAAAAAAAAAGAAAAATTACATTTTCAACTTCAATTCTAACCATTAACCAAAAATAAGGCTGCAAACAAAATAAATCCTGCCATTTAATAAAGAGTAACAGCATACACCAAAACAAGACTCACTTTATAATCCAAATAAAAAAACCCAAGTAAAGAATTCTAGCCCACGGCAAAGGGCCCCTGCCGCACCCTGCAGCTCCTCGATTTTGCCACAGAGCCGCTGTAGTCTAGAGAGTGCGGCATGGTGGGAGGGGCGGCTGAGGTCTCCAGAGTCCAGAACAGGCCCCCTTCCCGGCCCTAGCTCCAGCCCAGAACCGGAAGGAGGCATGGGGTCCGGCTCCCTGTGCAGTGGAGGGTGTGGGCTAGGAGCAGAGGCTCTGGCTCACAGTAGTGCCTGGACCCTGGAGCTAAGTCCTCACACCGGTCAAATGTCCAGTGTGGTCAAGGTCTCACGTCTCCTACGGCATTTTTATGAAGTCACAAATAACTGCAAGCGCAAGGTCTACTGTAACTGGTAAAAACATTTCCCCCATATATTTAAAATGGTTTAGGAAAACTTAACAGAAGTCGGTTGATAATTTCTGGAGCAAAATCACTGGCAGGAAGAAAATGAGGGGACTCTGGGAACAGCAAAAATCCTTGCACTTGAAGCTGTTGGGAAGGATTTGACATCAGTGACACACACCTTGTAATTTAATTTGTGGGGGGGTCTTTTGGCTTGCTACTGGTATGCCAAATTGCAAGTTAATTCCTAAGAATCTTTTCTATCTGTAATTTATCTTCTTTTACGTATCACAAATATCTCAATCATGACGGT
Source organism: Homo sapiens (assembly GCF_000001405.40). NCBI lineage: Eukaryota > Metazoa > Chordata > Mammalia > Primates > Hominidae > Homo > Homo sapiens. Next base: position 710,636 of record NC_000004.12, on the reverse strand, counting down.
GACATCGGAGAAACCCACACCAATTAAAGAGACAGCTGAACAGTCACATCCTCATCTTAACACGTCACTCCACACGCAATCGCTGATTTACTTACGGGATGTCTCTCCAGTGCCCTGAGAGGTGCCAGGCTCACAGCACCGCTGTGCTGGGCAGGCTTTAAGTGTTCCAGTGACCCCACCTGCCCATCGTATGCTCACCGTTTTGGAGTCCCCTCCCCTCAAGTGTGTAGGGGCCGAATGACTCTTGGCAAAAGTGGTAGAATGTCACTCCACAAACACTGGGACGTCCTTCCTGTCCCTCTCTGGCTAGGCATGGGCTCCCTCGGAGCTGCCCTATAGAGAAAGGAACTGAGGTCTCCAGCCCACAGTCACGTGACACAGCCTGGCTGCGGACCCTCCCCAGTCCAGCCTTCAGAGGAGACACAACCCCAGATGGGAGGTCCCTGAGCCAGAGCCCACCTGGTCTCCCAACCCACAGAAACAGTAAGTTATCATCGGACTGTTGGTTTAAGGCAGGGGTTCTGGGGTAATCTGCCACACAGCAATATATAAATAATACAACCACTCAGCACGGCCTAAAAACACCTCTAAAACACACCTCTAAAAGCCTGGGAACCAGACAGTACAGAGCCAAACAAACCTGAACACTCAGCTTCACAAGCCTCTTCCACAATTTCACAAAGCAAATGAAGTTTAAAAAACAGTAAAGGATATGTCAAAAGAGCAAATCAGAAGGAAGTGTTGAGTAAAAAGGTCCCTGGCGGTTACACTGGGCGAGTAAGAGCTTCTAGGTCCAGGCTGACCACGCAGGGACACGACGTGGCTGACACTGAGTACCCTGAAATGTTAAGCTGAAAACCTAACACGGTTTTCTCCTAAGTAACCAAGAAGTGAAGCTGTGGCAAAGATGAAATCCCGAACCATCCAATTCAGTGTCTCTCTTGGGAGTCTAGATAGCTCAGAGTTTTAGGGTTACACCTCATTGTACTGCCCAACTTCCAGGCAAGCCCGCACGCCTAATCCGAGGGGATGTCTCTGAAGAGCGGCCCTGCCTTTCATTCATTTGTTCATGCATCACTCACTCTTGCCTTTCATTCATTTGTTCATACATCATTCACTCTTGCCTTTCATTCATTTGTTCATGGATCATTCACGCTTGCCTTTCATTCATTTGCTCATGGATCATTCACTCTTGCCTTTCATTCATTTGTTCATGCATCATTCACTCTTGCCTTTCATTCATGTGTTCATGCATCATTCACTCTTGCCTTTCATTCATTTGTTCATGCATCATTCACTCTTGCCTTTCATTCATTTGTTCATGCATCATTCACTCTTGCCTTTCATTCATTTGTTCATGCATCATTCACTCTTGCCTTTCATTCATTTGTTCATGCATCATTCACTCTTGCCTTTCATTCGTTCATGCATCATTCACTCTTTTGGGGAATGTACGGCACACCAAGCAGCCACACGGCACCCTCTGGGAGCAGGGTTCCTGGGATGACCACCCTCTGGAAACACCCCTGACAAGATGTCACTAGACAACCCTTCCCTAGTCAAAGGACAGCATAGACCGCTCGCTTCTGAATACCTCATGCACCCCACTTTTTCATTACCACTTCCAAATTAAAGGAAAACACCCACAAGTTTTTGATAAAAGGCTGATTCAAAGGTTTCAGAGAAATAAACCAACCCCCGTCCCCAGCCCGATCACCACCAGGATCCTTTAATTCCTTCCCTTACTAGAGAGGGAGTGGGAAATAGCCTTGCCTGCTCCAACTTTCCTGACTTGGACCAACTGTCCCCAAAATATGCCCAGGAGTCCACATCCCAGCTCAGACCCCACCCCTCCTCCAAGTCTCCCGGACACTGGAAACGCCTCTACACTGAGGAAGTGGGGCACTCACATGACCTTGAAGATGGGGAGAGGGGCAGGAGGGGTTGAAGGTGCTGGACACGGACCACAGCCAAGGCAAGGACAGGACAGCAGCCCCGGACGAGGGGCTGAGTGGGAGGGTGCAGTGCCAGCCTGAGGTGTGGAGCCTGTGGGCTGGGAGCTCCTGGAACCCTGAGGCCCCTGCCTCATACCTACCCCAGGTATCACCTAGGCGGTTCATGTGCAGGGGCTGTGGGGCTGGCCCAGGGTCTCATGGAAAGGGCCTCGGGTACCAGGATGCCAGATGCCTGGCCTTCACAGCAGGTGCATCCAGCTGAGTGGACTGGGCAGATTCAGGACACTGCTGGATTCCCCCCCGAGGGTCCCAGTACTCCTTACAGTCCAGTCTTGGGGCCTACATGCTCCTCAGTGACTTGTTCAGGAGTCCCAGCCCTCTGAGGACCTGTCTGGAAGTTCCAGCTCTCATCAGGTCCTCTTTGAGAGCCTAGCCTTCTTCCCAGTCCACACCAGTGTCCCGACCCTAAGTGACCCCGTTTGAGGTCCTGGTCATCTAGAAGCCTGTCCATGTCATGAGCCCTTCTCACTGTCCAGTCTCAGGGTGCCGGGCCCTGGGAGAAAACAGGGCTGTCTCAGGGTCCCGGCCCCCAGGTGAAAACAGGGCTGTCCCAGGGTCCCGGCCCCCAGGTGAAAACAGGGCTGTCCCAGGGTCCCGGCCCCCAGGGGAAAACAGGGCTGTCCCAGGGTCCCGACCCCCAGGGGAAAACAGGGCTGTCCCAGGGTCCCGGCCCCCAGGGGAAAACAGGGCTGTCCCAGGGTCCCGACCCCCAGGGGAAAACAGGGCTGTCTCAGGGTCCCGACCCCCAGGTGAAAACAGGGCTGTCCCAGGGTCCCGACCCCCAGGGGAAAACAGGGCTGTCCCAGGGTCCCGGCCCCCAGGGGAAAACAGAGCTGTCCCAGGGTCCCGGCCCCCAGGTGAAAACAGAGCTGTCTCAGGGTCCCGGCCCCCAGGTGAAAACAGAGCTGTCTCAGGGTCCCGGCCCCCAGGGGAAAACAGAGCTGTCCCAGGGTCCCGACCCCCAGGGGAAAACAGGGCTGTCCCAGGGTCCCGACCCCCAGGGGAAAACAGAGCTGTCCCAGAGTCCCGACCCCCAGGGGAAAACAGAGCTGTCCCAGGGTCCCGACCCCCAGGGGAAAACAGGGCTGTCCCAGGGTCCCGGCCCCCGGGTGAAAACAGGCTGTCCCAGGGTCCCGGCCCCCAGGGGAAAACAGGGCTGTCTCAGGGTCCCGGGGGAGACGGGGCAGTCTCAGGGTCCCAGCAGTGCTCACAGGACTCACAAGACTGCTCCAGGGTCAGGTCCTCCTGAATTATGGTCATGGGGTCCTGGCCCTCGTCTGTGACCCACTTTAAGGCAGGACCTTCCTGGGGGATCTATTCTGGGGTCCTGGCATTCTTTGGATTCTGCCTGGTCCCTACGTCTGGCCCTCCTCCGTGATTCTTCCCAGGGTCCTAGCCCCCCCGGGCCCTGCCAGGTGGCCAGGTCCGACCCTCCTTGGTGACCCATCTTGGGGTCCCAGCCCTTCTCGGTGACCTGTCCCAGGGTCAGACCCTCCTGGATGATGTGTCATTGTGTCCTAGCACTCTGGGGGTCCTGTGCAATCCCAGAGCCCAACTCTCTTCAGGTCCTGCCTGGTCTGAAGACCCAGCCCTCCCGGGGTCCTGCCTGGGCTGGGGTCGCGACCTTCCCAGGGTCCTGCCTGGGCTGGGGTCCCTACCCTCCCGCGGTCCTGCCTGGGCTGGGGTCTTTGCCCTCACCTGGGTCCTGCCTGGTCTGGGGTCTTCGCCCTCCCTGGGTCCTGCCTGGGCTGGGGTCGCGACCTTCCCAGGGTCCTGCCTGGTCTGGGGTCCCTGCCCTCCCGCGGTCCTGCCTGGGCTGGGGTCTTCGCCCTCACCTGGGTCCTGCCTGGTCTGGGGTCTTCGCCCTCCCTGGGTCCTGCCTGGGCTGGGGTCGCGACCTTCCCAGGGTCCTGCCTGGTCTGGGGTCCCTGCCCTCCCGCGGTCCTGCCTGGGCTGGGGTCTTCGCCCTCCCTGGGTCCTGCCTGGTCTGGGGTCTTGGCCCTCCCGGGGTCCTGCCTGGTCTGGGGTCCCTGCCCTCCCGCGGTCCTGCCTGGGCTGGGGTCTTCGCCCTCCCTGGGTCCTGCCTGGTCTGGGGTCTTGGCCCTCCCGGGGTCCTGCCTGGTCTGGGGTCTTGGCCCTCCCTGTTCTGGGGTCTTTGCCCTCCCTGGGTCCTGCCTGGGCTGGGGTCTTCGACCTCCCGGAGTCCTGCCTGGGCTGGGGTCTTGCCCTCCCTGCGTCCTGCCTGGACTGGGGTCTTGCCCTCCCTGCGTCCTGCCTGGGCTGCTGTCCCAGCCCTCCCTGGGTCCTGCCTGGGCTGGGGTCTTCGACCTCCCGGAGTCCTGCCTGGGCTGGGGTCTTGCCCTCCCTGCGTCCTGCCTAGGCTGGAGTCCCAGCCCTCCCGGGGTCCTGCCTGGGCTGGGCTCTTGGCCCTCCCGGAGTCCTGCCTGGGCTGGGGTCTTCGACCTCCCGGAGTCCTGACTGGGCTGGGGTGCCGGCCCTCCCGGGCCTGCCAAGGGCTTCCCGGGCCAGGCCGACGGGGACGACGGAGCGCGGGCCCGGGGTTCGGAGCCTTCCGGGCCGGACACGGGCCGAGGCCGCAGCCTGAGGAGCGGGCGCCGAGGGCCCAGGCCAGGCGGGGCGGACTCACTGACCTGCGGTCTCGGGGCTGCGGGCGAGCAAGGCGCACGCGGGGTCCGCGCCGGAGGGGGGAGGGGGCGCCGCTCCCTCTGGGTCCCCCCCAAGAGGAGGAGAAAAAAGCCCGTCCGGAGTTTAAAACAAAGAGGCGGAAATGCCCGAGCCGAGCCGAGCGCCGCGTCGGGGGCGCCGCGCTCGGAGCATGCGCGGTGTGCGTCTGGGCTCCCACCCCGCGGCAAGGGGCGTGGGCGGGGCCAGGCGGTAAGGGGTGGGGATAGGGGCGGGGAGGGGCGTGTTCAGAGGGCGCAGGCGCGTCGGGCCTGGACTCGGCGGAGGGAGCCGCGGGGCGCGAGGGCCAGGGGCGAGGCATAGGGCGGGGCCATGAGGGGCGTGGTCAGGAGAGCGACAGGGCCGCGCTGTGCTGAGGGACCCGACGGGTCCTGGACGATCGTGAGCTGGGGCGCTGGAGCAGCAGAGTCCTCAGGCCCGGGTCCCTCCGGGGGTGCCGTCCAGTACGGGTGCTGCTGTCCTTTGTGGGAGCCGGGACTGAGCGCCCTCCCGGCAGGGTTAAGGGTCGGTGTTAGGGTCAGGGGTCGGGTTAGGGGTCAGAGTCAGGGTTAGGGTTGGGTTTAGGTTTAGGGTCAGGGTTAGGGGTTAGAGTCAGGGTTAGGACTGGGTTTAGGGCTAGGGTCAGCATTAGGGGTTAGGGTTAGGGTTGGGTTTATGGTTAGGGTCAGGATTAGGGGTGGGGTCAGGGTCAGGGGTTAGGGTCTGGTCTAGGGTTAGGGTTGGGTTTAGGGTTAGGGTCAGGGTTAGGGTTAGGGTTGGGTTTTAGGGTTAGGGTCAGGGTTAGGGTTAGAGTCAGGGTTAGGACTGGATTTAGGGTTAGGGTCAGCATTAGGGGTTAGGGTTAGGGTTGGTTTTACGGTTAGGGTCAGGATTAGGGGTAGGGTCAGAGTTAGGGGTTAGGTTTAGGGTTAGGGTTGGGTTTAGGGTTAGGGTCAGGATTAGGGGTGGGGTCAGGGTCAGGGGTTCGGGTCTGGTCATGTTTAGGCTTGTATTTAGGTTATGTTCAGCATCAGGACGGACAGGGCACCCACGTGCGGACTCTCCGACCTGGGTGCCCTCCGCCAGGGTGGAGCAGTACGGGCGGCATTTGCGCCTTCGTGGGACTGGCACTGTCCTGAGAGGGCGGGATCCGAGGACCGAGGGCGCGTGCGGGGGTGAGGCGGACGTGCAGGCACGCGGGGTCCTAGGGTCTCCCGGTTTGCGGGTTCTGGGCTGGCGGCCCAGGACGGGAGGGCAGGTTGGGTCTTGGGTGGGAAGCGAGACCACTGTGGTTCCGGGCGGCGGGGCACCGCGCAGTGTGGAGGCTTGGTGGCGAGAGGGGAGGCCCCGTAGGCCCAGGGGCACTCGCTGCGAGGCTGTGCGGTGCAGGCATGGAGCAGGAGTCGGGAGTCATTAGCTCGTCCCGTCTGGAGAGGTGGTGGCTGAGGGAGTGACCCTGCGACTGTCCCCGTGAAGTCTAGAGTTGGACCCCGGGAGCAGCCACCAGGCAGGGGGCCCCGGGCCCAGGTATGGTGCAGCACGTGGGGAAGCGGCTTGAGTCCGCTGCTGAGAGGGGCCTGAGAAGGGCTGGGGGCCTGCTGAGATCTCCAGCACTGGGTGGACACGTTATCCGGGTGGGAGGAGGACAGACAGCAGACATGTGAATGTGTACAGCATTCCCAGGCATGCTGCTGTGAAGGGGAGGGACTAAATGTGGCCACTGCTGCCCCCGGGGGAGGGGAGGCAGGGAGGGCTCCGTGGAGCCATGGGGTGGCCCAGTGCAGGGGAGGGGCCCACTGGAGAGGGCTGCCTGGGATTGGGGTACTGGGGTGCTGGCCCTCCACAAGAGCCCTGACTGCAGTTTTCAGTTGGTGGAGGCAGGCCCCAGATGTGGAGGGGAGGACTGGAGGATCATCCCAGAAGGAGGGCAGGGGCAAGGTATTGGTGCTGGGGTGCAAGGGGCAGGGGGTGGCCAGCAGGCCAGGAACAGTCCTGGGCTGAGTGTGGTGGCCTCAGGAAGAGGCAGAGTGGTAAGCTGCAGTTCAGAACTCACTCCAGGCCCCAGGCCCCTCCTCAAGGAGGTGCAGACCCTACCCCTAGGCTTCCCACTACTCTCCTGGGTGGGTGCCAGCGGTGCCCGGACCTTGACTCTGAGCCCTGGGCTCTTGTGTCCAGCTCTGTTTCTGCTGAATGTCATTAGGAAGCTTAAATGCCACATGGCCGGATGGCTTCCCCAGGCCATCCTGAGTCTGCTGTGTACCCCAGGACCCCCCACCCCCCACCGCCAGTCCTGAGGCAAGACCCCAGAGTCCTCTGCACCCTCTTCCTCTCATGCCCAAACTGGCCATCCATGGCCCATCGGCAGCCAGCCAGGTCTCCCACCTGCACCCTCCTGGGACCTCACTCAGCCAAGGCCCGAGGGTGGAGGCATCGGGGCCAAAGAAGCCTAGGGTGTTGGCAGTGTGTGCTGTCCTGGTGTGAGTTCGGGGTGTGCACATATTACATACAGGCACGTATTCCTTAGCAGAGCTGTAAAGAAGGGAGGCAGGAATCATGGCACAAGCAGACTGGAGTAGAGGGGAGGCCCCTGTCCCCCCCAGAGGGTGCCCCAACCTTCCCCAGGGTGCCGGTCCGCCCTCCCTGCCCACCCAGTCACTAGGGCCTCCTAGGGCCATTGGGTGCCTCTCTGGCAGATCATTCTGGTCACTCACAAACTGGCAGAGGGTCTGCCCATCCTTGAGGATGGAGCAGAACAGAAAGAGCTCGCTGGACCCTGTGCTTCTCTGCTGTCTTCACAGCGTCACTCTTCAGGAACTCTTTCTCCAATTTCCCTCCCCGAGTTCTCTCTTAAGCACATCAGGCATCTGCGCCTACCCCCATGTCTCAACCAAATGCTCCAGGACTTTGTGGGGTAAATCCAACTGCCTTTGTCACCACCCTTTCTGTTGCTGGGGTACAGACATGTGGTCTTGTTCCCAATTGCTCTCTTCTGTTTTCATCAGAAAGTCCTGCCAGCTCTGTCTTGGAAACTTCCCATCATCCAACCATGGCTTTCCAAGGCTGCTCTGGCCCAAACCCGCCCTGTCCTGCTGGAACTGGTGCCACAGCCTTGGGCCCCCCACCCCCAGTCAATCCTCAACAGAGCAGCCAACCAGCGGGTCCCGTCACACCCAAGTGGGAGCGCTCCACCCAGCGCGTGATGATAAGGACGTCCTCTGAGGTCCCTGCTCCCACCTCTGCCTGTTTCCCCAAGCTCACTCCACCCAGAGCTCTCCCTGACACTCACTCACCTTGTTGGCAAGGCTGTCAGGAAACAGGGCTCTCAGACGTGAGTGGTGGGAGCAGAGGAGCGTTTGACAGTATCCAGCAAAGTACACGGGCATTTATCCTTCAGCCCAGTGGCCCCCAAATAGGACTTTATTCCAGAGATAAATGGCAGGAATAAAAAAGATGGATGACCAAGGCTATTAATTGCAGCATAATGTATAACAGAAAAATTGAAAACATGGCCATCCACACGGTTAATCGGATACACTCTTGAACCTCCACACCTTGGATAGTGAATAAAGAAGAGATAAAGATAAAGAAGACTGATAAAGAAGAGACTGATGGTACCACACACTCTTACTTACAGAGTGACCTCCGGTATCCAGGATATGCTGTCCTGCGAGATGAGAAAAGGGCTCACAGTTGCTGCCATTTACCTGGAGCAGGGACCATTGAAGTTCTACCCATTTACCATTGAACATTCTACCCATTTGCCTGCCCTAAAAATGCTTTGTGGAGGCCAGTGTGGCTCACACCTGTAGTCCCAGCACTTTGGGAGGCTGAGGCGGGAGGATTACTTGGGCGCAGGAGTTTGAGACCAGCCTGGAATAACATAGTGAGACCCCATCTCTTTTCTTTTCTTTTCTTTTCTTTTCTTTTCTTTTCTTTTCTTTTCTTTTCTTTTCTTTTCTTTTCTTTGATATGGAGTCTCACACTGTCACCCAGGCTGGAGTGCAGTGGCACGATCTCGGCTCACTGCAGCCTCCACCTCCCACGTTCAAGCAATTCTCGTGCCTCAGCCTCTCAAGTAGCTGGGATTACAGGCATAAGCCACCACACCTGGCTAATTTTTGAATTTTTAGTAGAGATGGAGTCTTGGCATGTTGGCCAGGTTGGTCTCGAACTCCTGACCTCAAGTGATTCACCTGTCTCGGCCTCCCAAAGTGCTGGGATTACAGGCATGAGCCACCATGCCTGGCCCCTGTCTCTTAAAAAAAATAAAAAATAAAAAAATAAAAATAGGTGGGGTGCAGTGGCTCATGCCTATAACCCCAGCACTTTGAAAGGCCGAGACTGGTGGATCATTTGAACCCAGGAGTTCAAGACCAGCCTGAGCAACATGGTGAAACCCTGTTTATACTAAAAATAAACAACAACAAGTATCTGGGCATGGTGGTGCATGGTGGTGTGCATCTGTGGCCTCAGCTCCTTGGGAGGTTGAGGTGGGAGGATTGCTTGAGCCCAGCAGGTGGAGGTTGCAGTGAGCCGAGATTGCACCGCTGTACTCCAGCCCAGATGACAGAGGAAGACCCTGTCTCAAAATAAAATAAATAAATAAATAAATCCCTGTGGATTCTGGGAAGATGGTGGCAGTAGCAAGAATTTTGTATCTCCCCGAATTCCCTCATGAGACTCATAAAACTACAAGGCAGATCAAAACTGAGGTGCACAGCACTGACTGCAAAGCCAGAAGATGACGTATTTTCACACCAGGGGGAGGCAAAGCTCACAGCCTCAATCTCTGTGCCATCGGCATGTGTGTGCAGGGCGTGAGTTTACCCTCTTTCCCGAAGCAGCTGAAACAGTGGACAAAATACATCCAACGATCTTCAGACACTGGGCATCAGGGAGCACAGGACATGGTGCCTGAGAGAGGAGCAAATGGGGCGAGGCCTAAAGGAAGCCTCCTGGCTGCAACTCAGGGAGAGGAGCTGGGCGGAGGAGGCAAAGCTGGGAGTCAGGGAGGCCCACACACCAGAGTCCACAGGGCAGGGACGGAGAGGAGGGACTGCCCACAGCCAGAGCTCCAGGATGGGGCAGGCATGTGGGAGCTGCCCGGAGCTGGCAAGGACTCTGGAAAGAAGCTGGCGGAACAGGGCTGGGAGTCTTTGCACCCCCTCCGGCCCCAGGATGTCCTCGTCGTCCCAGGGGCACCAGGCAGGGCGGTCAGCTGTGGGACAGGAGCGAACTCTGCGCTGGTCCAGACTCCAAAGCTCAGAAGGCTGGAAGGACCAATGTGTCTCCAAGTAACTTGACTTTGTGTCCAGAGCAAAACACAGGGATATTTAATAGGAATGCAAATATACTCAGAACTCAACAGGGAAAGTGAACAACGCCTGCATCTAATCAAAAGTCATCAGACATGCAAAGAGGAAAATATGACCCGCGACGAGGAAGAAACTCCATCAGTGTGCGCCGGCCACGACTGAAGCCACTGATTGAAGCACAGTAAGGATGCTTGCACCACGAATGCATAATGCCACTGAAAAAGCTGCTGTGGATGGGTTCTGGGGCGCCAGCTTGTTATTTACAAAACTGGTGAAGGGTGGGCGTCAACCAGCCTCTCATCTTCCCTTATGCACACGACACCTCGGGGTGGCCAAAGATCTGGCGAGTGCTGGCTTCTCTCTAGGAACATTGCAGCTGGTAAATGAAGAAAGTATAGAATAAACTCTCCCCCGTCACAGCCCCAGTGAGATAATGACACAGGTAACAACCGTCATTGATATGAACATTACCAGAGAGACAGCCGGATGTCATGGGCCTCCTGGTAGGAAAGCGACACGGCTACAACGAGATCTTGCTTAAAAATCCACCCTGAATACAGGTGCAGCAGGTGCTCCGTCCCCCCACCCAGCCTCGCCCCTCTGGCTGCTCCGTGGGAGGCCCCCCAGTGGGTCTTCGTCCCAGGCCTTCTCTGGCTGGGGCCCACGGTGCAGGGGGAGCTCTCCCAGGGACTCAGGCAGCCCTGGGATGCACCTTTTCTTCAGCGTTGCTGTTTCTTCCCATTTCACACTCTCTGCCCCTTTCTGACTCCCTAAGGTGGTCGCCCGAGGAAAGATCCCAGCCCAACCCACCCCAAGCCCCTTAGCTCAGGCTCTGCTTCTTGGGGACCCACACTAAGACACTGATTAGGCCTCCGGGTCTCACACTGATTTATAGAATTCGGGGACAGGCGGGAGATGCCTTGGAATGTCAGCAGAAACTCTCAGGACTAGGAACTGTTTCTTCCACAACCAGCTGTGCAGGGGATTGAAGAAGATACAATGAGAGAAACAATCGAGAGGAAGTGAGTGTAGACCTATGGCTTGATTTGCATCCTGAGTCACGCAAACTGAAAACGAAACGAAGCACATTACGCAACAATCGTGGTGAGGGACACTGATTAGATATTTGGTAATGTTGAAAATCAGCCGGGCCCGGTGGTTCACGCCTATAATCCCAACCCTTTGGGAGGTCAAAGTGGGTGGATCACCTGAGGTCAGGAGTTTGAGACCAGCCTGGCCAACATGGTGAAACCCCATCTGTACTAAATATACAAAAAAAATTAGCTGGGCGTGGTGGTGGGCACCTGGAATCCCAGCTACCTGGGAGGCTGAGGCAGGAGAATTGCTTGAACTCAGGAGGCAGAGGTTGCAGTGAGCCAAGATAGTGCCACTGCACTCCAGCCTGGGCGACAGAGCGAGACTCCATCTCAAAAAAAAAAAAAAAAAAGATTGCCGCCCTCGCTTGCTGCTTGTGCCGCCTGCCCACCTCAGGCGCCCTTCAGTCTCCTTCCACTTCTCCCTCCAGACGCCAGGCCCCTCTGGGAGCCGGAAGTGCCCGCAGGTGCCCTGCAGAGGAGGCCTCATGGGAGTTTGTTGGGTGAACGCATCAGTGAATGCCTGTTTCAATCAACCAGGTGGAAATCTTGGAAATAAAATTTATAGTCCTGGACACACACGAAAACCAGTCCATGAGGTAATTCACAAACCAGTTGAAGAGCTTGGTGTGGCTGTAAGTGACGCTGCTGAGGACAGGGAGGCAGGGAAGCAGTGGAAGCGCAGGGGAGCCAGGCAGGGCTGAAATCGCAGACGTGATGATCTCACAAGAGCAGAGGAAGAGAGAGTCGTGAGGAGCTTCAGACTTGAGGACTAACCTGACTCTGCAGGTGGAGACGCAAACACCGTGCTAGGAACATGCTCGGACGCCTGGTAGGATGCCGGATATGGGGAGGCAGGACGCCCACAAAAGAGTCAGAAGAACCAGACCCTGAGCAGCTGGCACATCACCAACAACTGAACCCAAGTATCATTTAACCATCGCCGGAGAAATAATTCCAGCCGTTCACCTGTGTGTGTGTGTGTGTGTGTGTGTGTGTGTGTGTGTGTAGTTTTTTGTTTTGTTTTGTTTGTTTTCAGACGGAGTCTCGCTCTTGTCCCCCAGGCTTGAGTGCAGTGGCGCGATCTCGGCTCACTGCAACCTCCGCCTCCCGGGCTCAAGTGATTCTCCTGCCTCAGCCTCCTGAGTAGCTGGGATTACAGGCATGTGCCACCATGTCCGGCTAATTTTTTGTATTTTTAGTAGAGACGGAGTTTAATTTTGTATTTTTAATAGAGACGGGGTTTCACCATGTTGGTTGGGCGGGTCTCGAACTCCTGACCTCAGGTGATCCGCCTGCCTCAGCCTCTCAAAGTGCTGGGATTACAGGCGTGAACCACCGCGCCCGGCCTGTGTGTGCGTGTTTTTACACAAAACTAAAACTCAGCAATGACCACCAGAAAGCTGCGTGTGGTGTGGTGAGCAGGGAGCACGCTCTAAAGCCCCGGCCTGCTCAGAAGAGCCTGGAGACACTGCATGGACTTGGCCTATCTTGGAATAATGTGCAGTTAACTGTGTAGGTTAAACATCGAATGTCAACGGCCAGGCACGGTGGCTCGCGCCTGTAATCCCAGCACTTTGGGAGGCTGATGCAGGCGGATCACTTGAGGTCAGGAGTTTTGAGACCTGGCCAACATGGCAAAACCGTCTCTACTAAAAATACAAAAATTAGGCGGACGTGGTGGCACATGCCTATAATCCCAGTTACTTGGGAGGCTGAGGCAGGAGAATCCTTTGAACCCGGGAGGCGGAGATTGCAGTGAGCCGAGGTCGTACCACTGCACTCTAGCCTGGGCGAGAGAGGGAGACTCTGTCTCAAACAAACTAACTAACTAACCAATATAGAACACACCGCACAAAGAGCATCCAGTGTGGACTTCAGGATGGACTTCGGTTAAGAAGATCGTGTCGATATCGGTTCATCAATCCTAACAAAAGTACCAAACTCATGCGAGATGTAGATAACAGGGAAGTGGAGTGCAGGGTTTGGGGGAGAGAGGGGTATATGGGAACGCCGTACTTTCTGATAGATTTTTCTGTAAATCTAAAATTGCTCTGAAACATAAAGTCTAATAATTTTAAAAAGCAAATAAATGTAGCCAAAGAGTGCAAAACTAATATTCTGAAAGCTACAACTACAAACCATGACCAAAAGAATCTAAAGAAGGTCTAAGTAAATGGAAAGATGTCCTGCGTCCGTGGTGGGAAGACAATATTGTTAAGGTGTCTCCAACCTAATCATTCAACACAATCCATATCAAAGTCCTAATGAGCTTTTTTCAGAAATTGACAAGCTGATCCTAAAATTTATATGGAAATTCAGGGGACTCAGAATAGCCAAAACAACCTTAAAAAGAACAAAATTGGTTGGGTGCAGTGGCTCACGCCTGTAATCCCAGTACTTTCGGAGGCCGAGGCAGGTGGATCACCTGAGGTCAGGAGTTCCAGACCAGCCTGGTCAACATGGTGAAACCCCGTCTCTACTAAAAATACAAATATTAGCCAGACGTGGTGGCAGGCGCCTGTAATCCCAGCTACTCGGGAGGCTGAGGCAGAAGAATCGCTTGAACCCAGGAGGTGGAGGTTGCAGTGAGCTGAGATCGCGCCACTGCACTCCAGCCTGGGCAACAGAAGGAGCTCCATCTCAAAAAGAAAAACAAAACAAAAACAAAAAACAAAGATAGATGCTCATTTCCAACATATTCAATAAAAATTTGATAACATACACAAAGTAGTTATGCCACACTATACACAAAATGTTAGATATCAGTCATACCCACAGAGAAATTAGACACATACACTACACACAGGCATGTGCGCGCGCACACACACACACACACAATACCTACCTGCCAAAAGACAGGCAAAAACATTAAATACCCATCTCAAAGTTTTTTTTTAAATTTTATTTTGAGACGGAATCTCGCTCTGTCGCCCAGGCTGGAGTGCAGTGGTGCGATCTCCACTCACACTGCAAGCTCCACCTCCCAGGTTCACGCCATTCTCTTGCTTCAGCCTCCTGAGTAGCTGGGACTACAGGCTAATTTTTTGTATTTTTAGTAGAGATGGGGTTTCACCGTGTTAGTCAGGATGGCCTCGATCTCCTGACCTCGTCATCTGCCCGCCTCAGCCTCCCAAAGTACTGGGATTACAGGCGTGAGCCACCACGCCTGGCATTTTTTTTTTTTTTTTTTGAGACAGAGTCTTGCTCTATTGCCCAGGCTGGAGTGCAATGGCACGATCTTGGCTCATGCAACCTCCGCCTCCCAGGTTCAAGCGATTCTCCTGCCTCAGCCTCCCGAGTAGCTGGGATTACAGGTGCCTGCCACCACGCCCGGCTGATTTTTTGTATTTTTAGTAGAGATGGGGTTTCACTGTGTTAGCTAAGATGGTCTTGATCTCCTGACCTCGTGATCCATCCGCCCGCCTCGGCCTCCCAAAGTGCTGGGATTATAGGCGTGAGCCACCGCGCCCAGCCTCCATCTCACAGTCTTAAAGCAGGTTAGACCCTATTGGGAGGCAATTTTCCACACCTCATGTTTCTCCACGGTCCAGGTCCTCAGAGTCACTGAAACCACGTTAAGAATGTTTGTCCAGGCTGTGCAAGGTGGCTCACGCCTGTAATCCCAGCACTTTGGGAGGCTGAGGCGGGTGGATCACTTGAGGTCAGGAGTTCAAGACCAGCCTCGCCAACACGGTGAAACCCCGTCTCTAGGACAAAGACCTCCTCCACCCCTACAACGCCTCCCACCTACCTCTGTCCCTGGAGAAGGCTTACTTACACACCAGAGAAGAGACCAGGTTTGTCTCTCTGGAAGCGAGGATGAGGAGGCCCCCAGCAGCCACATAAAGGAAAAAAGAGTTTCAGCCGGGTGCGGTGGCTCACAGCTATAATCCCAGCACTTTGAGAGGCCAAGGCGGGTGGATCACAGGGTCAGGAGTTCGAGACCAGCCTGGCCGACATGGTGAAACCCCATCTCTACTAATAATACAAAAATTACTGGGTGTAGTGGCACGCGCCTATAATCCCAGCTACTCAGGAGGCTGAGGCAGGAGAATCGCTTGAACCCGGGACGGGGAGGTTGCAGTGAGCCGAGCCTGTGCCATTGCACTCCAGCCTGGGCGACAGAGCAAGACTCCGTCTGAAAAAACAAAAAAGGATAAGAGAGTTTCCTAAACTTGGGGTTCTTCCCCAACATGCACCTGCTGCCTGTCCAAGTTCCACCCACATCGTCCCGTCCACCCACGGGAACTGATGTTTCCCGTGTCCACGTATGTGTGAAATTGGCTGGCTAGCTTGTTAGCTTGTGAGCAGAGCAAAGTCTCAGGCACTTCAAGTCTCTGATTTAACACATGTTCATTTTATAACACACACACACACACACACACACACACACACAAACTCATTTCACACCATGTAGATAAGAAAGTAGATACCTGATCACACAATGTACAAAATATTAGTTAACTATTTAAACCCTACACACACACACACACACACACAAAAATTCTTCTTCACCTTCTTTTTTTTTTTTTTGAGACGAGAGCCTCACTCTGTCACTCAGGCTGGAGTGCAGTGGCAAGATCTCAGTTCACTGCAACCTCCGCCTCCCCAGTTCAAACGATTCTCCTGCCTCAGCCTTGTTTGAAATGCTTGTTCCCCGGTGCTGTAAAGAAATAGCACTGGAACATAAATTTAATTTACTCAACAAGGCCATTTCTTACTTTCTGCAGAAAGGGCACACTCGCCAGCAGTTTTGCCGTGAAGGTACACCGAACAAAGGAGACAGGGTCATTTATAACCTGACGCGTCCCCCCGACTGCTGTGTCTGGTTTCCATTGGCTGGAACGGGACCTCACATTCTGTATTGGTCGCGATTGGCTAGCAACTTAGAACTTTTCAAAAGAGGCAAAGGCAGAGGAGAACAAAGGAAGGAGGAAGTAATTTGTGGAATGCTGAGAAAGGTAAAAACACCTTCAAATAAGGAAGAGGAACAGACTGTGACCTAATGCTTGCTGGGACCAGTATAAGTATGCCAGGGCAAATATTTAGGCTAACTTGTGGGAGCTAAGAAAAAAAAGTACATTCATTTATTTATTATGGCTAGCAGATATTTAAGAATGTTAGCACAGGTCTTTGAATAAATTTTGCTTCTAAGAGAAGTTACTATTTATTCCTAATTAGATGGGGAGGAAAGTTTTTGAAGAGGAAGCTCTACTTAACTTTTTACAGCCTCCCAAGTAGCTGGGATTACAGGCACGCACCACCCCGCCTGGCTAATTTTTTGTATTTTTAGTAGAGATGGGGTTTCACCATGTTGGCCAGGCTAGTCTCAAACTCCTGACCTCGAGTGATCCACCCGCTTCGGCCTCCCAGAGTGCTGGGATTATAGGCATGAGCCACTGCGCCCAGCCCACAGCTTGGTTTATACATTTTAAATAGGCATGAGACATCGATCAATACATGTAACATGTACATTGGTTCAGTCTGGTAAGGCTGAACAACATGAGGAGGTGGAGGGCTTCAGGTCACAGGTAGATTTAAAGATTTTCTGATTGGCCATTGGTGAAGGACTTACTATCTAAAGACCTGGAATCAAACAGAAAGGAATCCCTGGGTTAAGATGAGAGGTTGTAGAGAGCAAGGTTTATTGCAGATGAAGCCTCCAGGGAGAAGACTTGGGAGAGAATAGATGGTAAATGCTTATCAGACTCAAGGAGACTGAAGGTCTCTGTGTTGATGTTTGTGAGGCTGCTCTGATTCCCATTTCCCCTCATGGCCTGAAGCAGTTTTTCAGGATAATTTGGAATGTTGTTGGCCAAGGGGAGGGTCCATCCTTTGGTTGGGGGCTTAGAATTTTAATTTTCATTTACACACAAATGAGAACACTAGGTCCTTCCACGGCTTATACCAAATCCTCTGTGAAGGAGAGACAGAGGGGGCCCCCTAGACTCCAGATTAAAGGGGCCCCGACTTCGGGGCTCACGGGAGCCTCCACGCTGGACGGGGAGGGGAGGAGGAGGACACGGAGGGCTCCTCTCTGGCAGGTCCGACTGGAGTGGCATGTGGCCTGGACATGGCCAGAGCCCTCCCTCATCTAAGTAAATAGACAGGCTCATGTTCCCTCTGTGGCCTGGACGTGGCCAGGGCCCTCCCTTGTCTAAGTAAATAGACAGGCTCATGTTCCCGTGCACATCTCTGTAAAAGGATGGGCCTTCCACATGCTTGAGGATGCATTCACGTTGTCACTCTGGGGCAGCCTGTGCACCCGGGTCTGGGTGTGCCGACTCAGTCCCGGCCACGGGCGCTGTCCCGCATGGGCTATCAGCAGCCGGGCCCTGGAGGGAGGCGCAGAGATGGGTGGGAGTGATGGCATGCAGGCGCGTGGAGATGGGGCACATGGAACCAGACGGGTCAAGGAGGCTCCACACAGGAAGTGGGCACCCCGCGGAAGAACCTGTCTGGCAGGCCCGGGGCGGTGGAGGGACCCACAGCAGAGAGGCCATGCGTCCCACGGTTTCTGTTTTTACCCTGGAGCTGTGCCGGGCAGTCCTTCCCCCAGGGCTTCGGGGTGGGCAGACGGCTCCTGCCCTCACATTGCTGAGGTTCTCTGGGAGGAGCAGATAAAAACCACTCAGAGGAGCAGCAGGACAGGCAGGCCGTCTCAGCGCAGCAGGTGAGGTTTCCTCCCTGACAGGCTGGAAAAGGCGGCCTGCCTCCTCCTTCAGCCTTGGCAGAGCAACTGTTTCCAGTGGCTTGATTTTGAACAAGATACTGTTTAGGAAAGACACATTAGCCCGCAATTAACGAATGCTAGTCTGGGATGCTGACAGAAGTCTATGTTGGGTTAAAAGAAGAGAGATAACAGCATTGAAATGCAAATTTAGCCATAACTGTGTATGTTAAGGATTATTTAAATAAGCTTTTGAAGATCCTTTTCTTTTCTCTTTTTTTTTCTTTTGAGACGGCGTCTCGCTCTGTCGCCCAGGCTGGAGTGCAGTGGTGCCATCTCAGGTCACTGCAACCTCCACCTCCCTGGTTCAAGCGATTCTCCTGCCTCAGCCTTCCGAGTAGCTGGGACTACAGGCACCCAAGACCATGCCCAGCTAATTTTTTCTGTATTTTTAGTAGAGACGGGGTTTCACCATGTTGGCCAGGATGGTCTCGAACTCCTGACCTCAGGTAATTTGCCCGCCTTGGCCTCTCAAAGTGCTGGGATGACAGGCGTGAGCTACCAAACCTGACCAGAGATCCTTTTGGAAAGCAAGACGCTGGGTGCCTTTGTCTGGAGGTCACCATGTAAACGTACACAGGCAATTCTGGGCTTGGGGTGAGGATCCCAGGATGGTGCTGTACCCGGATCCAAAACTCGGGCAGCTTAGGTGAGTGTGCCGAAGGTGCTTGTGGAGAAATGTAAACAAAACTGTTTCATTAGATGCAAGAGTGGAAAAAGTCATTGTTTCCAAATAAGTGGACTTATACTATGCGATTTTTTAAAAAATTAAATTTTTTTTTTTTTTGAGACGGAGTCTCGCTCTGTTGCCCAGGCTGGAGTGCAGTGACGCAATCTCGGCTCACTGCAAGCTCTGCCTCCTGGGTTCACACCATTCTCCTGCCTCAGCCTCCCGAGTAGCTGGGACTACAGGTGCCCGCCGCCACGCCCGGCTAATTTTTGTATTTTTAGTAGAGACAGGGTTTCATCATTTTGGCCAGGCTGGTCTCAAACTCCTGACCTCAAGTGATCTGCCTGCCTTGGCCTCCCAAAGTGCTGGGATTACAGGCGTGAGCCACCGTGCCCAGCCCATTTAGAAAGTTTATTTTGCCAAGGTTAAGGACACACCTGTGACATAGCCTCAGGCAGTCCTGATGGCACGTGCTCAAGGTGGTTGGGGCACAGCTTGTTTTTTTTTCCTTGTTTTATTTTTGTTTTTTTTTTGTGACAGAGTCTCCCTCTGTTGCCCAGGTTGGAGTGCAGTGGCACGATCTTAGCTCACTGCAACCTCTGCCTCCCGGGTTTAATCAATTCCCACCTTATATAGCCTCCTGAGTAGCTGGGATTACAGGCATGCACCACCATGCCCAGCTAATCTGTTGCATTTTTAGTGAAGACGGTTTCACCATATTGGCCAGGCTGGTCTTGAACTCCCGACCTCAGGTAATCCACCCACCTCGGCCTCCCAAAGTGCTGGGATTATAGATGTGAGCTACCTCGCCCAGCCATGGTTTGTAATTTTTTTTTTTTTTTTTTGAGACAGAGTCTCACTCTGTTGCCCAGGCTGGAGTGCAGTGGCATGATCTCAGCTCACTGCAACCTCTGCTTCCCGGGTTCGAGATTCTCTTACCTCAGCCTCCCAAATAGCTGGGACTACAGGTGCATGTCACCACACCTGGCTAATTTTTGTATTTTTACTAGAGACTGGGTTTCACCATGTTGGCCAGGCTGGTCTTGAACTCCTGACCTTGTGATCCACCTGCCTTGGCCTCCCAAAGTGCTGGGATTACAGGCGTGAGCCACCGCACCCGGCCCATGGTTTGTAATTTTTAGCATGCAAGTTCTGTAGATGGTTTGCTAAGTTTATACCAAAGTATTTAATTTTCCTTGGAGTAATTATGAATGTCTTTAACTTTGGTTTTCATGTTTCTTGTTGGTATACATCAATGCAAGCGATTGTTGTGTGCTGATCTTGCATTCTGCAATGTTGCTGAGCTCACCTGCTCAACCCAAGAGTTCCGACATGTAGGGAGGAGGAGCCCCTCAACAATGCACGCTCAACAGAGACTGAACAATGGAGGTAGCTACAGTGGCTGCCCCGTTTCATGGTGACACCCCTCGACAATGCACGCTCAACAGAGACTGAACGATGGAGGTAGCTACTGTGGCTGCCCCATTTCATGGTGACAGGCTCAGACACCACCTGTCAGAGGCAGTGCTCCACAATAGTGAGGTCCCTCAACAGGGAAGCCTGCACTGCAACTCCCCCTCTGCCAGGTGGGGTTAGGGGATGTTGAAGGCCCTAGGCCAACATTGGCACTGGACTATGGAGGAAGGTTGTGAGGGGGCTGGGTCCTCAGGGCAGGGCGAGCAAGAGGTGAGGAGAAGGAGAACAGAAGGAACTGGTGGGGGAATGGGGAACAAAGATGAGGGGGGAGGCTAGACGGTGGGGAAGGCAGAGGAGATAAAGAGAGTGAGGACCACAGGGCTCCATCACACGTCTCAGAGAATGGAACCCCCTTGGGGCCCACCCATCTCAGGACACCCCGGGTGAGCTCCATTTTCTCTTTGTTACTGGATGAGACTCTACAAAAAAAAAAAAATCCCAAAGTGGAGAGCTCTATCTGAGACACACACACAATCCCTGCAGAAGACTGCACAGTGAAAGCTGGGGCCTCATCATTAGCCTGTTCAGACTCAGGTGTGGAAAATGGACAGGCCCTGGCAAAGGAGATGAATGTTTAAGACAAAAACCACGAATAATACTGTTCAGGAAACGGGGATGGTTTCAAGGGTCAAGAGAGCCTCCCTGTTTGGGGGAAATCCTGTTTGCACGTCTGACCAGGCCAGCCTCCACCCCACCCCTATACTGGCCTCAGCAACAGGGCCTGGAGCCTCTTGGGTTCCCCCAGGGTGGGCCAGGCACAGTTGTGGGATCAGCAGGTTCTTGCAGAAAAGACTAAGCCGAAACTCCCTCCTCTGCCTTCCAACACACAGGCCTCTCCATCCTAAACAAACAGAAACCTGTGCCTACTCCTCTGAGAGCCGTGTCCTCCATTGTAAAATGCAGGTAACAATCCGGTGCGTGTGTGGCGGACTGCCTACCCCAGGGTGGGGCCCACAGGCCTTTCTGGCCTTCCCTCCAGCCTTGGCCTGCAGCCCCTCGCCCTCCTACCCCATGCCTGCTTCCCGCAGGGGCTGTAGAGGGACTGGTCTGATTTGAGGCTCTGCGCAAAGCCAGCCCAGCCTCTTCTTCCAGGCTGGCCTCTGGCCCCTCCCTGTGGCTGGCTTGAACCTCAGGAACTTGGGGTCCACAGCCCCCTTCAGGAAGTGCAGAGCTTCTGCTGGGCAGAGTGACTTCCAGGCCGCCTTTCCTGCTGAGAAGCACACAGGCTGTGACCGGGGCCCTTCCCGGAAGGGACATTCGGTTTTTGTGGCAGGGACTTCCAGCCTGAGGCCGAAGGAGGAGGGTCCAACTTCACCTTTGCCCGCCCTTCCCCCGCTTTTTTGGGTCTCCTTTAACTGGGACGGGGCGGGACCCTCCTCCGTAGTCCTTGGGGCGGAACTGGCCCCCCGTGGCCCGGCCCGGCCCGGCCCCACCTCCGCCCGCAGGCGGTCCCGGCCCACGCGGGAAGGTCCTTAAGCCCGGGCGGCCGGCGGGACCGGCGGAGACCCGTGGAGGCCGCCGACGATGGCGGGGCCGACGGAGGCCGAGACGGGGTTGGCCGAGCCCCGGGCCCTGTGCGCGCAGCGGGGCCACCGCACCTACGCGCGCCGCTGGGTGTTCCTGCTCGCGATCAGCCTGCTCAACTGCTCCAACGCCACGGTAGGGGCAGGGGCGGGGACAGGTGGCTCCGGGACCCTCAGTCCCTCGGACCAGCCGGGTTTTGTTTTCCTGTGGCCACAGCCCGAGGTGCCAGGTGCTGGCTGGGGGCGGGGGGTGCCTTCTGGAGGTGGCTAGGGATTGCGGGCACTGGGGGCACTGTCTGTCCTGGAGGTGGCTGGGCCCAGGGCACAGAGCAGGGCTGGGTGCCCCGGGGGATCTGCCAGTCACGGAGTCCCAGCCCTTCCCAGCCTTCAGTGGCTCCAGCCTGGGTCCCTCTTCCCCAGCCAGTCACATACAGGTGGCCCTGCGTTGGCCCTCTCTCCTTCCACGCCTCCCAGCCCCAGGACAGCAGGCACACAGCAGAGGCGCGCTTGGAGCCGCCCTCCCCTCCACCTGACTCTGAGTGAGGGGCGGCTCCTGGGCTGGGCTGGGTTCCGTCCTGCCCCCACCCCCTTCAGGTGTTGCACGCTGCAGCCTTTCCCGCCCTGTGTGCCCTCATCAGCCATCCCCCGGAGCCTCAGGAACTGGTCAGGCAGTATCTGGCCAACGTGCAATGAACAGCTAGAGTTGGCAGCAGGACCCACAGCTCAGGGAGGCGCCAGGTCACGGGGATGGTCAGGAAGCTCGGGGGCAGGGGCAGGAGTCACTCTCAGGCCTGGGTCAGGGCTCTTCCAGGTGGACCCCGGGGCCTCTCCCCTCCTCCTTTGCTGGCTGGGTATGGAGGGCCAGCCTCTGGCCGAGACAGGCCCGGGATCTGCTGGATGGGCCCAGGGGCTGCCTGCTGCCCACAATGCTGGCACGAGCCGTAACTCACTGCTGTGGCTTGGCGTCCTGGCCCACCATGTCCAGGCACTGGGGAAGCCATAACTGGCTTTGGGTGGAGTGTCTGAGGGTGCAGGGCTGGTTTCATGGTCCAAGAGTCAGTGGGTGTCGTAGGTGTGGGGCGTTCCTTGGACAGTCAAGGGCCTCCTGCTGCAGTTCTTCACTGTTTTATTAATATCCACGAGTCATCATGGAGCACACAGAAATCTCACCCTGACACCAAGAGTCGTCATGGTCTCTGCCTGGGTCACCACAGTGAGCCGTAAGCACCATGTTCACTCCAGCCAAGTGCCCTTGAGGCTGGAGGTTACTCATCTGCAGCCAGTGACCAGGGATCCCGGGTTCCAACCAGCAGCATGAGGGCCAGGCGGAGCAGAGCTTGGGTCAACACCCACCCCGGAAGGCAGCCCAGTGCTCTGGATGAGACTCAAAGGACCCAAGGGGGCGAGCGCAGGCAGGGTCGAGGCTGGGAGATGAGGAAGGGAGTCAGACAGATCGTCCTCCCACGTTGCCCCGCACGCTTCAGACGCATCTCTTCTCAGTGAGTCAGCTGTGGGCCCCACTCAGGCCCCCGAGGAACCAGGACAGGGCTGAGGCTGGAGCGGCGGGCTCGGCTCCGCAGGGTGGGCTTTCTCTCCCGGGCTCGGCCAGGCAGGCACCAGCTGGGCCTGGGGAGCTCGTTCTGTGCCTGGCCCCGTCCTGCAGAAAAAGGAAGACAGGGCGGCTGTTGCCCAAGCTCCCTGTCCTGTCCCGTGGGCTGAGTCAGACCTTGTCCGGGCGGAGCCTGGGTCTGGCTGCTGTGTCCGAGGGTGTGGCCTGGAGCTCAGTCGACTCATGGAAGTTGACCTTGAGTGACACGGCCTCCTGCCTCCCGGAGTGAGCCCCGGTGACCCGCTCCACTTTGGCCTCCCTCAGGGATGAGCCAGTCTCACCTCTCCTAGGAGGCCTTCCCCTCGGCCGCAGCGTGCACTTGTGCTGTGTGCTGGACGTCCGTGGGGTGAAGAGCTCTAGTACTTGATAATGCCTGTGGCTGGGGAATGGTGCCCGCTCTGGCAACATTCTGCCCAAACACCTGGGCCCTGCAGGAGGGAAGGTCAGGCTGGCCTTGGGTGGGGCTGGCCTGCAGTCCCAGAGGTTCTAGCTGAGACCCCGTCACGCCCACCTTTCCCTGCCTTGGAGCGCCAGGTCTGGTCTGGGCAGGGCTCGTGGTCCTGTGGGCTCTGGCCAGGTCCTTGGCCTCAGTGTCTGCCCCCCAGGCTGGTCCCCGGTCAGGGCATGCTCTCTGACCCTGCGCTGGGTGCCCGCCCTCGGGGGAGGCAGGGTGGCGCTCTCCTTGGGCAGGAAGGCCCCGTGTCCAGCTCGCTGTGTCCCCTCGGCCTCACGGGGCTGCTGGCACTCTGACCCCCTCGGGCTGGCTGGGGCCACAGCAGGTAGGTCCGGGGTCTGTGGCCCTGCGCTGACTCCCGCCTGACCCCTGCAGCTGTGGCTCAGCTTTGCACCTGTGGCTGACGTCATTGCTGAGGACTTGGTCCTGTCCATGGAGCAGATCAACTGGCTGTCACTGGTCTACCTCGTGGTATCCACCCCATTTGGCGTGGCGGCCATCTGGATCCTGGACTCCGTCGGGCTCCGTGCGGCGGTGAGTCAGACCCCACACCATGGCCCGCTCCGGGACAGTGCAGGGGCCCCCGCATTTGGGTAGGAGAGTCAAGGCCTCCCCAGACCGGGGCCCACCAGTCCCAACAGCTGGGGACCCCGGCAGAGCCGTCGAGGTGGCGGCAGTGGGAGGTCCAGGTGCTCGGGGGACGGGGCAGGCACTTGGGCTGGTGGCAGCGTTCCTGACCCGGTCCCCGACCCCCTCCTCGCAGACCATCCTGGGTGCGTGGCTGAACTTTGCCGGGAGTGTGCTACGCATGGTGCCCTGCATGGTTGTTGGGACCCAAAACCCATTTGCCTTCCTCATGGGTGGCCAGAGCCTCTGTGCCCTTGCCCAGAGCCTGGTCATCTTCTCTCCAGCCAAGCTGGCTGCCTTGTGGTTCCCAGAGCACCAGCGAGCCACGGCCAACATGCTCGCCACCATGTGTGAGTTCCGGGGAGGGAGGCCGCCTGCCTGGGCTCACCTCAGGGTCCACACAGACGCTCGGCTCCCCAGGCTCTCTGGCCAGGGTGGAGGAGCTGGGGCCCGGAAGGTTCTGCCTGTGGGCTGGCGATGAAGCCAGGCCACAGCCGAGCTGACACTTTGTGCATCCGCCCACCCAGCGAACCCTCTGGGCGTCCTTGTGGCCAATGTGCTGTCCCCTGTGCTGGTCAAGAAGGGTGAGGACATTCCGTTAATGGTGAGGGGTCATGAGACGCCCGTGCCTGGTCTGTGTGGTGTGTGCGCATGCACGTCTGTGTGTTCCTGATCCCAAGTGTGTCCGTGTTCCTGTGCCCGTGTGTGATTCCCGTCCCCCGCCCCGCCACCCGAGAAGGAGTCTCAGCCTGTCGCTCAGGCTGAATTGCAGTGGCGCGATCTCGGCTCACTGCAACCTCCGCCTACTGGGTTTAAGCAATTCCCCTGCCTCATCTTCCCGAGTAGCTGGGACTACAGGCGTGCGCCACCATGCTTGGCTAATTTTTTTTTTTTTGTATTTTTGGTAGAGTTGGGGTTTCACCATGTTGGCCAGGCTGGTCTCGAACTCCTGACCTCATGATCCGTCTGCCTCGGCTTCCCAAAGTGCTAGGATGACAGGCGTGAGCCACCGCGCCCGGCCAGTGTGTGATGTTTCTATGCCTGCCTGTGTGTATTGAGTGTGTGTGGTGTGTGCGGTGCGTGTCTCTGTTCCTGTGCCCATGTGTATTGTGTGATGTGTGCATATGTGTCTGTGTGTCTGTGCACATGTGTGGTGTGTACCTGTGTGTGCTCGTGCATGTGTATCAGGTGCGGGTGGTGTGTTTGTGCTTGGGGGTATGTACTGAGCGTGAGTCTGTATGCACGTGTGCCTCTGCACCCACCTGTGTCTGTGTGTTGAGCCCTATCATGGGCTGTGCAGCTGGCAGTGAGATGTAAGTCTGGAGCCTGGGGGTGCTGGGCTAACATCAGCCAGGAGGGTGTCACTGGTGAGGGATGCGTTGACAGCCAGGGGTCCCCATGAGCCCCTGGAGCAGGCCCCTCCCAGCCTGGGCCTCGCAAAGGGCAGCTGCAGACCAGAGGTTGGGAGGCAGCCGGTGGTGGGGCAGGAGGAGCTGGGAGGTGGCGCCTGGGACAGGCAGGGCTGCGGCGTGTGTGGGTGCCAGTCTGCGTGGTCTCCTTGTGCACACACACCCCTCCCCAGCTCGGTGTCTATACCATCCCTGCTGGCGTCGTCTGCCTGCTGTCCACCATCTGCCTGTGGGAGAGTGTGCCCCCCACCCCGCCCTCTGCCGGGGCTGCCAGCTCCACCTCAGAGAAGTTCCTGGATGGGCTCAAGCTGGTCAGTGCCGTGGGATCCCCGGGGTAGGGTGGATTTGGGGGTGGGGGCAAGAGGCTGAGGAGGCGATGGGTTTGGGAAGGGCCCCCGGGCTCCGGGGCTGAGACGCTCTTTCCCAGCAGCTCATGTGGAACAAGGCCTATGTCATCCTGGCTGTGTGCTTGGGGGGAATGATCGGGATCTCTGCCAGCTTCTCAGCCCTCCTGGAGCAGATCCTCTGTGCAAGCGGCCACTCCAGTGTGAGCCTGGCCCCACCCCTGGGGACCCTGCCTCTGTCATCCGCCCCATATGGCCATGGAGTCACCGCCGCCTCCAGGGTGCCCAGTGTCCGACCCTGGCGGGGGCCACATTGACACCCTTCTGTGCTGTGGGCCCTCCCGAGATGCCCTGTGTGACATTATGTCCACAGGCAGTGGAGGTGGTGGGCACAGCTGCAGTGGGGTGGGGCAGCTGTGGGACGGAGCGGAGGGACTGACGGTGCCCTGTGGATGGGAAGGTGGGGCCCCCAGGGCTCCCAGTGCCCCTTCCCAGCAAGGCCCCGCCCCTGTGGGTCTGCAGGACAGCGCCACCTTCTGGTATCCAGACGTGCAGCGGGGAGGGCCTTGCTCTGCTCGCATATCTCCGAGCTGGCCCTCTGCCCTCTGCCTTCTGGGATCAGTGCTCAGTGTAGGATTGGGGGCATGTTTCCACCTTTGCCAGGGCCACAGGCACCACGGCCCTGTGGGGCCTCTGTGGAGACAGGCTCTTCCCTTTAGCGATTGCTTTGCTCTGGGGTGGGGTGGGAAACACAAGGCAGGAAACCCTACCCCGCAGGCAGCCAGCGGTGCGTCTGGAAGCTGTGTTGCTATGCCTGGGCCTTGGGCACAGCACACGGCCCTACACTGAGCCCCCTGCCCTGACGGCATGCACCTAGGATAATGGTGGCCTCTTGGGGCCCTGGCCTCTTCTCGCCTCCTCCAGGGGTTTTCCGGCCTCTGTGGCGCTCTCTTCATCACGTTTGGGATCCTGGGGGCACTGGCTCTCGGCCCCTATGTGGACCGGACCAAGCACTTCACTGAGGCCACCAAGATTGGCCTGTGCCTGTTCTCTCTGGCCTGCGTGCCCTTTGCCCTGGTGAGGGTCTCCTCAAGCCAAGACTGCCCTGTGGGGGTGGGTGGGTGGTGAGGCCCGGAGAGGGCGGTTGGCGGCTTGGCTGGAACAGAGGTCTGGACTGTCTCATGCCCAGCCTCTGCCAGCCAGGGTGGCCCCGGGGTGGGATGGGTTCTCCTGCCCCGTGTCCCATGTCCCGTGAAGCCAGGTCCAGTTCTGACTGCCACCCCCTCCACCTGTCTGCCTGCCGTTCCGCTGCTCCCAGGTGTCCCAGCTGCAGGGACAGACCCTTGCCCTGGCTGCCACCTGCTCGCTGCTCGGGCTGTTTGGCTTCTCGGTGGGCCCCGTGGCCATGGAGTTGGCGGTCGAGTGTTCCTTCCCCGTGGGGGAGGGGGCTGCCACAGGCATGATCTTTGTGCTGGGGTGAGTGTCCATCTGCCCCTGCTGCAACCCCAGAGATACTCCCCTTGCTCCACCCCTACACCCCTGGGGTTGCACCATGTGGTCCAGGCCCCTTTTCGGGGAGGTGGGGAACCTGCCTGCTCTGGCAAGGGCCGAGCAGGTTCTGAGCACCTGCTGTGTGCAGGCCGGGCCGGCTGATAGGGCCCATGACCGAGGCTGCGTGCTGCCTTCAGGAGGGTGGTGGCACAAGGGACAGCACCGATGTCAACATTTCCCAAGGTGGCACCTGGCTCCGAGGGGGTGGGCAGTGCAGCGGGGGCTGAGGGCCACGTGTGTCCAGGCAGGCCGAGGGAATACTCATCATGCTGGCAATGACGGCACTGACTGTGCGACGCTCGGAGCCGTCCTTGTCCACCTGCCAGCAGGGGGAGGATCCACTTGACTGGACAGGTGAGCCTCACATGGGGAGTCCCCAGGGAACAGGACAGGTGAGCCCCATGTGAAGATTCCCTGGGAGCGGGACAGGTGAACCCTACGTGGGGAGCCCTAAACAGCAGGACAGGTGAGCACCACGCAGGGAGTCCCCGGGCAATAGGACAGGTGAGCCAGGACAGGTGTGGCCGAGATCAGAGATGGGGCTGGCACACCCATATCCCAGACCCCATGCTAGTGACCTCTCTCAGGACCTGGGTCTGCAAACACCCCCTCAGGGCTGTCAAGAGCTGCGAGTGGGCTCTCCGTCTGGGGTCACTCTGTGGTCAAGGGTAGTGGGGTCACCATAGGCCAGCATTGGGCTCTGCCCATCTGTGGCCCCTGGGCTTGGCTGTGGGGACAGCTGTGCTATGTGTCCCCAGTGTCTCTGCTGCTGATGGCCGGCCTGTGCACCTTCTTCAGCTGCATCCTGGCGGTCTTCTTCCACACCCCATACCGGCGCCTGCAGGCCGAGTCTGGGGAGCCCCCCTCCACCCGTAACGCCGTGGGCGGCGCAGACTCAGGGCCGGGTGTGGACCGAGGGGGAGCAGGAAGGGCTGGGGTCCTGGGGCCCAGCACGGCGACTCCGGAGTGCACGGCGAGGGGGGCCTCGCTAGAGGACCCCAGAGGGCCCGGGAGCCCCCACCCAGCCTGCCACCGAGCGACTCCCCGTGCGCAAGGCCCAGCAGCCACCGACGCGCCCTCCCGCCCCGGCAGACTCGCAGGCAGGGTCCAAGCGTCCAGGTTTATTGACCCGGCTGGGTCTCACTCCTCCTTCTCCTCCCCGTGGGTGATCACGTAGCTGAGCGCCTTGTAGTCCAGGTTGCCCGCCACATCGATGGAGGCGAACTGGAACATCTGGTCCACCTGCGGGCGGGGGCGAAAGGGCTCCTTGCGGGCTCCGGGAGCGAATTACAAGCGCGCACCTGCAGCGGCCCCGGGTGTGGTTTCTGCGCCGCGGGAGGGGGAGCGGGGAGGGGCCCGGGTGCGGGGTGAGGGCGGCGCTGGAGGGGGCGGGGCGGCGCTGGAGGGGGCGGGGCGGCGCTGGAGGGGGCGGGGCGGCGCTGGAGGGGGCGGGGCGGCGCTGGAGGGGGCGGGGCGGCGCTGGAGGGGGCGGGGCGGCGCTGGAGGGGGCGGGGCGGCGCTGGAGGGGGCGGGGCGGCGGCGGCTGCAGCCACAGTCTGGGCGCACGTGTCGGGCTCGGCCCTTCAGCAGCGTCGGGGAGGACCGTGTGGGGTCTGGGGGAGGTGCGGGGGTCCTGAGGGGTGGCCCGGCATTAGTCTCGCCCGCTGGGGCTGGGAGCGGCGCGTCGGGGGTGGGGGGCGGCTCCGGACCGCACAGCTGTGAGCCCCGCCCCTCCGGCTGGGACAGACGCTCAGGCCGCGGAGGGGTCTCCAGCCGCTGATCTAACGGAGGGGAGGGGTCTCCAACCGCTGACCTGATCCCTCTGAGCCAGTTCCGTCCCTCAGACGGGCACTTCGGGAGCCCCCCGGGGGCCTGTTCTGTCCTGGGTCCTAACCGCGGCGCTGCTCCTCGGGCTCCGCGTCCCCCTCCACCCAGCTGACCCCGGGAGCCCCGCCCTCCCCTCGTGGGCTTGGCAGGGAAGCCGCGGGCCAGACCTCTTCCGCCGTCATCTTGTCAGCCTGGGACATCAGCAGACGCTTGATGCTGAGGACGAGGAAAGGGGTCAGCGCGGGCTGATGCGGGGGTGCAGGAGCCTTCTCGGTGGGGCTCAGGTGCTCCAGGGGCCCCAGGTTGTACTCGCTCACTGCACTCCCGCCCTTCCCGCTGGAGTGTGGCCCTGGGGCAGGTCCCTTCCCAACACACACTCAGGGGCCATCACTTCTGGGGGAGCCGCTGATGGGGACAGAGCCGGAAGGAGGTTACAGGCCAGCGCCTGGTACTTTCCCCGGCGCCTAGCAGGAGCTGAAGATGGAGGAGTGGGCTGAGGGGAAGCCGCCCCACCCCCACCGGGCACAGGCGCTGGTCCCTGTGTGAGCAGGGCTGGCCTCCCACTCAGCTGGGATCCTGGGTTCGCTCCTCATGGCCCTGAAGCTGGTCAGAGGTGGGGAGGTGGGCGTGGCATCTGGTGGCTGACTGTCCCTTTTGGGACAGGATGAGATCACTGGGGTTCCCCGGAAGCCGGGCCGCCCTGGCCGCCCGGGCACTCACTACTCCTTGTTGATTTTCCCTTTCCCGTCCGGGTCCAGCATCTTGAAGGCGTTAAGAATGGTCTCCTCGGCGTCGGTACCTGCCACAAAGGCACCTTCAGCCCAGGGCCGTCAGGGTGGCAGTCCCGTGGCTGCCAAGGGCAGATGGCAGGAGGGGAGACCCCTGCCCCAAGCAGGGGGAGACTCCAAGCCTCTGCCCACAAGGTGGCCTCTGCCTGAAGGCCTTCTCCTTTCCTGAGCCCCAAGGAGGCCTTGTCGGGCACTCCTGCCCTGGGGTGTAGTGAGTTTTGGGGTGCCCAGGGTCAGCCCAGGCCTGGAGCTGGGGGTGAGTGCTGCATGAGTGAGGGACAGAGGTGTCGACGGCGGGTCACACAGCACGTGGGGCAGGAGGGCGGGCCTGAGCACATGGCTCTGGGGTGGCTGACGGGGCCCCACAGTTGTTGGCTCCCAGAGTGCCAGGCCCTAGGGCTTCTCCAGAGATTGGAAAAGAGAGATTTTTACGTGAAATGTCCGGATCTCTAACTGTTAGGAATTAGCTAGGAGGGCCAGGCCTGCCCCACCGGTGCTCACCGCTCAGCTTCTCCCCAAACAGGTTCAGAAACATGGTGAAGTTGATGGGCCCCGAGGCCTCTTTGAGCATGGCGTCCAGCTCGTCGTCCTTGACGTTGGTCTTGCCTGTTACAGACATGGGGGCATCACAGGGCAGGGCTTGTTGCCTGCCCTGTGCCACCAGCAGGTGACCCCAGCACAGGGCCAGGCAGGCAGATGGGAAGGGTGGGGAGGGAGCGGGAAGGAGACGCTTGGCCCAGGCACGTGGGGCAGTGGGTGCATCTGGCTGGCTGTGTCCACCTCACCCCAAACCGTGAGCCCCAGGACTAAGTGCTGAGGGAGAGGGAGGTGACACAGAGCCTGGGAAGGTGCTGGGATCTGCTGTTCTTAATTCTGGGCATAAGCAGGGCCGAGAGGAAGGTGGGTCACTTGCGACCCTCCCACCCCAAGGAGAAATCACTCCCCAGCTCCCAGGGCAGGACCGAAGCCCCCTGCCCTCCTGCCTCAGGTCAGAGGCAGCTGCTGGGAACAGAATGTGCCGCAGGGAGGACTGAAGCTGGGGAGGGCAGTGTGCCCCACCACACTCGGGCTGTGCTGCAGAGGCTGGGCAGCGTCTCCACGCCCTCTGTCAGCTCTGTGGTCTGGCCGGGCAGGGTCTCCATGCCCTCTGTCAGCTCTGTGGTCCTGCCTGGGGGCAAGCCGCCTGCCTGCCTGTGGCGTCCTACCAGAGAGTCAGCCCCTCCCTGGAGCCTGCTGCCTCAAAGCCCACTCTGAGTTTCCAGGCTTGGGCTGTCCCACCCACCCTGTCTCACCCTGGGATGCTCTCTGCCAGCTCTGATGGAACCAAGGGCGGCCAGGGCCATCACCTTGCAGCTTCAGGGCCGTTGGTGGGCCTCTGAGGCGCGGGCCCTGGCTCCATTCGAGGAGGGGCCGCGGCGTCTGGAGCTGGAGGACCTCTGTGTTCGCCTCCTCCAAGGGCTCTGAGGCGTTCTGCCTGGGTACCTACCCAGGGAGGCATAGGTGTCCTTCAGGTCCTCCTTGTCAATGAAGCCATCTCGGTTCTGATCCATGAGTGTGAATGCCTGGGGACCAAGGTCAGGGCTGCTGTGCTGCCAACCCGGCTGGGCTCTGCCCCGCCCCCTGCTCCCGGTTCCTCAGCACCCCTGACTGAGGATAGGCTTCCACTCCTGCTGGCCCTGGAGCCAGCCCACATGGGGTCTTCCCAGCACAGGCTCCTGGGGGTGGGGGCTCCCAGTGAAGCAGGAAAGTCTCACCTCCTTGAACTCCTGGATCTGAGTCTGCTCAAAGTTGGAGAAGACATTGGATGAGGCTCTCTGGGCCCGGAGGGCACCCCCTTCCTTCTTCTTGGTCTTCCTGCTGGCCTGCGGTGGGAGCACCATGGCTGAGGGTCCTGGGCTGGCTGACGAAACCCTCCAGGGCACCCAGAGTTTTGAGAGACTTAACTCAGATGAAGGGTGGACCTCAGCCCTTCGGGCTGGAGGGGGCCAGACAGCTGAGGAGCATGCCAGCCTCAGGCCTGGGTAGCTGGGGTTGGGGGCAGGACGGCTGCAGGTGTCTGGCTTCAGCACAGGGACTGGGGGAGGGACAGTGGCTTCCAGAAGGCCCACAGAGCACAGTGGTCAGGGATCGCCGTCCAGCAGGAGCCAGCTTGGCCTCTGAAGGCTTGAGGGGCAAGTGGACTCTGGGTGGGCTTGTTCTGGGTACCGGGATTTTGTGAAAGCCAGGAACCCCCTCATCCTGCTCCGGACTCTCACCAGGAGAGCAACGTGAGGCACGTACTTCCCACAACACAGCACAGCCCACACCCGCAAGGTCACACACACGCACATACACACGCTCATGCACACACATATGCAGGCAGAGCACACGCCCACACCTGCATTCACACGCAAGCACGGACACGCCCACGCTCGTCTGTGCGCATGTACACATGCACAGCACAGCTCACACCCACACGCCTGCCCCAGGCATGCACGGCGGCCTGCTCACCATGCCTGCTTCTGCCTGCTTTGATGCGTCTGCCCAGGGCCCCAGGTCTTGCCCATCTTAAGCTCCTGCTTGGTCCCCCAGGACAGTTCAGACTCCGGCTGCCACTCCCTACAAGGACAGGCTTGGGGCTACCCCAGGGGACTGGACAGCTGCAGAGTGAGCTTTGGCAGCCTGGCAGTGACTCACACCCTTGCCCTGCCTCACCCCGCAAGGCCCCCAGCCTCCCCAGATACCTCTGGCCAGGACTACCTCCCATCCACCTGTCCCCGAACCCCGGGGAGGCTTTGTTCTCCCAAGGATTCTGTGTGTCAGCAGGGCCACCTGTACACGCTCTTGGCTGGGGGCCTGGGCACCCTGGAACTGCAGGAGCCAGAGGAAGGGGCACTTTTTCTAGATTTGCACAACGCTGCTGTGGGTGACTGCAGCTGGTCACCGGGCTTCTGCCAAGCACACTCTGTCTGTCAGGGGTGTCCACGCCCCTCCCTGCCTTGGTGACAGAAGTCAGTCCATAGCCTTGGCCCTGGGACCACCCCGTCTGACCTCATGGCTGGGAGCTCCTTGCCTGGCCCATGGGTGATGACATTTCTGGGTTGGAGGAGCCATGGAGATGGCCACGTTGCTCAGATGGGCTGGGAGGGGGACTCTAGGGCCCTGAGCCTGGTCTTCCCCACTATACCATGGCCTCAGGCACAGAGTCTGGGGTAGGGACCTGGCCCAGGGTCTGTTGGTGGTGTCAGACATCAGAGGCCACCACAGAGTCAGCATCCAGATGCCCTGGTTCAAGGGGTGGGAGGAGGGTCTGCAGGCCAAGCAGGATCAAGGAGGAGGCCTACAGGCTGAGTGGAGAACAAGCTTTTGGAGCCCCCCAGGCCTGCGTCTGCGTGGGACGCAGTAGGTAACAGGACCCAGGGCACCTGCCCCTCGGTGCTGCAGGGGCAGTGGTGGGAGTGACTATATGCAGCCACAACAGCAGGTGGGATCCCTGGGGGCGCCACCGTGTCTGCAAGGCTAAAAAGACAGGTGCCACTTGCATGTCTCTTGAGCAGAGGTCCTACCCCCTGAGGGACACATGGTCACAGTTGGCGTCCCCTGAGATGCTGCCTGGTGCCATCCCCAGGTCCAGCGGCCTCTATGAAGCACTGACTCCTGAGGTTGAGGACCCTGGAGGCATGACCTGCCCAGGAGGGACCTGGGGCCGACTGCAAGGTGTCAGGTGACCAGATGTGGAACCCTGGGGCTGGGAGCAAGGGCCAGGGCATCCCCTGCTGCCAGTCCAGTGGGGTCTGGGTGTGATCCTGAAGGGGCACTGCTGGGCTGCAGGAGTGGGGAGAACCACACCGAGGGGGGAAGCATGGTTGGGAGGCCCCCCGAGGCCACCGGGAATGTGAGAAGGGCTGCAGAGCCCCCTGCAGAGGGTTCCCAGGCCACTGGAGTCTGAGCACAGTGCTAAAGATAGCAGCAAGCCTGAGCCGGGGGAGTATCGGCTTCTGCACCCACAGCTGACCTGACAGCTGCAGAGGCCCCTGCGGGCGGTGTGCTGAGCCAGGTGGGACCCGTCCCACCACTAAGCTCTCAGGAAAGGCCTTGAGCAAAGGCAAGTCTCCATTGGCTTCAGGGGGTTTTCCCCAGGCCGTGTGTGTTTGCCCGCATGTTTTCTCTGCTGGTGCCCTGCCCCGCCCCACCTCTGGTGGAAGCTGCTGGTATGTCCCCCTCACCCCCTACCTTGGGCCCCAGAGACACTTATTTTTGATTCTGGAAGCAGGAGTTGCTGAGGAGTCTGGATTATTTTAAACTCCAGTGAAGGGAAAACCCATTGTCACCTGAGGCCGTCTGCCCTGGCGGAAGCGGGGGCTTGCCGAGGGCCAAGATGGTTCTGTGCCTTGTGGATCCAGTGTGCACCTGCGGCTTCCTCAGCGAGCAGTAGACACGGGGAGGGCTGGAGTTTGCTTCTGGCCCCCTGAGGACAGGGTTCAGGCAGAGGCCTCAGGCAGGAGTCTTCAGGGACTGCCAGCCAACCTCACAGAAGCTGGAGAAAAGATCAGGTGGCCCTACAGCAAGTACCTAACCTTTTTGGCGCCTGGGACAGGTTTCACGGAGGACAGTTTTTCCGTGTTGGGGAGGAAGGTTTCGGGATGAAACTATTCCACCTCAGTTCATCAGGCATTAGATTCTCACCAGAGCGCAATCCAGATCCAAGTGCGCAGCTCACAGTAGGGTTCACGCTCCTATGGGAATCTGATGCCCAGGCTGATCTGAAAGTGGGTGGAGCTCGGGCAATCATGCTCCCTCACCTCGTCCTGTGCTGCCCGGTTCCTAACGGGCCACAAGCTGGTACTGGTCTGCACCTGGGGGTTGGGGACCCCTGCCCTATAGGACTGGCCTTGGTATACCCAGCTCAGGAAACAGAGCCCAGTGACTTCCTAGTTTCTCAGCCAGAGAGGCCCAGGCCCTGGACCCCAGAGCAAGCCAGGAGAGGGGGCAGAGGCGACTTAGGCCCGGACAGGTAGCCCAGGCCGCCAGGATCACGGGTCCTCCCCATGCTTGCTTCAAGAGTCCTGGAGTTTGTGATGCTGCACCTTAGCGAGACCCGAGCCATAGTTCTCCAGTTGCTTCTGCCTGTAGCAGTGCAGGGCCAGGAGGGGACACAGGAGGCCTTGCGTCACTACTGCATGGGGCCAAAGGGGGCCCGAGGGTGGCCCAGCACGGGCAGCATGGCTGCCGCCAGGAAGACCCAGAACGTGGAGGGGGTGCCAGGCTCCTGCCTAGACTCCAAGCCTGGTGTCCATGGGGCTGGCGGGTCAGCACTTCGGGCACAGCGGGGAGGCTGCATAGGCACCGCAGGCCCCATCTCTGGGCAGCTGTGGGAGACACACAGCTACCGGGAGGTGGACAGAGGCCAGCAAAGACCAGTGTGGGGCTCAGTGGTCCCCAGGCCTGGGCCGGGGCAGGCCCTTGGAGCCGTGGAGTCCTGAGGCCTGGAGTCGGGGGACCCAGGGAGCAGCCTCTGTTGGGGGCTGGTCTTCCCAAGAAGATCCCAGCCCCTCTTCGGGACAGAAGTGATGGGGCATCCTGGGGTGAGGAAGCTCCAGCTCCGGGATGAAGGGCGCCCCGTGCTCCCGGGCAGAGCAGCCGCAGGAAGAGGGGCCTGGAGGCCATGCTCCCGCGGGCCGCGGAATCCAACGCGGCCCGGCCGGCGACAGACACTACTGCCTTGTAGGAGAAGGACCTGCCCGGGGAGCCACCTGCACTCGGCTCACACTCCGCTCCCAGGACCCCCAGGTCCCTGCCCAGGCCACCCTCGGGTGGGCGCGGTCCGCGGGGCTGGACCCGCCCGAGCCGCCCTGACCTCAGGCCTCCGACGCTCCGCGCAAGAAGACAGAGTGCGCCCCGGCCCGCAGTCTGGGGTGTGGACACACGGCCAGGACGCGGACGGCGGGGCCTCGGCAGCAGCGCGGGGAAACAGCGGACCCCCAGCCCTGCGGGGAAAGGAAACCCCCCGCCCACTCGGCGCAGATCCCGCCTCACGCAGCAACTGCGCAGGCGCAGCCGATGATCCTCCGCGCACTCCCCAGCCTTTGTGCGCGTGCGCCTCACGTGACGTCACCGCCGCGCGGGGGCGCGCAGTCACCCTTCGGTCGCCAGGGGGCGCGGCCCCCCGCTCTCTCGCCGCTGACGGCGCATGCGTGCGCCCAGCTCCGCCTTTGCCTCCAAGGCTTTGCTGGCTTGTGCGGCATCCTGCTCCGTCTGCAGGTTGTGCTTCCGGTGCGGAGGTCAGGGACAAGATGGTGCCACCGGTGCAGGTCTCTCCGCTCATCAAGGTGATCCAGGCTTTGCAGCCGCCGCCCAGTGCTCTGGGCCCCCCCGTGTCCCGCCCCGCAGCTCCGACCCCGCGGGCTGCGACCCCCGGCCCCCGCCCCCATGATCCTCGCCCCGTGACCCTCGCCCGGCGACCGGACCCCCACCCCTCCTGCGACCTCTGCCCAGCGACCCCGCCCCCCCTCCTCCCGCGACCCCCGTCCCGCGAGCCCCGTTTCGCGCCGCCTCTGACCAACCTCTTTCGCAGCTCGGCCGCTACTCCGCCCTGTTCCTCGGTGTGGCCTACGGAGCCACGCGCTACAGTGAGTGACCGCGGGCGGGGCCGGGGCGGGGTCTGCTCGGCTTTCCTGTGGAGCTCCTGTGCTATTTGGAGAACTCCAGCTCTGGAAGGGGGCTTGGGACGCATGCGAGGCTGCAGGACCGTGTCCTCCACCGAGCGTGACCCCGATAGTGGAATCAGCTCACCCAAAGCTCAGGCTTCTGAGGCCCGGGCGGGGGACTCGAAAACGGCTGCTTCTTGGTGAAAACGGGTGCTAAATGGCTGTTCGAGTGCTGAGGTCTTGATGGGAGGCAGTCCCTGTTCGCAGAGGACGAGTGAGCCAGTGCGTGAGCGGGTGGGCAGCAGGGGCCCTGTAGCCTCTGGGTTGGACTCGTCAGGGTGAAGGTCAGGCGTTGACTCGCATTAACATAAAGAGCGGGAACAGCAGGTGCGTCTGGTTTACAGCGTCGCTGAAGATACCTTGACCTGTGGACTCAGTTCCTTTTGTACAGCATTTCCAGTGAATTTTATTCTCCTGCATTCCGCCAAACAGATTACCTAAAACCTCGGGCAGAAGAGGAGAGGAGGATAGCAGCAGAAGAGAAGAAGAAGCAGGATGAACTGAAACGGATTGCCAGAGAATTGGCAGAAGGTACGAGTGACACTGGCTCTTATAGATTGTCCCTCCCAGGTTTGTGCAGGGATAAGGAAAATGGAGGAGGACATTTAAGCAGAGCTAAGTAGATGCGGATTGTTTAAAAATGGGGAAGCTGGCCAGGCGTGGTGGCTCATGCCTGTATCCCAGCACTTTGGGAGGCCAAGGCGGGCAGATCACCTGAGGTTAGGAGTTCAAGACCAGCCTGACCAACATGGTGCAACCCTGTCTCTACAAAAATTAGCCGGGCATGGCCCGGTGCGGTGGCTCATGCCTGTAATCCTAGCACTTTGGGAGGCTGAGACAGGCAGATTGCCTGAGCTCTGGAGTTCGAGACCAGCCTGGGCAAGATGGTGAAACCCCATTTCTACTAAAATACAAAAAATCAGCCGGGCATGGTGGCAGGCACCTGTAATCCCAGCTACTCAGAAAGCTGAGGCATGAGAATTGCTTGAACCCGGGAGGCGGAGGTTGCAGTGAGCTGAGATCACGCCACTGCACTCCAGCCTGAGCAGCAAAGTGAAATTCTGTCTAAAAAAAATTAGCCAGGCATGATGGCGGGTGCATGTAATCCCAGCTACTCAGAAGGCTGAGGTGGGAGAATCGCTTTAACCTGGGATGCAGAGGTTGCAGTGAGCTGAGATTGCGCCATTGGGTGACAGAGCGAGACTCCGTCTCAAAACAAAAAAAAAAAAAAAAAAAATAACTGGGAAGCTGAAGTGGTCTTTTTAGGTTGCCTGAGTGGTAACATGTGCTTTTCTTCTAACCTTCCGGCCCAAGATGACAGCATATTAAAGTGAGTGACCCTGCGACCCACTCTTTGGACCAGCAGCGGATGAATAAAGCTTCCTGTGTTGTGTGATACTCCGGCTCCTCATTTGCTGTCGCTGGTTGTGGAATTCCTAGGTTGAAGTTCTGTCCACCTCCCAGTTCACGTGAGGTGGAAGACAGGGAGGGGGTTTCAAAAGAATCCACATTACCATTCACAGACCCAGAATGCATCATGTAAACACAGTGGGAAGGACAGATGCGCGCTGCCTGTTCTGTCTGGGGCATCCAGGTGGGGAGCCCCAAAGGCCGTCTGTAATGGAGTCAGTCAGCTGGGGGCCTCATGAGTACTGGGGTTGTCTTGATTCTGAGTTCTAGGCTGCTGCTCTCAGCAGCCCAGACCCCTGGATGGGGAGGGGTAGGCACTGACTGACGCCCTTACAGTTGGGAAGCTGGGTCCTCCTCCACAATAACCCCTCGCCCCAACCTGCCATTTCACAAATCCTCCCTTTGATCCCAGGAAGTGGCCAGGTCAGACTTGGGACTAAAAGTCTGGTGATGTGACCTCCTGAGCACAGGGCCTGAGTGCTGTTTGAGTTGTGCAGGGAGGTGGTCTTGTGGTGCCTGAGCCACTTCCCTCCCCAGCAGGCTTCCTGGGCTTCTCGCCCCTCCTGGCTGTGAGCTTGCCAACAACCCAAACCCTTGGCCTGGTGGTTTGCAATGGACAGATTGAATTTGCTACTTCCCAGTTATGTGCCTTGAGCAAATCTAGGCTTGGAGCCCCAGTTTGTAAAATGAGTTCGTTTGCAAATATAAGGCCAAAGGGAGAAGCAGCCTATAAGCTTTTCAGGACATTTGGTTAAGGTGAGCTTTGAGTGAGCAAGATACTTTCACATCCTGTCCTGGCGTCCAGAGGGGCTGTTTGCAGGATCCCTCAGAACCTCTTAAGAGCCCCTCATCCCAGACCCAGGCTCTGGATACCAGGGGTCTCTGACCAGTGAGATGAAAAGGCTGGGCACGGTGGTTCACACCTGTAATCCCAGCACTTTGGGAGGCCAAGGTGGGCAGATCACTTGAGGTCAGGAGTTCAAGACCAGCCTGGCCAACATGGCGAAACCTTGTCTTTACTAAAAATACAAAAATTAGCTGGTTGTGGTGATGGGTGCCTGTAATCCCAGCTACTCAGGAGGCTGAGGCAGGAGAATTGCTTGAACCCGGAAGGTGGAGGTTGCATTGAGCCAAGATCACACCACTCCACTCCAGGCTGGGTGACAGAGTGAGACTGTCTCAAGCAAAAAACCCAGCACCCCCTTCCTGCAGCCCCATGGCTGTGCTGGGCATGTCTGCTGCTCTCCCACGCCCACCCCAATGAGCCCATCTAGTTAAGCGTCATCTAGTGTTGGGAGCAAATGCCTTGGAGCTCACATCATGAGTTGAACATCCTGAATTTAACATAATACCGATTTCAACTGGGAAGTCCGTTTCTTTGCCTCTGTCCTTCACTCCAGGCTCACCAATATTTAATCATGGGGGTGCACGGGCTTCGGCATCCAGCCCTGCACTGCCCTCCTGGTGCCGTCTGGGGCCATCAGAGCCACTCTACATGGTGTTTATTACAGATCATTTCCGCTCAGACCACTGAAGTTGGATGGCCGCTTTACTCATGGCCTTGACCTCTCTGGCAGAATTTTCTGATGGGTCAAATGTAGTGTGGCTTCCGCTATCATTTTACCACAGATAATGGGCAAGTAGTTTTCTGTTTATTTTATTCTGAATTCCTGAGCATGTGTGTTTTCCTAAACTGGATGAGAAACGGCCTGTGTCCATCTGTCTACCTGTGTACACATATGTACATGTGTGGCTGCAAATGTTCTCAGTGATTTCAGAGTTCATGGACCCTTTTCAAAGGTCTCCCAGTGGTAACTATCCAAAAATGGATGAGTAATGTAGGCTACAGTTTATTCACAGTTGGCTTCAGTTTATAAAAACAGGCTGGGCGTGGTGGCTCATGCCTGTAATCCCAGCACTTCAGGAAGCTGAGGCGGGTGATCACCTGAGGTCAGGAGTTCGAGACCAGCCTGCCCAATATGGTGAAACCCCATCTGTACTGAAAATACAAAAATTAGCCATGTGTGGTGGTGGGCGCCTGTAGTCCCAGCTACTCAGGAGGCTGAGGCACGAGAATCGCTTGAACCTGGGAGGTGGAGGTTGCAGTGAGCTGAGATCGTGCCACGGCACTCCAGCCTGGGTGACAGAGCAAGACTCCATCTCAAAAAAAAAAAAAAAAAAAAATTAAAATATCCAGAATGATCTTCAGTCATTTTCTTGGGCTTCCTAACCTCTTGTAGCAAATAGCCACAGGCAGAACCCAAATCCTAGTGGGTGAAGATTGAGGGAGCCATAGGGTCCCCATGGGACCAGTGCTCACAGGATACAGCAGGTTGAAGACTTGGGTGCTGGGCCGCCATTGCAAATTTCTGTGCCTACTGCAAGAGAAGACAGAAGATGGTGAGTGGAACCACCTGTGCACACCAGCCCTATTCCTTCCCTCCTGCCTGGTGTGACCTCTACCAACCCCTGCAGGAGGAAGGACAGCACCTGGGTCTGTGACCAGCCCAAGCCGATTAGCTGGGCTGAGCCTTTCTTAGTGCTTTAGCCTCTGTTGACACTGTGCCCTGATTATGCTCATCCTGGCCTTCCATAGTCCTGAAGTCGCCTTGTTTATGTAGCATAGGATAGCGGGAATAGCATGGGGTAGGGGGATAGCATGGGGTAGGGGAATAGCATGGGGTAGCGGGAATAGCATGGGGTAGCGGGAATAGCATGGGGTAGCGGGAATAGCATGGGGTAGCGGGAATAGCATGGCGTAGCGGGAATAGCATGGGGTAGGGGAATAGCATGGGGTAGCGGGAATAGCATGGGGTAGCGGGAATAGCATGGGGTAGCGGGAATAGCATGGGGTAGTGGGAATAGCATGGCGTAGCGGGAATAGCATGGGGTAGCGGGAATAGCATGGGGTAGTGGGAATAGCATGGGGTAGCGGGAATAGCATGGCGTAGTGGGAATAGCATGGGGTAGTGGGAATAGCATGGGGTAGGGGAATAGCATGGGGTAGCGGGAATAGCATGGGGTAGGGGGATAGCATGGGGTAGGGGAATAGCATGGGGTAGTGGGAATAGCATGGGGTAGGGGAATAGCATGGGGTAGCGGGAATAGCATGGGGTAGTGGGACTAGCATGGGGTAGTGGCAGCAGCATGGAGTAGTGGGAATAGCATGGGGTAGTGGGAGCAGCATAGGGTAGGGGAATAGCATGGGGTAGCGGGAATAGCATGGCATAGCGGGAATAGCATGGGGTAGGGGAATAGCGTGGGGTAGTGGGAGCAGCATGGGGTAGGGGAATAGCGTGGGGTAGTGGGAGCAGCATGGGGTAGGGGAATAGCGTGGGGTAGTGGGAGCAGCATGGGGTAGGGGAATAGCATGGGGTAGCGGGAATAGCATGGCATAGCGGGAATAGCATGGGGTAGGGGAATAGCGTGGGGTAGTGGGAGCAGCATGGGGTAGGGGAATAGCGTGGGGTAGTGGGAGCAGCATGGGGTAGGGGAATAGCGTGGGGTAGTGGGAGCAGCATGGGGTAGGGGAATAGCATGGGGTAGCGGGAATAGCATGGCATAGCGGGAATAGCATGGGGTAGGGGAATAGCGTGGGGTAGTGGGAGCAGCATGGGGTAGGGGAATAGCGTGGGGTAGTGGGAGCAGCATGGGGTAGGGGAATAGCATGGGGTAGGGGAATAGCATGGCATAGCAGGAATAGCATGGGGTAGGGGAATAGCATGGCATAGCGGGAATAGCATGGGGTAGGGGAATAGCGTGGGGTAGTGGGAGCAGCATGGGGTAGCGGGAATAGCATGGGGTAGGGGAATAGCATGGGGTAGCGGGAATAGCATGGGGTAGTGGTACTAGCATGGGGTAGGGGAATAGCATGGGGTAGCGGGAATAGCATGGGGTAGTGGTACTAGCATGGGGTAGGGGAATAGCATGGGGTAGTGGGAGCAGCATGGGGTAGTGGGAGCAGCATGGGGTAGTGGGAGCAGCATGGGGTAGCGGGAATAGCATGGGATACTGGGAGCAGCGGGAATAGCAAGCCAAACCTCAGAGCTAAGGTAGCCAAGTGCGGGCCAATGGCAAGACCACGATGCCTTTGGGATTTGAACTTGGGGGTGTGCTGACTTGTTGCAACTAAGTCCTTTATAAAGGACATAAGATATGGTTACTTCTTTCTTGAAAAATGGGGTTCACTGGCTAGGAACAGAGGAAATTTTTCAGTCCGGGTTTGCTACCGAGGTGGAGTCAGCTGCCACTCTCCCCCGCCGTGGCCTCTCTCCCTGCACTGTGGCCCTGTCCACCTCGAGGCTTCTTGAAAGTGGCTCTGCTTTTCTCCATTTTAACTCTGCTCTGTGCCCTGTCTTTTCATTTTGCCTTGGGAGAGTCACCGAGTCCCTGCCCCACAGGCCACACAGAGCCAGACCTTTCTTGGCTGCCACCCTCTCCTCCTCCTCCTTCTCCTCCAGAGCCTTCACTTTGGCCTCAT
Source organism: Homo sapiens (assembly GCF_000001405.40). NCBI lineage: Eukaryota > Metazoa > Chordata > Mammalia > Primates > Hominidae > Homo > Homo sapiens. The sequence goes on along the minus strand of NC_000004.12, from coordinate 667,943 downwards.
ACTCATCAGCCAGCGCCTTCCACTCTTTCCTATTGTTCTGCAGTCGGTCGAACATGGGCAGGATCTCTTCGTGGAAACGAGAGAACTCCTGAGGGGAGTCGAGAAGTCACCACCAGTCCTGTCCTGCCTGCTCTCTCCAGAGTAAGATAGCCCTTCCCCAGCTCATCCCCCTCGTAGGGGATGAACTGCCTGGCAGGAGGAGGGAGCGCCACGGAGGGGGCACCTTCCCAGCAGAGCCCTGTGAAGGGAGAAACCTCGGGGGCTGTGTTGGTGACATTGAAGCCGGGAGCTTTAGGGTATGCATGCTTAGGGTGCAGTGTTGCAGGGAGAGGAACCCAAGAATGAGCAGAACAGCTCAGGGGGTGGGGGCAGGGTGCCAGGCAGAGGGGTGGTGGGCACAGGCGGACAGCAGGCAGCCCCTGCAGTGCCTTCTCCCGTCCCTCCCACACACACACGGCACACATCATGCAAGCACAGCACACGCGTGCACTCGCGCACATCACACATGGAGTGTGGCGGGGTGGGGAAGGCAGTGGGGGGCACCTGCAGTGGGGCCGTGACCTGTGGCCACTTCAGGCCCAAATATCCACCCTTGTCCCACCTTCTCCCCAGCACTGACGACCCGGGGTGGGTAGGATGGGGCGGGGAGTGGGCACAGCCCACTCCGGGACAACTTCATGTGGAACCCGTGGCATCCTCCTTGGGGCGTGGATTCCATCACCAGGGAGTGTGGCCGGAGGCAGCTGGCTCTTATGGGCATCACACAGGGCCCCACGGTCAGACCCCTGCCCCATCGAGTCTCCCCCTCCATGTCCGCCTTGCGTCCTCAGAGACTCAGCTGGCATCGGACTGTGGCAGATTGGCAGGGATGTGGCTCCTTCTGCTGTTCCAAACGCCCCTGTGGGCGGGTGCACCAGCAGACAGGCCGACCCAGCCCCGCCTCGAGGGTTCACAAACATGGAACAAATGAACCCACAGAGCTGCAGCCAAGGCCCCCAAAACAGTGTGCTGGCCACGGCGGAGGGCACTGAGGGAGAACTTCTGGGGTAGGCCTGGAGGCTAGCAGAGGACATTCTGGGCTGGGAAAGGGCTCAGAGCTTCCAGGGGCACAGCAGGGTGAGGATGGGCTGGGGCACCTGTGGGGGTCCGGAAACTGATGTTCCTCCCCATTTGCCCCACTCAAGAGCGGCACGAAGCTGGCACTGGCATCCCTACTCCAGTGAGGACACCGCCGGGCCCGTGTGAGTCCACGCGACTCCAGCCCGCGCCCCCTTGCCTGCTCCCAGCCACCCTGCCCCAGTCAGCTCGGAACACCCGTGAACCACTCGCCTTGTACACGAATGTGCACACGAAGTCGATGAAGCCCACTTGCAGCTTGGGGAGCTCGGCCGCCTTGTTCCGGTCCATCATAGGCTGGTGGGAGGAACAGAGGGCGGGAGAACAGTGACCAGGGAGGCAGCTCCTGGGGCCCCGCCCAGCCCCCCGACCCCCTCACTCAGATGTGCTCATGGAGACACAGCCTGGGACGAGCCTGCCTGACAGAAACTGGCTCTCGGGAGGGGAAGCTGACACCCTCTCCCTTGGCCAGCGGCTCCACAGCTCCTAGGAACTGTGGGCAGCTTCTTCCCACAGCTGCTGTTGGCTCCAGCCCGTGGTCCCCTGAGGGCAGCCCCCTCTTGGCTCTGGGGACCCTTACTGCAGCTGGGGAGAGGCGGGGAGGGGGATGGGCTGTACACAGTGCTGAGCCGGGCTGGGCTGCACTGCCCAGACACTCGGCTGACCAGGACCTCGCTGTGCACTCGCCTGGGGCAGACACAGACGTGCTCTGGAGCTGTTTCTAGTGTCAGACCCCGAGTGCCCTGGGCTGTCCGTCCCCTCACAGCGTCCTGGTGGAGGGTGAACCATGCAGGACTCTAGAGGCCGGGCGCGGGGGATGGACCTGCTGCCTGTCCTTCCCCTGTGGGGCTTTGCTGACCAACCAATGCCCCCTTTCCTGCCGAGGCTGCACCTGGCCTAAGCCCTCTCCACTGCAGGCTCCAGAGAGCCCCTCGCCGCCCACCAGAGCGGGTGTGTGAGAAACCACAGCTCCCACCTGGTCCACGTGGGGCTGGGGCAGCCCTGCCTCTCCTGTTCCTGGCGCCTATCCTGACTCTCCCATTTGCTGGCACCTCTCCTGCTGCCAGGAGGTATCCAGACCCCGCTGCTGACCTGAGGACCCTGGCATTGTCCATCATACCACTGTGTGGGCCCGGGACGCCCCCCATGCGTTCTCTGCCCCAGCACCCTCCCCAGGGCTTTCTTGGTGCATGGCTCGCGGCCCTGCTGGGGTTCACCTGCAGAGCTGCCTGGACCCAGAGGCTCCTGGTGATGAGCGGGTGGCCCTGGTTCCTCCAGTGCCAACGACGTCACCTCTGCATAAGCATCACCCAAGCCACAGCTGTACCCAGGTCCGAGCCACCCACACGCATGTCACATGATCCCACAAAGTGAGATAAGGACCCCACGACCTCAGAACCCCCTGCCTGAGACCAAGCCAGGACCTGAGGCTCCTGAGGACCAAGAGGGGTCTCTAACACCCGTTTCAGGAGTGGAAGGTTCCAGAAGCAGCACTCACAATGGGCTGCTGATCCAAGACTGTCCTTTCCAAGTCACCTTGCTCCCAGAACTCAGCAGCCACGAGAAGTGCGACCTGGAGGCACAGGAAGGCAGCTGTCTGTGGAGCTCTGAGCCCACGCGGAAGGGCCCGGGCCCGCCCCGTGAGGCTCCGAGCCTCGGTCTTCTCCGCCCCAGACCCCCGGGGTCCCCACCACACAGGGCTCCGGTTGAGCCATGTAGACACACTGCAGTACCCCCATCCTTGCCGCCCTGGCCTGGCCCCGAGGTGGCCCTCAGAGCTCCTTGCAAACAATGGTCCGTTGCCATCCGAGGCTCCCGCCCGCCCGGCAGTCCCATGTGCTGAGAGGCACTGACTCTGGGTCTGGAGGGCCCTCTGTTCTAACCTTGCTCTGGACTTCCCAGGGCTTGGTGATGGCAGACAGGTCGCAGGCTGTCATCATCATGGCCCTGCAGACACAAACCGGGCACGAGTGCTGATGGGCGTCTCCTGAGGGCAGGTGGTTTATATGTGTTTTCTTTTTTGAGATGGAGTCTTGCTCTGTTGCCCAGGCTGGAGTGCAATGGCGCAATCTCAGCTCACTGCAACCTCCGCCTCCCGATTCTTGTGCCTCAGCCTCCCGAGTAGCTGGGATTACAGGCGCCCGCCACCACGCCCGGCTAATTTTTGTATTTTCGGTAGAGACGGGGTTTCACCATGTTGGCCAGGCTGATCTCGAACTCCTGACCTCAGGTGATCCACTCCCCTCGGCCTCCCAAGTGCTGGGTTTATGTGTATTTTCTCACTGGGTCCCTGGGACCAGCCTGGGGAGGGGCTGGTTGTGAATCACCATTTTACAGGTGAAAAAGTGGAAGGTCAAAATGAAGTAAGTTACTGCCAAGGGCTACAGACCAATGCAGGGCCTGTGTGCTCCCCAGCTCTGCACCATCTCCCTGAGAGCTGGGGGGAAATAAGGACGGCGCATTTGTTTCACAGCCCTCGACAAGCTGCCGCGACGGGCTCTTCCTGCTCCAGAGCGTCTGGGGAGGGCTGCAGGGTTAACCAGCTGGTGAGTGGGCCCGGTCCCTGCGAGGGAAGGACCCCTCGTGCCCCCTCCGCCCGCGCTCACATGACGATCTCCTTCCGGGTCGTCTCCAGGGACAGGTACTCCACCCAGCTCTTCTTGTCCTGGTAGTTCTTGGACTCATCCACGATCTTCTGAAACATCGCTCTCTTCCTGAACCCAGGGAACAAGGGAGGTGCAGGTGGGAGCAAGTGTGGAGACCCCGCCCCAAGCGCCCGTCTGCAGGGAGGCGCGGAGCCCGAGCGAGGCCCCATCCGGGGTGCGCGGGGCCGGCGGGCAGGGACGGAATCCGGGGCTGCGTCCCCCGGGCTGTGCCGCCGCTGCGCCCCCGTGTCTGCCGGGGGTCCCAGGCTACCCGCCCGCCCCGCGAGGCGCCCCCTCCCGGAAGGCGCGCACTTGAAGTACAGGGCCAGGTCCGTGGCGATGATGGCGATGTCCATCAGGTGGATCACGTGCTCGTGCTGCCGCCGGTTCAGGTTCTGGTAGATGTTCAGGGTCTGCGGAGGTTATGCCCAGCGCGTCAGGCGCCCTGCGGCCACCTCTCAGGGTGCCCGGGGACCCCGCCCCTTCCGCCTCGGCTGCCTGTGCCTCTCACGCCCCCGCCCTCGGGCCCTCGGTGGGCGGGACCCCTAATCCGCCTGCTGCTCAGGGCCCTCCTCAGGGTGCCCAGCTCTCCACCAGCGGCTCCATCGTCGGCTTGGGACGCAGATGGCCTCAGAGGTCACCACCGGGGAGCGCAGGGAGGGGTCCACTGAGTGTCCAGGTCCTTGGGGGCCGCTCAGGGCTCGGCTGCCCTTCATTCCCCCGCTGGTGGGTCCCGGGCCGCTTCCCCTTCGGCTTCCACCCCACCCCATGAGGGGCCCTTTCCAGTTGTCTTCCCCACAAGCGTTTTCCCAGGGCCTCCGATGCACCTGCCCTCAGCCTCGGCCCTCCGCCTTCTCTGCCGCCCTCCCCCAGTGCTCACACACCCAGTGCTCACCCGCTGCATCAGAACCCTGCTCCGCAGGATACGGCCCTGCCGTCCTGCGGACGCTGCGTCCCCAGCGCCCACAGCAGAAACCGAGGGTGAGTATACCAACCTCCTCCGAGAGCAGGAACTTCCCAAACTCCAGGTGGTGCCGCTCCAAAATCGAGGAGCCGTGGAGCTTAGCCAAGGGGTTCTGGGACCTGTTACACAGGTGGTGGAGGTGAGGCCCGTGGGACCTGCCCTTGGCCCACCCTGCGCTCTGCAGCCCCCCCAGATGGGCCCCACTTTCTTTTTTTTGAGACAGGGTCTGCCTCTGTCACCCACTCTGGAGTGCAGTGGTGCAATCATGGCTCAATACAGCCTTGACCTCCTGGGCTCAAGTGATCCTCCCACCTCAGCCTCCTAAGTAGCTGGGACCACAGGTGTGCGCCACCATACACAGCTTTTTTTTTTTTTTTTTTTTTTAAGTTTTTGTAGAGGAGAGCTCTTGCCATGTTGCCCAGGCTGGTCTCGAACTCCTGGGCTCAAGCAATCCCCTCGCCTTGGCCTCCCACAGTGCTGGAGTACGGGGCCTGGCCGTGGACTCCACTTTCTACATAGCCTGCTATGCGAAGCCTAATTCACGCCAAGGGCGTGGAGTTGATTTAGGGCTAATTCACATGCCCGCCCTGAGGTGCCTACTTCATCTGGTACAGGTTGTTGGTGCCGCGGTGGTCGATGTCATGGCACAGGCCGGCTGTCACCATGGCGAAGGCCTCCAGGTCCGTGTAGTAGCTCTTCAGTTTGCCGGTCTGTAGAGACAGGGCCACCTTGCTCACCGGTCCTGGCTCCAGCAGGGTGGGGAGTGGTGAGGGGTTGGGATGACCTAGGCGTCGGGTTGGAGGTTGGACCTCCGACCACCGCAGGGCTGGGGTGCGCGGTGCACGGTGTCAGAGGGCGTTGCCCTCCTCCATCCTTCTGCCCTGGGAGGACCCCCATCTCATCCCTCGGGGTGCTTGAGTGCTGCCCTTGGTACCAGGAGGGCCTGCACAACCCTGGTGATTCTGGCAGCCACGTACCATGAGCAGCGTGAACATCGTCTGGGCCACGTTGAAGCCGTGGCGCCAGTTGTGGTAGGTGATTCTCCGGTACCCTTTGCTGATGGAGAACAGGAACCGCACCAGGACCTGGGGGAGCCGAGAGGACACAGGGCTCCGGCGGCAAGCGTGTAAGTCCCGCCAGAGCGGCACCTGTGGCTGACTTCACAGTGGAAGCCCTGCTCCGTGCCATCATCCCCACACCGTCTCCTGGACTTCCCGATCTTCCCCATCCCTGCGTTTCCCACTGGCCTCTGCTGGCCTTCCTGGGTAGGGGCTGCCACATTGGCACCTATGGGGTGGAGCCAGGTAGGGCAGGAGCTGAGAACAGCCCCAGCCTTCAGGGGCCGCCCAGCCTCCATCCGACTGCCTGGCCTCAAGCTGGGAGGAGGACCCCTGGGGATGCAGCATATTTTAAGATGTTGGTTTTAGGCATGGACATTTGAATGAGCAGAATGTGTGGGCTGCAGGCTGGGGTGGGAGAACCGATGTCCGCAGGGCAAGAGAATGCTGGTCTCTCTTGCCCTGCGGACATCGCCAGGAGGCTCTTCCTGCGGCCATTGTGATTTTTAGGGTCAGAAAATTATTTGGAAATATTTTTTATTCTGCAAATATTTTCTATACATTTTTTCTTGAGTGTTTTCCCTTAGTATTTAGTAAAACTTCTTTTGAAAATGCTGGCCTGCTGCACCTGTTCTCAGAGGGGCATGAGAAAAGAGGATTCTCTTCCTAGGGCTGTGGGAAGCCCCTTGAGATGTTGGAAGCAGGGCAGGGCAGGAGAACCCAGGGAGGGCACAGAGCTGTGGACGAGGGCTGGGAAAGCCATCCCGCCTCCCCAGGGGGTCTCCGAGGAGTGCTGCTGTGGCCAAACCAGGGGGGCCACTTTGTGCTTTCTGTTTAGGTGATGGGATGCTTCTATCTCCTCAGCACCCCACACCAAATCCCCTGTTATTGCCAGATGATGTGCCTAATGATCAAATTGCTTGGAACTCCTAATAATAAAACTTTAAATCTATCCATTCACCATCCATCTGCTGTCCACCCATCCATTCACCCATTCATTGACCCATCTATTAATTCATTAATTGACCCACCTACTCATCTATCACTCATCCACCCACTTCTCCATCCATCCACCTATCCATTCACTTATCCAACCATCTAACTACCATTGGCCCACTCACCCATCCATCCATTTATCCAACCATCCAACTACCATTGGCCCACCCACCCATCCATTTATCCAACTATCCAACTACCATTGGCATCCACCCATCCATTCATTTATTCTTCCTTTGTTTCTTTCTGCTTGCCTGTTGGCCTTCCTTCCTTCCTAACCTCCCTCCTTCCTCCCTGCTTTTCACCCATCCAGCCATCCATCAATCCAGCCATCCACCCAGCCATCCAATTATTTGTTTTATGCTTACTTCCCGTGTGCATTTTACCTGTTCTGTGATGAACATGTCGGCCCTCTAAACTTCCTGTGGGATCTGGAACCCCCAATCCCATCCCCCTCACCTTCTGGGGCACCTGAGGCCCTGATCACATCCCCACCCCCATGTCCTGGGCGGCCTCAGGGACCTGACTATGCGCCCTGCGGTGTCTCCCACCTCCTGGGGGATCTGGAACTTTCGGACCACGCCCAGCTCGTAGTACATCTGGATGCCACATTTGACCAGGTCCAGTTCGGTGCACTCCAGGTCAGAGAAGTGGAATTCGTAGATGTCAAATGTGGTGGGCCCTGGCAGCTCCTCCTTCTGTGGGAGGGATTGTGGGCTGAGGGAGGTTGGCCTGCCACAGCCCCCACTTGCTTCTCATCCTTTCTTCTCTCCAGATCCCCTGCCAAGCCTCAGACACCTCAGGCATCTCTGAGGAGATGTGTCATTCCTGGCGCTCCAGCCTGTATCCCAGGCTGCTCACACGCCCCCCTGGCTCAGCCTCACTCTCCCCTCTTGTACCCTGTGGCCCAACAGTGAAGAACTTGCCCAGTTGGGTGGACAGGGTGATGTTGTTGAGACAAGAAAACACAAAGGTGTGCACATGAAAAGAAACACACACACACACGGATACAGACACACGTGACACAGGCACACCTGGATACACGGCCACTCCCATGAATACAAAGGCACCGGTGTGGACACACAGGCACACACATGAGCACCCAGGCACACCCACAGACATGCAGGCACACACGTGCAGACTCACGCATGTAGGCTCACACACACAGCCATGAGGTAACACACACAACAGTGGACTTTCAGACCCACCAGGCACATTCCCATGCTCAGTCCAAGGCCTACTCACAAGGCTCGTGGCCCCGGGAGATTCTGGCTAAATTGCATAGGCAGACACAGGGTGATGGGGACACCACATAATCCCCACATTGATCCAGCAATCGTCTCTAGGAGACACACACAAGCATGTGTCTATATATATCCATGTGCACACACATGCACACACAATACACACCCCCTGTGCACATGTGAGCACACACACATGGGTGCACACACGGGCACACACACACAAACGCCCATGTGCACACACATGCACACACATACTCGTGGGCACACATGTGCACACACATGTGTACACATGTGCACATTCATACAATGCACACACGCACACACATACCCACATGTGCACACACACACCCACATGTGCACACATGTACACACCTGTGCAGACGCCCACGTGTGCACACACACCTACATGCACACACACGTACACACTTGTGCACACACAGACACCCACATGTGCACACACATGCACACAGACACCCATGTGCGTGCACACATGCGGATGCACACACACTGGGAGTTGCAGGCACCTAGGCACTCTGAGAGCAGAGATGACATAGATGGACACAGAGTCCAAGTCAGGCCCACTAAACATCCGGTGAAAACTAAACATCTGGCAAAGCACAGAGGAGACAGGAAGACACGAAGATACACTCAGGAGTGCAGACATCAAAGCCACATTCTGGCCATGCAAACACACTCAGGGACACACTGGCTGAGACTGAAAGCCAGGCTTATGTACACACACGTACACTAAGGTGCTTAGATACACAAGTATACACACACAGCACCAACATCCCTGATGACCGTGTGTGCAAAGCACCGTCGGGTCCCGGAGAATGCAGAACTCTTCCTCCCAGCCTCACACGTGGCCGGCCTCCATGGGAGGGACGGGAGCAAGGTTCTTACCAGGATTTCGCCCAGCTCGTCCTCATCGCAGTCAGCAGGCTCCTTCCCCAGGCGCGCTCTGGTTGGCTACACAGAGACACAGATGTGTCACGAGAAAGAGCTTCGCATGTGGGACAAGGTGACGGCGGTGCGTCCACCCCGTGTGAGCTAGAGGAAGGTGCTGTCAAGAGCTTGTGCTTTCACCCTGGGAAGGCCCTGGCGGCCTCTGATCTGGAGACAAATGACCGTGTGCATGGCCTGCTGACTTTCCCACCTGTCCTCTCTCGGGCACTGCCTTACGCAGTCCTCAGGTATAATGATGGGACTCTCTCATGATGACCAGGAGGGCTCTGGCCATGCAAGGCCCCTGGCTGGGGAGATTGAGCACAGGGAAGGGATGCCAGGGCCGTGCAGACAGAGGGACCTCGGGGGCATGCCAGGGCTGTACTCAGCTCTGGCCCCAGGGCCGTGTCCCCACCACACAGAGAGAGCTGTGACCCCTGGGTAACCTGGCCGCCCACTGCACAGAGGGAGCCGTGACCCCTGGGTGACCTGCCCCACACAGCTGTGACCCCTGGGTGACCTGCCCCCACCGCACAGCCATGACCCCTGGGTGACCTGCCCCTGCCACACAGCCGTGACCCCTGGACGACCTGCCCCGCACACCTGTGACCCCTGGGTGACCTGCCCCCACCACACAGCCATGACCCTTGGGTGACCTGCCCCGCACACCTGTGACCCCTGGACGACCTGCCCCCGCCGCACAGCCGTGACCCCTGGTGACCTGTCCCTGCCACAGATCCATGACCCCTGGGTGACCTGCCCCCGCCACACAGCCGTGACCCCTGGCGACTTGCCCCCACCATACAGCCATGACCCCTGGTGACCTGTCCCCACCGCACAGCTGTGACCCCTGGTGACCTGCCCCCGCCGCAGAGCCATGACCTCTGGGTGACCCCTGGATGGACCCCTGGACGACCTGCCCCCACCACACAGCCGTGACCCCTGGATGACCTGCCCCCACCGCACAGCCATGACCCCTGGGTGAGCCCTGGATGACCTGCCTCTGCTGCACAGCCATGACCCCTGTGACCCCTCAATGGACCCCTGGACGACCTGCCTGTGCCACACAGCCATGACCCCTGGGTGACCCCTGGACGACCTGCCCCTGCCGCACAGCCGTGACCCCTGGGTGACCCCTGGACGACCTGCCCCCGCCGCACAGCCATGACCCCTGGGTGAGCCCTGGATGACCTGCCTCTGCTGCACAGCCATGACCCCTGGGTGACCCCTGGATGCCCTGCCCCCGCCGCACAGCTGTGACCCCTGGGTGACCCCTGGACGACCTGCCCCCACCGCACAGCCGTGACCCCTGGGTGACCCCTGGACGACCTGCCCCCACCGCACAGCCGTGACCCCTGGGTGACCCCTGGATGACCTGCCCCCACCACACAGCCGAGACCCCTGGGTGACCCCTGGACGACCTGCCCCTGCCACACAGCCGTGACCCCTGGGTGACCCCTGGACGTCCTGCCCCGCCGCACCAGGATGAGCTGGATCTCGTCCCTGTCGCACTTCACGTGGTAAAGGACCATGTCCTGTGCGATGTCCTTGCGGTTCTCCAGCTTGTTCATCTTGTCGTAGGTGTCGGTGTTCATCACTGACCAGCCCAGGAACTGTGTCAGGGACTGGAGGGGATGGCAGTGTCACTGGCGCTCAGCGCTCCCGGCGCGCCCCCTCCCATGTGCCTGTGTGCCAGGCCCCGTGGCTCGGCGGGCAGGTCCTGGGGCTGCCACCATGGTGTCGCAGTGCTTCTGTGTGGGGTCTCCCGGGTGCTCTGCAGAGGCTCCTGCTCCCGGGGGGGCCCTTTGTCGTCCTCTCCCTGGCCGCATGCATACCGCACACACATGAGCACACGCACACAGCCGAATGCTTGGCGGGGAGGCCCCCACACCGCACAGGCCCCACCCCTCGCAGGGCATCCCCGGCGGAACCACGTCTGCCCAGGTGCTTACCTCCATGAGAACCTCGTCCTGTTCGTCAAAGGGCTTCCCGTCTTTCCTGTTGTAAAATGTGGCGACTCCCACAATCTCCTCCTTCTTGTTGACGATGGGCATGGACAGCACATTCTTGATGAGCCACCCGGAGTCGTCCAGGGCCCCTTCCTGCGGGAGCGGTGTCCAGAGCTGAGCTCCGCCCTGAGGCTGGCCCTGGCCCGGGCGTGTGGCCGGGGAGAGTGACCTCATGTCTTCTCCCCTAGAGCCGTGACGGCTGGGCTCGTGTTCCTGTCTCTGCTCTCTGCATTCCCTCTCTCCCTCTCTGCATTTGGAGTTTGTGTCCATGGTTTTTGTGTCATGATATTTTCCCACCGGAGGAGGTAGAGGCCGTTTTCCCACCAGGAGTGGTTTCATGGGCATGTGTGTGGGGCGGCGGTCACGGCCTCGCAGGGGTGTGTGGGGGCCGCGGTCACGGCCTCGCAGGGGTGTGTGGGGGCCGCGGTCACGGCCTCGCAGGGGTGTGTGGGGGCCGCGGTCACGGCCTTGCGGGCGTGTGTGGGGGCTGTGGTCACAGCCCCAGGTGATCCACCCGCCTCAGCCTCCCAAAGTGCTGGGATTACAGGCGTGAGCCACCATGCCTGGCTGAAGTTGTTTTTTAAGTGGCAAAAACGAATTCACTTCATCATCGCTGAATCAAAATCTCCTCTTTTGTAAGTAAGTATAATTTCTACCAAGGCACAGACAGATACCTGAAATTTGAACATTTCGTCAGCGGAAGCATTCATGATGTTACAAATCTGAAAAAGCATCAGAAAAACGATTTCATCCAAAACAGCGGAAGGTCTGTTATGATCTAAAATGGCCTCTGTGGCCCTGAGGTGAGCTTTTAAGTAGGTAAAGCAGGGCAGCTGGGGGCTTCACTGAGGCACGTGGAGCTGGCCGGGAGGGCGGGACGTGGCAGAGACAAGGAGAAGCACACATCGCCGCACCCAGTGAGGGCAAGGCTGTGGGGACTCCAGACAGCACGGGACTCACAAAGCCGCTTTCTGCCACGTAGCTTGGAAGGCCGCTGGCCAGGGCCCAGTGATCGGCTGAGGGTGTGCTGTGGGCAGAGAGCAGGGGTCAGATAGGCCACGCCGGGCTGGATGTGCGCGTGCAGGAGTCAGAGGGACTGGATGTCTGTGTGCAGGGGTGAGAGGGGCTGGTCTAGGCTGCACGTGTGTGTGCAGGGGTCAGAGGGGCTGGTCTGGGCTGCACGTGTGTGTGCAGGGGTCAGAGGGGCCAGGCTGCGCTGGATGTAGGTGTACTGGGGTCAGATGGACTGGGCGTGTGTGCAGGGGTCTGGGGGTCTCTGGCTCATGTGCCATCCTCAGCATTTACTCTCTTCTCTGAGTGCCAGGGGGTTCAGGAGGCGAGGAGGCCAGGGCGTGGGTTGGAGGACGGCTGTGCTGCCTTCTTCCTCCTCCCCAGGCTGCCGTGCTGGGGCCCCTCCCTCTTGGGAACCCCTCCCTCTCCGGAGGCCGTATGGCTTCAGCCTGCTTTCTAGGACTCAGCGTTGGTGCCTGCCCTGCCACCCTGACCCTGACTTGTGCTCAAGCCTGGCACCTGGATCCTGGTTCCTGCTTGGGGCCTGGGGATGGGGTCCCAATAGGCTTATGGGATCACAGGGCCACTGGGCCACCAGCTGCCCCTCCCTTGGCTGGAGTCCTGCCCTGACCTCCGGACTGGAGTTCCCCTCCTCTTCCAGCCCCACGGGGCCAAGACTCGGCCTCCTGGCTGGAGGCTCCACTGTCTGGGTGGGGCTGGTGGTGCCAGGGTCAAATCCTGGGGCCTTCATGCTCAATTGTTGCTGACGAGGCCGCCTGGACAGCTTGCCTGGTCCCCTGTATGTCCACTCTGGATGTCCACAGTGACTCGGGCTCCTCAGCAGCCCACGTCCTCCTCACCATCTCCCAGAACAGTGAGTCGGCTTCTGTCTCACCCCCAACTCCACTATGCCCCACGGCACACAGAGCACCACAGGTGGGGCCAGGCCAGGCCGGTGCTGCTGACTGCACCGTGGGAAGCCCTGGGAGGACGGCCCTGGGGGCTGAGCCGGGGTCTGAGGGGCGGTCCCTCCCCCGGGGACGCTTCTGGTAAAATCCTGCACTTACGGAATGACCTTGATCTCCTCCTTGCCGTGGAGGACGTAGTCGATCACTTTGTAGAAGACAATTTCCTGAGAAGCAGAAGACACTGGTCGGGGGGCTGCCTGGCCAAGCTCTGAGGGGCTCACACACACACACACAGCTACATGCAGCTACACACAGCCACACGCATGCACACCCCCACACACGTAACCGTGCATGTGTACACACGTGAACAGATGTCTCCGCCGTGCGCAGGTATTCTACGAATGCGGGTGCACTCACACCCATGTCCACACATGCACAGGCTCAGGGTGCACACACATGCAGACCGTCCCCAATACTCACGGGACACGCATCACACGCCGCGGTTTACATCTGTCTTCCCAGTCTGTGTTCCGCACAATCCCACACACAAGCTGGGCCCGTACTCTCACACACACACACACACACGCATCCTACACGTGCACAGGAGGTCCCACGTGGGGAGATGGGGCAGCAGGAGCCCCCACAATCAGAGCCGACGTGGGTCTTCACGACCAGCCTGGCGGCCCTCATTCAGGGACCAGCCCTGGACACCCCATCCCTGGAGTGCAGCAGCAGGGGAGCCTGGTGGAGACCACAGACAGGCACCCGGGGTCCCACCGGCCAGTTCCCACCTCCCTAAACCCCACCCCTATCCCTCCCTCTCCTGCCCTGGAGTTGGAGTCAGGGAAACAGAGGCGTGTGGACAGGCCCTGGGCCCCTCCCCTAAGACTCACCCGGCCATCAGGCGTGCGTGGGCCCGAGTACGGCTGGGACTCTCCCATCAGCACAGACCACACGTCAAAAAATTCCTGGGCAGAGAAGAGGTGAGGGTGGGGCGGTCACTGCGGGACCTGGGTCGGGCCAGGCAGGGGGTCCCTGAGCCACGGAAGCCTCACCTTCTCCTTGGTCATGTCCAGGAGGCCCACGGAGTACCGCTCGCAGTTGAGGTAGGCCCGCACCGTGTAGAAGGCCTTGTGGAACTGCCTCTCGATGTCCGTCAGCTCCTCAAACACCTTGTTGGCCGACCACAGCAGCACCTGGAGGGAGGGGCACACCTGTGGGCCTGTGGCCACTCCCACCCTCACGCCGGTCTGACCACAGCAGCAGGGGTTTAACTCAAGCCTGACACAGGTGCGCTCCCTGATCTGACCACCTGCCCAGCCGTGGAGCCTGGCACAGACCCTGATTGGTGGCTCCGTGGCCAGGTTTCATCTGAGCTTGTGGGGCCCGGGAGCTGGCTGGCGGTGAGGCCTCGAGGCTGCGGTCGTGTCCCTGATCACTCAGGAGTGGACGAGTGGAAAGTGGAATCTGTCGCTTTGAGCTTGACAGGCAAACATCCGACCAGCCCTTCCTCCGCCCGGCTGCTCCAGAACCACCTGCGGCGAGCAGGGCTTTGAGAACATCGGGCCGTGGTTTCCGCACGTCAGGCCGCCTGTGGCCTCCGCCAAGCGTCTGAGAGTGAAGCATTGCTGACGCACTCCACGAGGTCCTGGCCAGACCCCACTCAGGACATCCCGCTGCACAGGCCCCTGGTTGCTGGGTCAGCGCTGCCACCAGGCTCAGACTCACCCCAGGGCCCTCCTTGGGCCACCTTTCTCTGCCTCCTTGGTCAAGGCCCAGACCCAGGCCCCACCAGGCCCTGCCTCCTCACACTCGCGGCGGCCGCTGGGTCTTCTACCGCATGGTGCCAGCTCCCTCTCCTCCGCTGCGGTGTCCTAGCCCAGCTCTCTCCCTGCCAGGCCCTCTGAAGTTCCACCCCCTGGCACTCAGCTCATGGTGGGAACAGGACCAGGCTCTCCTGTTGCCAAGGGCAGTGAGATGTTCGTAGCTTTATTTCCCAGTACATTGATTTTACTGATTTTAGTTTATCTTCAGTTGAATAATTGTGTGTATTGATGGGGTTTATGTTTTATGGGGTTTGGCGTGATGTTCTGATGTAAGTATTTGTTGCAGAAAGATTCAATTAAGCTAATCAACATATCCATCACCTCACCAAC
Source organism: Homo sapiens (assembly GCF_000001405.40). NCBI lineage: Eukaryota > Metazoa > Chordata > Mammalia > Primates > Hominidae > Homo > Homo sapiens. The sequence goes on along the minus strand of NC_000004.12, from coordinate 652,891 downwards.
TTGTTTTTTTTGTGGTGAGAACATTACAAGTCTATTTTCTAGCAATTTGGTATACAATACAGTCATCCCTCGGCATCCTCAGGGAAATTGGTTCCAGGACGCCGCTCTGATAACAAAATCCGAGGATGTTCAAGTCCCGGATGTGAAATGGCCTAGAGTTTGTACAGAGGTTGCACACGCACCCCCAGGACTTCAAATCATCTCCGATGACTTAGCACCCAGTGCAAGGCAAGGCCATGAAAACGGCTGTTCTACTGTATTGTTTTACATTCTTATTCTTATTTTTAATTTAAAACTTTTCCCACATCATAAATCCTCGGAAGCAGAACTGCACTTACCGAGCACCCTGTGTACTGTGGTTAACGGCAGTGGTGGCCGCCACACAGCGCGGCTGACCTTGAAGCCCACAGCTCCAGCTAACGAACGCTTTGCACCCTTTCACCAACGTCTCTGCTTTCTCTATCTCTCTTCCTGCCCCGGCCTCCTGCAACCCCCTTTCCACTCTCTGTTTCCATGAATTCAGGGTTTTCGGATCCCACATGTGAGTGAGATCCTAGCTTTTGGCCAGTGGCATCCTCCAGGTCCATGCACGTCAGTGCCCTTCCCTGGCAGCATCCTCAGTGCCGGCTCTGCTGTTCCCAGAGTCCCTCCCTCCCTCCCTGCTGAGGCCCGGCCCCCCTGCAGCCCCTGAGCACCAGCCTCTCTCGTCCAACACCTTTTTCTCCCTGAAGCCTTTCCTGAGCCATGTTTCTCCAGTGACCCTGACCCCTGCCTCGCAATCTCCGCCCGGGTCTGCAGCCTACCCTGACTCCTGCCTCACCGATGGGTGTGGACCCTCCTCACTGGCCTCCACACTCTCCTGCCCTGACCCCAGTCACCGTCGTGGAGCCGCCCTGGCCGCAGTCACAGTCATGGAGCTGCTGCTGGTGCCACCCTCAGCAGAAGCTCCCAGCCTTCCCAGCCCCTATCTGAGTATGTCCCACCCCCCGTGTCCCTGCACTGGTCAGGAGCTTTGGCCCCATGCCCGTGTGAAGAAGTCAGCTCAGTCACTGGAGTTAGTGGGTCCAGAACAGGACTTGGGAAAACAGCAGGTGCAGATGGCGACCGCCCTAGCACTCTCCACAGCCCCGGCACCTGCTGAATGGAGACGGCTCCCCATAGCCCCGGCGCCTGCTGAATGGAGACGGCTCTTCATAGCTCCAGAGCCTGCTGAATGGAGACGGCTCCCCATAGCCCTGGCGCCTGCTGAATGGAGACGGCTCTCCACAGCCCCGGCGCCTGCGGCTCAGGAGACTCGCTGTAGATGTGTGGAATCGCCAGGTGCATTCTCCTCGCGTGACTGGTTCACCCAGAGCCGCAGGTGGAGGCCCGGCCCCACCCTCTGCGCCCTCTGCGTCCCTCCCACACTCAGTCTGTCTCCTGCCGAACTCAGCGCCTTCGCACGGGCTCTGGCCTCTGCCTCCAGGCCCTCATCCCAGGCCCTCCTCCTCCCAAGGCCTGGCCTCAAGTCCTTTCCAGGAGGCCCCCCCTGAGGACCCACCAACCCCTGGGGCCCCCACTCCCCATTCAGTCTGACCCCACGGGTCAGCCCCTGCCCCGCCTGTGACGGCCCCACTGCTGTTGACATCGCCGCCTCAGCCCCTGCCCCGCCTGTGACGGCCCCACTGCCGTTGACATCGCCGCCTCAGCCCCTGCCCCGCCTGTGACGGCCCCACTGCTGTTGACATCGGCGCCTCAGCCCTGTCCTGCCTGTGACGGCCCCACTGCTGTTGACATCGCCACCTCAGCCCCTGCCCCGCCTGTGACAGCCCCACTGCCGTTGACATCGCCGCCTCAGCCCGTCCTGCCTGTGACAGCCCCACTGCCGTTGACATCGGCACCTCAGTGAGGGGAGGCACTGAGTTCAAGGTGGTCCCAGCCCAGCAGCCCCACCCTGAGGCTTCTGCCGTCCTCCTTGTTTTCATTTTTAATTTTCCGGTTAAAAGCCTGCTGGTGCACACAGCAACTGACTGAAGTGCAGGCGTCTTCAGCGTGTGGCGGGTGGATTTTCGCTGCCGGCTCGGGCTCAGGGCATTCCTCTGTGCCCCCGTCAACACCCCCTGCCCTCCGGAATGGCTCTTCCAACCTCCGACCCTGGCCTGCTCTGAAACGGCATCTACGCAGCCTCCCCAACCAGCCTTCTCGCCTCCGCAGCCTCCAGACGCCAGCCCTCCCTGCCGGCCCCCCTCCCTGTGTGTGGGTGTCGGAGCTGTTTCTGTCCTGACTGCTGGGAGTCTTGGTGCCTGGGTGGTTCTGGGCTGGGGGACCCCCTCCACTCTGTCCCCTCGGTGCCCTGACCCCACGCTTGGGGCCTTCCTGGGCCCTCTCTGCCCACGCAGGTGTCCCTGGCATCTTCCTGGGCAGCATCCCTCAATTCCAACTCCAGATCGAAGGGGAGCCCTGAGGCCTCTGATGGAGGCTGTTGCCTGTGTGGAGGAAGCAGGCTGTGAGGCTTCGCACCTGGGGTCTGCCTGTCCTGGGCAGTGGGGACAGGGGGGGCCGGACACCCAGCAGTGTTGAGCTCTCAGCCTTTCAAGAGATGTAGAAACCCTAATTCTTACGTGAATTGTCTCGACTTTAAAATGTTGGGAACTTGTTAAGCCAAACATCCAGTGCTGGGTGGGACCTACCCCCTTTTCAAGGTGTGGCTGGAGGCCCGCCCTGGAGTTTTCCAGACTTGTCCCCTCCTCAGGGAGCGGGGGCCCCTCCTGCCCCAAGCCCGTGCCCAGCGTCCCAGCACCCCGGTACAGGATACACCTGCTGCATCCACAAGGCCCCGGGGATGGTTCGAGCAGCCTGGGCTTCTGGGCTGCATGGAAGCTGAGGTTGTGTCCCTCCTGCATTGACTGGGGTCAGGTTTAATGCTCCAGGGTGAAACCAGGGTGACAGCGGTGGCCACCCCGTGTACTCAGAAATGAGGGATCCACTGACATGGGGGGCAGAAGGCACAGAGACGCATATGGCCCTGGAAGGGGAGCTGCTCAGCCTCATGGCCCTCTCATTACTTATGGGAAGGAGGGGCCAGGAGGTCCTGAGGGGCCAGGGCAGATGGGATCCCCACTGGCTGCCCAGCCAGTGGAGTAGGGCCAGAGTCTCCCCCCGACCCTGAGCCCTGGGCCATAGCTGTGGTGGGAGGCAAGCGCTCAGGCCTACGCGGTCCCAACCCCAGGCCTTTGTGGGTCCACCAGCGAACAGTCTTCCCAGGCCTCTGTGGGTCCACCAGCGAACAGTCTTCCCAGGCCTTTGTGGGTCCACCAGTGAACAGTCTTCCCAGGCTGTGGTCAGCATAAGGGACCCCAGCGAGTGCCTGGGGAATCCAAGAATGGCGCTCCTTCACTTTCAAAGCAGCAGCAGGTGGCCCCAGCGTCCCTTGGAGGCCTGGTCGCTAGGACGGGCCTCGGCCCTACTGAAGCCCCAGCCCCAGGAGCCTTGTTTCTGGAGACGTTTCCCCCTGGGCCCAGGGCCTTGACAAATCTAGTGTGTGTCCTGGCATCAGGGCAGAGGGCTTCATCTCATGGTGAGCTTCTCAGAGCTGGTTGTTGAATCCTCAGGCATTCTGAGAGCCAGCCATTAAACATAGCCATTATGACAATTCAATCATGGCCATTATGTCAATTAAATCATGTAACCTATAAACTAGAACACTGTATTAAAAGGAAAGGCGACAGACACCCAGGATCACCCGCCCCGCCCCACTGTGGGTCGCTGTTGGCCGTGCTCGGGGCTTCGCTACGGCAGACGGACTGCTGTGCCAGCGTGGATCTCCCCACAGCTCCATCTGGCTCATCATGGTGGGGCCCTAAGTCCGAAGTTGGCCAGCTCAACAGGCTCCCGCCACTGCCCGGTGTGGACAGACCACGCCCGCCCCTCCTGGCCGCCTCTCACTTCTGAATGGCTCTGCTTCCTCACAGGAGGCAGGAGTCAGACCTGCAGAGACAGAAGGCTCCCCCGCTCCTCCCATGCCTGACCTGAGTCGGGGCACCTCCTCCGCCCTTGCAGCGAGCCACCGGGTCCTGACGCATGGCCGGCCTGAAGGTGAGAGCTGCAGCCCTGCACCCACAGGCCTTTCATGCAGCTTTGCTGCAGCTCAGACAGCTGGGCGGTGAGAATTGCTCCACTAAGCCGAACAGGCAGCTGCCGTGACAGGTCAGAGAGAAACCTGAGCTCTGTAGGGCCTAACCCATGGCTTTCCTGCGGCCTCTGTTGGCTCTGATGGGAGTGTCCGAGAGGCTTTTCAGAAAGGGAATGGCAGGGGCCTCCAGCTGGAGGGTGCCTGGGACAGAAGGTAGTTCCTGATTGTCCAGGTGAGGGCCCGGGACAGAGGGAGGGGGGAGCGCCCAGAGGCTGCTTCAATCCCAGTGACCAGCTTTCCTTCCACAGCTCAAGGAGGAGGCAGACGAAGTGCAGGCGTTGGGCGGACTGCGGGGGCCAATCTTTGCTCATCACAAACTTTTATTTTCAAAAAGAGCCGTGAGGCAGGCCTGTGCCTCCTGCAAGTCAGGATGCCTAAAAATGCCGTTCGGAGGGCAAGACCCAGAAACAGCTTTTCCTAGGACTGGGCAATGTCTGGTGCAAAATCGAAAGTCTCACATGGAGACACAAGGTCACGTGTTAGAACCTTGAGCTGGTCTCCACATGCCTGCAGACTGAGAGGCTGGAAACAAGGAGTTTCCTAGGTGTTGGTAATTCACTTGTTGCCTGGTTTAGGGCTGGGGTGACCAGACAACAGAACGGGCAAATACGCCTGACTCTTGGCTCTTTCTTTCTTTTTTTTTTCGAGATGGAGTTTTGCTCTTGTTGCCCAGGCTAAAGTGCAGTGGCGCGATCTTGGCTCACTGCTACCTCTGCCTCCCGGGTTCAAGCAATTTTCCTGCCTCAGCCTCCTGAGTAGCTGGGGTTATAGGCATGCACCACCACGCCCAGCTAATTTTTTGTATTTTTTACTAGAGATGGGGTTTCACCATTTTGGCCAGGCTGGTCTCGAACTCCTGACCTCAGGTGATCTGCGCGCCTCAGCCTCCCAAAGTGCTGGGATTACAGGCATGAGCCATCACACCTGGCCAGAGCCACACTTTTAAAACTGAGGTCTGTTGCTGGGTGGTTCCCGCTGTGTACTAGATTGCGTGCCCCTCCCCCCATGCATCTGTGAAGCCCTCACCCGAGATGCGATGGTGAGTGGAGGTGGGGCCCTGGGGGATGATTAGGGTTAGGTGAGGTCACGAGCCTGGGGCCCCTACGAGACGTGCCCTTATGGGACGAGGACACAGCAAGCCAGGGAGAGAGCCCTCGCCAGAAATGGAACCTGGTCAGCACCTTCATCTGGAACTTCACAGCCTCCAGAAGTGTCAGAAACGAATGCCCACTGTCTCAGGTGCTCGGTGTGTGGTATTTTGTTATGGCAGCTCAAGCTAATACAGAAGCAAAAACAAACCATAAACAAGGGCGCGGAAGCTGCTGTCACCCTCAGCTGCAGCAAATGTTCATTCAATACAGCCCAGCTCCCGGCCAGATGGACCCCAAATCCCACACTCAAGGCTGATTTGCCCCAGTCCCTGCTTTGGCCAAAAATTATAAGTCATGCTAAAAGGCAAGAAAAAGCAACAGTCCAAAAAGGCAAAGCAAGCCTCAGAACCAGACTCAGATGTGACACGAAGTTGGGAATTATCAGACTGGGAATTTAAAATTACTATGATCAGGCCAGGCGAGGTGGCGCATGCCTGTAATTCTAGTGCTTTGGGAGGCTGAGGCGGGCAGTTCAACTGAAGTCAGGAGTTCAAGACCAGCCTGGCCAACATGGTGACACTCATCTCTACTAAAAATACAAAAATTAGCCGGGCCGCGGTGGTGGGCACCTGTAATCCCAGCTACTCAGGAGGCTGAGGCAGGAGAATCACTGGAACCCAGGAAGCGGCGGCTGCAGTGAGCCGAGATTGAGCCACTGCACTCCAGCCAGGGCCACAGAGCAAGACAATGTCTCAAAAAAAAAAAAGGAAAATTATGATGATCAATATGCTAAAGGCGCTACTAGAAAACGGAGGCAGCGCACCGGAGCAGATGGTAACATAAGCAAAGAGATGGACGCTCTGGGAAGGACAAGGCGCGCTGGAGTACAGGAAATGCGAGGTGGAAACGCAGTGCGCCGCCGCCCGGCCGGAGGCTGCGCGTGTCTGAGGAAGGGGGCCGGGAGCGCGAACACAGAAACGCAGAGGGAACCACGAGCGGAGCGAGCGGAGCAGAGAGACAAATACAGAAGGTGCGAGTGGGCGGCGGGTGCCGGAAGGAGCAGAAAGAGCGAAGGAGAAGACATGTTGGAAGTAATAATGGCTGAGATTTTCCAAAAGTATTGACAGACACCAAACCGCGCGTCTAGGATGCTCAGTGACTGTCAAAAAAGACAAATGCCAAAAAACTGATCCTAAGGCACGTCATATTCAAACTGCAGACAACCAAGCTGAAAACCTCGAGGGAAGCTGGGGGTGGGGGAACATCTGACCAAGAGTGGAACGAGACGTTGGAAACATCTCATCAGAAACGATGCGAGCAAGAGGAGAGTGAAGTATTGGAAGTGTTGAGAAAAAAATGTGCTAACTTATAATTCTGTATACAGTAAAATTATCCTTAAGAAGTGAAGGAGAAATAAAGACTTTCTCAGATAAACAGAAACTGAGGAATGTGTTACCAGTGGACTTGCCCAGCAGAAAATGTTCAAAGAAGTTCCTTGGAAACAGGAAGAATGAGATAGATCAGAAACTTGCATATGCGTGAAAAAAGGAAGAGCAGCAGAAAATAAATAAATGACAGGAAAGCAACATATTTTCTTTTTCTTAATTTCTCTAATAATAGCTATTTGTTCAAAGTAATAATAGTAACAGTGTATTACATGATTATAGCACGTGGATAAGTAAAATAAATGGCAGAAATTTTATAAGGGTGGAAGTGAGAAGTTGTAGGTACATTGTGGTAAGATAGCCACACTCTAAGTGAAGCAGTATAATGCTATTTGGAAGAGGGCTTAGAGTAGTCATAAATGATTATTGCAAATTCTGGGGAAATGCTAAAATTTTTTGGAAAAACAAGTATAACTGATAAGCTAAGAGAGGAGAGAGTGTGGGATAAGACGTTCAATTAAAACCAGAGAAGGCAGAAAAAAAGAGGGGATGATAATAATAAAGAGTAAGTGCAACACAGAGAAAATGTTTAAGAATATGGTATATATTAATCCAACTATATCAATAATCACTTTAAATGTGACTAGCCTGGCCGGGCGCGGTGGCTCACGCCTGTAATCCCAGCACTTTGGGAGGCCGAGGCGGGCGGATCACGAGGTCAGGAGATCGAGACCATCCTGGCTAACACGGTGAAACCCCGTCTCTACTAAAAATACAAAAAATTAGCCGGGCGTGGTGGCGGGCGCCTGTAGTCCCAGCTACTCGGGAGGCTGAGGCAGGAGAATGGCGTGAACCTGGGACGTGGAGCTTGCAGTGAGCCGAGATCGCGCCACTGCACTCCAGCCTGGGCGACAGAGCGAGACTCCGTCTCAAAAAAAAAAAAAAAAAAAAAAATGTGACTAGCCTAAATACACCACTTGACAGATTTTCAGAGCGGATAAAAAGAACTAAGACCTGACCCTATATATGTTGTCTATAAAAAACCCACTGTAAGTATAAAGACACACATAGTTTAAAAGTAAGGAATGAAGAAATATATGCTATGCTAATAATAATCCAAAGACACTGGGGTAGCTATATTAATTTAGACAAAGAGTACTTTAGAACAAGGAAAATTGTTGGTGGAAGGGGCATGACAACATGATAAAGGGGTTGTTTCTCTATGAAGACATAAAAATCATTCATGTTCACACATCTAATAACAAAGCTTCGAAACACATGAAGCAAAAGCTGATGGAGCTGTAAGGAGAGACGCATCCTCCACTACTGTTGGAGACTTAGTACCCTCTATCAGAATGAGCACATCCAGCAGGCAGAGGCTCAGTAAGGACATTGCTGAACTAAACAACACTGTGGGCCGGGCATGGTGGCTCACGCCTGTCATCCCAGCACTTTGGGAGGCCGAGGTGGGCGGATCATCTGAGGCTGGGAGTTCGAGACCAACCTGGGCAACATGGGGAAATCCCGTCTCTACTAAAAATATAAAAAGTAGGTGGGCGTGGTGGCGTGTGCCTGTAGTCCCAGCTACTCGGGAGGCTGAGGCGGGAGAATCACCTGAATCCACGAGGTGGAGGTTGCAGTGAGCTGAGATCACACCACTGCGCTCCAGCCTGGGCAACAGAGAAAGAATCTGTCTCAAAAAAATAAAAATAAAAAAAACAAAAACACTGTTATTCGAATGGACATAATTGACATCTATAATTTACCTCATCCACCAACAGCACAATACCCATTCTTCTCAAGGTCACGTGGAGCATACAGCAAGATAAACCACATTCTAGGCCATAAAACACATCTTAACAAAATTTTGAAAATAAAAATAATGAAAAATATGTTCTTATACCATAGTGCAATTAAATTAGAAATCAATAACAGAAATATAGCTGAAAAATTTAAAATGGATTTAACAACACACTTCCAAATAACAGATGGGCCAGAGTCTGAAGAGACCTTTTAAAAGATTTTGAACTAGGGGCACGGTGGCTCACGCCTGTAATCCCAGCACTTTGGGAGGCCGAGGCGGGCAGATCACGAGGTCGAGAGATCGAGACCATCCTGGCCAACATGGTGAAACCCCGTCTCTACTAAAAATGCAAAAATTAGTTGGGTGTGGTGGTGTGTGTCTGTAGTTCCAGCTACTCGGGAGGCTGAGGCAGGAGAATGGCATGAACCCGGGAGGTGGAGGTTGCAGTGAGCCGAGATCCCACCACTGCACTCCAGCCTGGCTACAGAGCGAGACTCCCTCAAAAAAAAAAAAAAAAAAAAAGATTTTGAACTAAATAAGAATAAAAATATACAACCTGTCAGAATTTGTCAGGTGCAGGGAAAGCAGTGCTTGGAGGGAAATTTATAGTATTGAATGCACATAATAAACAAGAAGAAAGATCTAAATCAACACTCAAAGCTTAAGAAACTAGAAAAAGAACTTCAAATTAAGCCTAAAGCAAGCAGAAGAAAATAAATAATAAATATTATGACAACTCTATGCCTCAAAATTTGATTTTAACTTAGATGAAATAGACTGATCACTAGAAAGACACAAACTACCAAGACTCACACCAGGAGAATTAGAAGAATCTGAAGAGTTCTCTGAGTATTAAAGAAATTGAATCAATAATTAATAATCATCCAAAAAGAAAGCACCAGTCCCTAATAGTTTCACTGGTGAATCTGACCAAACATTTAGGAAAGATGTTATGTCAATTCACTACAATCCCTTCCAAAAAATAGAAGCAGAGGAAACACTCTTATCTCATTCAATGAGGTCAAAATTATCCTAATAGCAAAACCAGATAAAGACATTATAAGAAAGAAAAACTACAGACCAATGTAGCTCATGAATATAGATGCAAAAATTCTTTTTTTTTTTCTTTTTTTGAGATGGAATCTCGCTCTGTCTCCCTGGCTGGAGTGCAGTGGCATGATCTTGGCTCGCTGCAACCTCCACTTCCCGGGTTCAAGTGATTCTCCTGCCTCAGCCTCCTGAGTAGCTGGGACTACAGATGTCTGCCACCATACCCAGCTAATTTTTGCATTTTTAGTAGAGACGGGGTTTCACCATGTTGGCCAGGATGGTGTCAATCTCTTGACCTCGTGATCCGCCCGCCTCAACCTCCCAAAGTGCTGGGATTATAGGTGTGAGCCACCACACCCGGCTTATAGATGCCAAAATTCTTAACAAAACATGGCAAGACCGATTTAACAATGTATGAAAATAATAATTACACTACATGACCAGGTGGCATTTATTCCAGGTATGCAAAGCTCGTTCACAATTTGTTCAAAAAATACATGATGTTATCAATCAATGCAGAAAAAAATTTGAAAAATCCAACACTCATTCTGAATAAAAACACTTAGCAAACTAGAAATAGAGAGAACTTCCTCAAGTGGATTTTAAAAATTCAACAAAAACCCTAGAGCTAAGGGCATTCTTTTTTTTTTTTTTTTTTTTTTTTTGAGACAGTGTCTGTTGTCCAGGTTGGAGTGCAGTGGCGAGTTGCTGGGACTGCTGGCACACACCACCACACCTGGCTAACTTTTTTGCATTTTTTGTAGAGATGGTGTTTCGCCATGTTGCCCAGGCTGGTCTCAAGCTCCTGGGCTCAAGCTATCTGCCTGCCTTAGCCTTCCGGAGTGCTGGGATTATAGGCATGCGCCACCATGCTGGGTGATGTCATTCTTTTTTTAGTTTAGTTTTGTTTTTTTTCAGACGGAGTTTACTCTTGTTGCCCAGGCTGGAGTGCAATGGCATGATCTTGGCTCACCACAACCTCTGCCTCCCAGGTTCAAGCGATTTTCCTGTCTCAGCCTCCCAAGTAGCTGGAATTATAGGCATGCACCACCATGCCTGGCTAATTTTTTGTATTTTTAGTAGAGATGGGGGTTTTTCTCCATGTTGGTCAGGCTGATCTCAAACTCCCGACCTCAGGTGATCCACCCACCTTGGCCTCCCAAAGTGCTGGGATTATAGGCATGAGCCACCATGCCCAGCTGGGTGATGTCATTCTTAATGGTGAGAAAGTGGATGCTTTCTCCTAAGATTGGGAATAAGGCAAAGATATCTCCCTCCTCTCACCACTCACATTCAACATTATACTTGAAGTCCTAGCTAGTGCAATAAGGCAAGAAAAAGAAATACAATGTATATAGATTGAGAAGGAAGAAATAAAACTATCTTTGTTTGCAGATGACATGATTGTCTAGGTAAAAACACCAATAATCAATAAAAAACTCCTGGCTTGGTATGGTGGCTCAGGCCTGTAATTCCAGCACTTTGGGAGGCTGATGTGGGCAGATCACCTGAGGTCAGGAGTTTAAGACCAGCCTGGCCAACATGGTGAAACCCCATCTCTACTAAAAATACAAAAATTAGGTGGGCATGGTGATGCACATCAGTAGTCTCAGCTACTTGGGAGGCTGAGGCAGGAGAGTCGCTTGAACCCGGGAGGTGGAGGTTGCAGTGAGCTGAGATTGCACCACTGCACTCTAGCTTGGGTGACAGAGTGAGACTCTGTCTCAGAAAACAAAAAACAAAAAACAAAAAACGTGTGTCTCTGACGGCTGTGTGCGGGGCTGTGGTCAGGGCCTCATGGGTCCCCCAGGAGCTGGGACGCCTAGGTGGCCTGCCCCTGCCGCACAGCCCAATAGACCTTGGTTTTAAAAGTGTGGCTGTGACGGTACTTGGTGAGCCCCCTGGACATGACCAAGGAGAAGGTGAGGCCTCAGGCACTCAGGGACCCCCTGCCCAGCCTGACCTGGCTCCTGCGCTGACCGCCTCACCCTCACCTCTTCTCTGCCCAGGATACAAAGTTAACATACAAAGGTCCATTGCTTTGCTTTATAACAGCAATGAAGAATTGGAATTTGAAATTAAGAACCCAATATCTCTTACATTACCATGGGAAAATGAAATACTTAGGTACAAATCTAATAAAATTATGGATTTGTATGCAGAAACTGCAAAATTCTGATAAAAGGAATCAAAGATCTAAATAAATGAAGAGATATTCTGTGTTTATCAATTGGAAGATACATTATTTCTAAGATGGCAATTTTTCCCAACTTGATCTACAGATTTAATACAGTCCCAATTACAATACCAGTAAGCTACTTTGTGGATATTGACAAACTGACTCTTAAGGTTTATGTGGAAAGGCAACAAACCCAGAATAGCTAGCACAATACTGCAGAAGAAAGACAACTAGAGCGCTGACATTCCCAACTTCAAGACTTACTCTAAACCTACAGTGATCAAGATGGTCTGGTATCATGAATGAATAAACACATACAACAGTGGAACAGAATAAAGAGCTCAGGAATAGACTCACCAACAGAGCCAGGTGATCTTTGACAAAAGAGCAAAAGCAATACGACGGAGAAAAGGTAGGCTTTTTCTACATATGGTGCTGGATCAACTGGACTTCCACATGCCAACAACAACACAAAAAATTAATCTAGATGCAGTCCTTACACACCTTTCAGAAAATGAATCACACATCTAACGTAAAATACAAATCTATACAACCTCTAGCAGACAATAAGAGAAAATGTAGGTGACCTTGGGTTTAGTGATGAGTTTTTAGATACAACACAAAATACAATCCATGAGGGAAAAAAAATGCTAAGTTGGATTTTTTTTTTCCCAAGATGGAGTCTCACTCTGTCGTCCAGGCTGGGGTGCAATGGTGCGATCTCAGCTCACTGCAACCTCTGTCTCCCAGGTTCAAGTGATTCTCTTGCCTCAGCCTCCTGAGTAACTGGGATTACAGGTGCCCGCCACCATGCCTGGCTAATTTTCATATTTTTTTTAGTAGAGATGGGGTTTCACCATCTTGGCCAGGCTGGTCTTGAACTCCTGACCTCAGGTGATTGGCCTGCCTTGGCCTCCCAAAGTGCTGGGATTACATGAGCCACCACGCCTGGCCAATTGGACTTTATTATAATAAAATTTAAAACTATTTTGCAAAATACAGTGTAAAGTGAGTTAAAAGACAAGCCACATCTTGGTAGAAAATATTTGCAAATCACTCTTCTTTTTTTGTAGAGATAGGGTCTCACTATATTGACCAGGCTGATCTCAAATTCCTGGCCTCAAGTGATTCTCCCACCTCAGCCTTCCAAAGTGCTGGGCCTGTAGAGGTGAGCCACTGCTCCTGGTCTCAGCATCACTTTTTTTATTTTTTTGGAGATGGAGTCTCGCTCTGTCGCCCAGGCTGGAGTACAGTGGGGTGATCTCGGCTCACTGCAGGTCTTGGGGAGGAGGACCTGAGGGGGAGACCCAGCTCCTGGGTTCAAGCGATTCTCCTGCCTCAGCCTCCCGAGTAGCTGGGACTACAGGCATGCGCCACCATGTCTGGCTAATTTTTTGTATTTTAGTAGAGACAGGGTTTCACCGTGTTGCCCAGGCTGGTCTCAAACTCTTGACCTCAGGTGATCTGCCCGCCTCGGCCTCCCTAAGTGCTGGGATTGCAGACATGAGCCACCGTGCCCGGCCTCAGCATCACTTTTGAATACAAGTTTAACTTTCTCATGCCAGAAGCAGGGCTTAGTCACCCTTGACAGTTTCCAGTTCTGCACCTCAGTGGCTCAAGCCGATGGCAGCCATAAGAACTTAGAGGCATCTCTCCTGCCCAGAAGCCTGGGCTCCCCACTTCTCCCCCTTTCCTTTAGAAAAGGCTGTTCAGACATTTGCCCATGAACTTAAGGGACCTGCTCTCTATTCCCTCATGTTTGCTGCTAGCAGAGCCCCTGCTCTGCCTGACTTGCCATTTCTGCCTCCTGTGAACTGTGGACCCCAAGAAAAACATCACAGAACTGCCCTTCTGCCATCCTGGGCAACACAGCAAGACCCTGTCTCTAAAAAAAAAATAATTACCCAGGTGTGGTGGGGTGCACCTGTAGTCCCAGCTGCTTGGGAGGCTGAGGCAGGAGGATCTGTTGAGCCCAGGAGTTTGAGGCTGCAGTGAGCTATGATTGCACCACCGCACTCCAGCCTGGGCAGCAGAGTGAGGCCTTGTCTCAAGAAAAAAAAAAACACCCCCCAAAAAAACAAAACTGCCCTCCAGAATCACGGTGCCTTTCCTGCCCAGGACCTGTAGTAAAAATCTTTGCACGTGTTTCCTATCACAGTGGTGGACTGAATTTGTGCTTCCATCTGAAGAGCTAGGAGCTACCCCAGGCCAGCTTTTCCCTGGGACCCTGGAGGGAACAGAGGGTTGGGCTCCCTGTGCCAGAGCGATGGCCAGGTAGGCATGACCTGGGCATGGGTCAGACACAAGCCTCAGGCACCTGCCAATATGAACAAGTTTCCTGTGTGAGTGAGCCCCTGGTTGAGGGCTGGATAATTAGGCACGAGGCTGCCCACTGAATGAAAGAAGATCCTGTGAAAGGTGCAGGATAAACACCAGGCCCAGCCCCCCTCATTACCTGCTAGGGTAACGAGGACCCCTCATTACTGGGACCCTCATTGGGGCCCTCAATGGGACCCCAATTTAGCAAGAAGCTCTCAAAGCAAACATATCTGATAAAGGACTTGTGTTGAAAATATATTTAAAAACTCTGGTTGGGTGCAGTGGCTTACACTTGTAATCACAGCACTTTAGGAGGCCGAGGCAGGAGGATCATTTGAGGTCAGGAGTTCGAGACCAGCCTGGCCAACATGGTGAAACCCCGTCTCTACTAAAAATACAAAAACTAGCTGGGCGTGGTGGTGGGCGCCTGTAATCCCAGCTACTCTGGAGGCTGAGGCAGGAGAATCGCTTGAACCTGGGAGGCGGAGGTTGCAGTGAGCCAAGATTTCACTATTGCACTCCACCTGAATGACAAGAGTAAGACCCTGTCTCCAATAAATAAATAAATAAAATAAAAACAAAACTCTTCAAATGCTAAGAACACAACCCCATCAAACAGGGCAAAAGATCTGAACAGACACCTCACCAAAGATTAAGATGTACAGATGGCAAATATGTAAATGAATAGACGTGCGACATCATCTGTCATTAGGGGATTGTAAATTACAGCAATAATGAGATGCTACCATACACCCATCAGACTACAGTTCCACCAAACGCTGGTGAGGGTGCAGAGCAGCAGGAACGCTCACTCGTCACTGGCAGGAAGGAACAGAGCAAGCCGCCTTCTGGCCTCAGTAAGACTGAAGGCAAAAGAAACTCTTCATCAACCCCGTATTCTACTTGATAACACTGTTCTCCACGGGGTGTGGGTGAACAGTCCTGACGCGGCTATTCCCCTGCGCTGGTATCAGACAATTAAGTGCCTGTGCGGAGGACAGCTCCCAGGCATCCCACTGTTGCATGGGAATTCACACAGCAGCAAGAGGAAGAAGCCAGAATGTGTCGCGCTGTCGTGGACCAGGGTTGGAGACGTCAGCTCGAGCGCGATGGTCACGTGCAGGAACATTTGCAGCTCTGCGCACACGCAGGGGACGAGCGAGGGCTGGCAGAGCACGGCTGCCTCTCGCTGTGCCGGACGAGAGGGCCTGGAAGCAGTGACCCCGGCAACAAGCACAGCCGGCCCCCAGGCCGCGGCTCCTGTTACTGCTTTCCAACAGAAGGAACCAGGCTCCCTGGAGAAGTGGCTGATGGCAAGACCAGGGCAGGAAATACACAATGAGACAGGGGCATCCATTTCAAAACCAAGCCAGGCTCGGTGCGGTGCCTCAAACCAGTAATCCCAGCACTCTGGGAGGCTGAGGTGGGCAGATCACTTGAGGTCAGAAGTTGGAGACCAGCCTGGCCAACATGGTGAAACCCCGTCTCTACTAGAAATACAAAAATTAGCCAGGCCTGGAGGCACATGTCTGTGATCCCAGCTACTCGGGAGGCTGAGGCAGGAAATCGTTTGAACCGGGGGGGCAGAGGTTGTAGCGAGCCCAGATGGACCCTGTCTCAAAAACAAAACAAAACAAAAACCAAAAACATAAAAAAAAAAACAAAAAACAAAGCAAAGCAAAACCCCACAGTGATGGGGTCACGTAAAAAGGGCACAGAAGCCAAGTAAAAGAGCTTCCAGTGGCCAAAGCTGGACTCACGTGAGCAAGAAAATAAATAAAATCATATTGAATTATAACCTAAGCATACAATACTCATAAGTCCACACTGACATAAATAAATGATTGAATAAATTAGTAAATGAGGAGAAGAGACAAATCTCTCACGCAAAAGAATTCCAGATACATTACACAGATGCTCTCCCTGGTCCCTGGTTCCCACGGCCCTGGCCGTGAGAGGCCTGCTTGGATTGGGGCTGAGACTTCCCTCCGGGGGGTTTTCTCACAGGTGTCCACTGGCTGGATGGCTGGATGCCCCAGGGGCCCTGACCGCCTTTCCAGACTGCCCCTGAGGCAGCCCTGGGGCCAGGAGGAGGCCCCTAAACCCAGCCTTCCTCCAGATGCTGAGATAAAGACCTCAGCCTCTCGCCACGTTCAGCAGGCTCGCAGCAGGTGACCAGGGCCAGGCAGCATCCGCAGGCAGAACAAGACACGGAGAAGGCAGGAGGTGACCGCCGTCTTCACAGTTCTCCTTTGTGGCTCAGCCCCCAGGCCATTGCATGGACGGCTTCCCAGCCCCAACATAGAGCCTCCCTCCCCCAGCCCACTCACTATCCATCCAGGTCTCCCCTGAGCCAGGGTCTCAGACGGGAGGACCACCTGCCCTGGAGGTCATCCCCCTGCGTTTTCCCACGCACCTCGGCACACCTGACTCCTTAAGGTCCTCAGGCCTCCCTCCCCAGCGTCTCGGCCAGGGCCAGACCTGCCCCCGTACCCTCTCTCAGCCAGGGCCGGACCTGCCCCTACACCCTCTCTCAGTCAGGGCCGGACCTGCCCCTGCACCCTCTCTCAACCAGGGCTGGACCTGCCAGGGAGCCCCTCTGCTCCCTGCTCACTCGTCACTCATACTGGCTTCTCCCAAGGAGGTTGGGGGCAGCCTCTAGGAAAGGTGCCCCTTTCCCCCTCTGCAGGTGCCTCACACCCACTCTGGCCAGATGGCAGGCAGGTGGCAGATGGGTCTGGCCATTGCAGCTCAGCACAGCCACAGAAGCCATGGAGCCCTCCTCTCCCCTGAGCAATGCCCACCCCAGGACCTACCCAGGTGAGCACAAGACCACCTGCCACCACCCGCCTCTGTGCAGGCAGCGAGATGGGCGGAGGGACCCTGGCCCTCGTGGGCAGAGCTGTGCTCAGCGTGTGGGTACCTGGCCGCGGCGCGTCTCGCAGTTGTGGAGGTAGCTCAGGTGATAGATCTTCAGGTACAACGTGGCAAAATTCAGGTACTTCAAGAACACCTGAAACAGGAATTGCAACAAGAGGAATTAAAATTCCAGTTTTCAGACATGTGCCCCCGTGGGTATTTTGCAGGAGAAACATGCTCGCCTGAGGGTGCCCAGACACGCCAGGAAGCTGTGCCCCACAGGCAGACATGGATTGGCACACACAAGCTCAGGTGCACAGGGTGGGCACGCAAGCTATCTCTCTCTCTTACACACAGACAGGTGTGCACAGACACACAGGAGCACAGCGATGTGCAGATGAGCACGTGGAGCCCAGCAGCCCAGCAGACGCGCAGCACAGAACACGCGGGCAGGCAGGCAGGGAGGCAGACGCGTGGCACAGAACACGCGGGCAGGCAGGCAGGCAGGTAAGGAGGTGGACGCACAGCACAGAACACACGGGCAGGCAGGCAGGGAGGCAGACGCGTGGCACAGAACACGCAGGCAGGCAGGCAGGCAGGTAAGGAGGTGGACGCACAGCACAGAACACACGGGCAGGCAGGCAGGGAGGCAGACGCGTGGCACAGAACACGCGGGCAGGCAGGCAGGCAGGTAAGGAGGTGGACGCACAGCACAGAACACGCGGGCAGGCGGGCAGGGAGGCAGGCAGGGAGGCAGACGCGCAGCACAGAACACGCAGGCAGGCGGGCAGGCAGGTAAGGAGGTGGACACGCAGCACAGAACACGCGGGCAGGCGGGCAGGCAGGTAAGGAGGTGGACGCGCAGCACAGAACACGCGGGCAGGCAGGTAAGGAGGCAGACACGCAGCACAGAACACGCGGGCAGGCAGGTAAGGAGGCAGACACGCAGCAGAGAACACACGGGCAGGCGGGCAGGCAGGTAAGGAGGTGGACGCGCAGCACAGAACACGCGGGCAGGCAGGTAAGGAGGCAGACACGCAGCACAGAACACGCGGGCAGGCAGGTAAGGAGGCAGACACGCAGCAGAGAACACACGGGCAGGCGGGCAGGCAGGTAAAGAGGTGGATGCGCAGCACAGAACAGGCGGGCGGGCAGGCAGGCAGGGAGGCAGACGCGCGGCTGCCCAGGTGCCCCCCACACTCACATCTTCGTCTTCGCTGGTGAAGAATGGGCCGTTGAGCTTGTTCACTGCCATGATCACCGCCACGACGTCTTTGCCATTCATGATGGGTGTGGCCAGCATATTCTTTGTCTTGTAGTCAGTGAGCTCGTCAGCAAATGAGCTGAAGTGAGGGCACTGCCGCAAGAGAGGAAAGAGGCTAAAGAGGCTGTCGCACCGTGGGCCTGGAGCCCGCACCACTGGGGTTGTCGTCAAGCTCTGTGGGGGCTGCTGCCCTCCAGGTGTGAGGTGCCCAGGGGCCCTGCTGGGCACTGGGATGTGGCCACCGGGCGGTGAAAGCTGGGCCTGTCCCTGTGGCTCCAGCCTGGCTCCATGCACCCCTGTGCGGAGGATGCTGGTGCCCCCCAGTGCTCAGTCCAGCAGACTTGGACAGGCCTCATGGGGGGCCCCGCCCTGCCTGGCACCTCACGCACCTGCCGCCCTCCGGCCACGTCGGGCTTCCTGGATGCCTGTTGAGCCTGCCTGCTCGCCTTGTCCCTGAAGCCTCCTGGTGCCCGCCACCCTCTCCTGCCTTCAGCCCCCTGCAGGACACTCCTACACTCTTCCCTGAGAGACAGCCATTGGTAGGGTGTGGGATGGGCCCATTCTAATTGGGGGCTTGTTCGTCGGACACTTTAACCAGGGCAGGTGCAGCTGGCAGGCCGGGGTGGGAGTCCTTTCACTCCTGGGGTCTGTCCTCCACCCCTCTGGCCTCCCAGGCACACACTCCCAGGGGTCTGCCCCCTGGGGTCTGGGGCCCACCGTGATGAGAACTTTGCCTGCCTCTGGCTCCCAGGGGGTACCCACCCACCCTCACTCCTACCCTCACTCCCACCAGATTTAGAGCAGCCCCTCCTCTCTTGGCTCTTAGGTTCCGGCCCCTCAAGGAACAGGTCAGCTGAGCTCTGCCTCAGCTCAGACACAGCGAGGGTTACTGAGACCAGACACCCCCCGGTGACTGGGATTCTGTCCTTCAGAGAGTTGGATGTGACCCCAGACCCTCCTCTTACTTCCTGGTTCTGACATTTGTTTACATGAGGCCAGGGTGCCCTGGGGCAGTGACCCAGGTGGACGGCTCCGGAGTCAGCCCTGCTGGGGTCAGGACTTCCCACCTGTGCGACCTGCAGTGGGCACAGGGTGGTTCTGTGGCCTTCTCCTCACCAGTCAATGGGGCAAAAATAACAGGCTCTGCCCTCAGCCACTGCGCCAGCTGAATGGGAGCTCCTGGGATGCGCCTCACATCTCCTGCTGTTTCTAGGGACGGTGGCCCTGCAGCAGCAGAGGGCAGACTCCTCGCAACTCCCCTCCACCCCCTTCCCCTGCAGCAAGGTTGAGAGGTCAGAGGAAGCCTGCTGGGGGCTGGCCGAGGTGCTAGCGTGCTCCTAAATGGCACCCACCCTTCCTGCTCCTCATTTCCTGATTCTTGGAGATACAGCTGCTGCCCATAGCCATGTGGGCTGGCATTGAAGGAAAACCAGCATTTAAAAGATGGTGGAGCAGGAAGACGGGTGAGTGAGCCCTGGCAGGGGTGGCAGCGTGGGCAGTGGAGCCAGCATCCCTTTATTGGATCTGAAACAGGGATGGGCCCTGAGGGAGGGCTCATCTCACCACCTGCAACCCCTGAGGGCTCATCTCTGCACCTGCGTCCCCCGAGGGCTCATCTCTGCACCTGTGTCCCCTGAGGCCAAGCACAGCACACTCCTGCCTGCTTGTCGTGGTGCCTGTTGTGCCTGTGGCAGTTTGGACAGTGTCTCCTCCACCAGCCGTCAGTGCTACAGTGGCCACCATGTGTGCTCCCTGATGAATTCAGAGTCTCTGTTACTGTTTCCCTCCCTTTCTACCTGGAGCCCATCCTTTTACCCATCCCTTGCCAACCTCACTGACACCCTCACCTGGGGTCCTTCCCTGGTTGCTGATCTTCACAGCATGACACCTGGACATATACCAGTGATTATGGAAAGAGCACAACATGACCCTCAGACGGCACCACACAGATCCACACAATGTGACCCTCGGCACCATGCAGATCCACACAACGTGATCCAGAGATGGTGCCACATGGATCCACACAACGTGATCCAGAGATGGTGCCACACGGACCCACACAACGTGACCCTGAGACAGCACCACACAGATCCCCACAATGTGACCCCCAGACAGCACCACGCAGATCCACAGGTGATCCAGAGATGGTGCCACACGGATCCACACAACGTGACCCTGAGACAGCACCACACAGATCCCCACCATGTGACCCCCAGACGGCACCATGCAGATCCACACAACATGATCCAGAGATGGTGCCACATGGATCCACAAAACGTGATCCAGAGATGCTGCCACGCAGATCCACACAACGTGACCCTGAGATGGCACCACACAGATCCCCACAATGTGACCCTCATAACCCTCAGACGGCACCACATGGATCCACACAACATGATCCTCAGACGGTGCCTCATGGATCCACATGTGATCCTCAGATGGCATCACACAAGATGACCCTTAGATGGTGCCACACACAAATCCACACAACGTGACCCCCAGACAGTGCCACACGGATCCACACAGCATGACTCTCAGCTGATACCACATGGATTCACATAACGTGACACTCAGATGGTGCCACACAGATCACAGCGTGACACCTGGACATATACCAGAGATTCTGGAAAGAGCACAACATGACCCTCAGATGGTGCCACATGAATCCATGCAATGTGACCCTGAGATAGCAGATGGTGTCACATAGATCCACACAGGATGACCTCAGATGGTGCCATGCAGATCCACACAACATGACCCTCAGATGGTGCCACATGAATCCATGCAATGTGACCCTGAGATAGCAGATGGTGCCACACAGTTCCACACAGGATGACCCTCAGATGGTGACACATGAATCCATGCAATGTGACCCTGAGATAGCAGATGGTGTCACACAGATCCACACAACGTGACCCTCAGATGGTGCCACATGGACCCACACAACGTGACCCTCATGACCCTTTGATGGTCCCACACACAAATCCCCACAATGTGACCCTCAGATGGTGCCACATGGACCCACACAATGTGACCCTCATGACCCTTTGATGGTCCCACACATAAATCCACACAACGTGACCCTCAGATGGAGCCACATGGATCCACGCAACGTGATCCTCATGACCCTTAGATGGTCCCAAACACAAATCCATACAATGTGACCCTCAGATGGTGCCACACAGATCCACGCAACATAACCCTCAGACAGTGCCACAAGGATCCACACAATGTAACCCTCAGACGGTGTCACACAGATCCACATAACATGACCTTCAGACAGCGCCACAGGGATCCACACAATGTAACCCTCAGACAGTGCCACAGGATCCACACAATGTGACTCTTAGATGGAGCCACACAGATCCACACAAAGTGACCCTCAGATGGTGCCCCATAGTCACACAGGCTATGGTTGATCAATGTTCAGCCTCACTTCTCTTGCCAGCTTTGTCTCTACCAGTTTCTTCCTGGATCTCAGACCTGACTCTGTCACTTCTCTCTGCCCCACACGTTTTCACAGCTCTTGTTTCACAAAGAAAGTATGGGAACAGCCACAGAGCCTTCCTGCCTCTCTCTTGTGGCCTACCCTCCACCCAAGAACCTCACCCTATTTGTCACCTTCTCTTCTTCATAGTCTCTCCCCATCCTGGGATTTAAGCGCACTCAGGACTCTGTAAAATGCTCTCTCAGCCCGTTCGTCTGCCGTCTTTTCTCCTTCACAGCTGCTCCTGGGTCCCCTGCCTTCCTGGCTGCGTCACTGGTCTCAGCAGGCACCTGGCTCCATTTCAGCTGTCCCAGCTGAGGTGGGCTGCCGTTACCATCCTTATGCCGACAGCTTCTCTCCTTCACCACTGGCCCCATTCACTCCCTGGTCCTTCCAGGCCTGTGCCAGATACACCCTTGGTCCCAGCACTGAGACCTTCACGCTGAGGCTTTGTGACTGCAGCCTCTTTGTGTCTCACCAGCCCCCACACCCTTAGGACCGAGAGGAACAGCTCCTTAGAGGTCCAGAGCAGGCAGCCGGAATTGGGGCTTGGCCACCGCGGAGGTTCTGCCAGAAGCTATGCTCCTCTGAGCAGCTGGTTTTGAGTGAGGTTGCCCCTCGTTCCTCCTTCCCTGTACCTTGTCAGGCTTCTGCGAGCAGCTGGCCCAGCCCAGGGGCTCCCCAGGAACATCTGCTCCAAACCCTGGCTTGCACTCTGCCCTCTGCCCTCCTCAGCTTCCCTAACACCACAGGGAATGTTTACTTTTTTGTAAGTCTGCCATCGAGACTGCAAAGAGTCCCACGCGGAAACATCCGGCCACTCTCTCACTGACACCTGCTCTCCTTTCCCCAGCGTCTGGTCACTCTGCTGCCCTTGCATGGATGGGCACTCGGTACCAGCCGGGCCACAGCCACCCTGGTCCCAGCCTGGCTGGTGCAGCTTCCAGCCTCAGCGGCTCCCTCCCGCTGCCCCTCGTGGCCCAGCAGCCCGACCCCAGCCCAGCCTTCACTTCCTGAGATGACAGCCCTGCAAACTCCCCTCGGCCACAGGGATGGATCCCTCGGCCTCCCTGTCCGACTGCCAGCTGCCCCACCCATTGTGAAATGCAGCCACACCATCGTGTGTCTGTCGGTGAAGATTAACACGTGGCCCCTGCTGGCCCCCCGTCTCTCCTCTCTGGTGCCCTCTGGGTTCTGTGTCCCCTGTAGTGATGCCTGGCCGGGGGGTCCTTGCCTGCTGGTCTCTTCCTCTCCACTGTCCAGTCTGGGCTTCCCTACTTCCCCAGAGGCTCCTGGTCAGACATGCCAGGAGCCTTGTCTGGGAGCAGGTGGCAGCTGTGGACTCTCAGGCTCCTGGGAACCCCCTGCATTTGCTCTGCCTCTAGCAGGCCTGGGGGCTGTGTGTGCTCACATAGCCGAGCAGCTGGGCCTCGCTCTGGGGCCTTCACACCCACTGTGGCTTCTCCAAAGCACCTCCAACTGCCCAAGCCCCACACCTCCTCTGCCGTCTGTGCTCAGCATGGCTGACGGCCGGTCCTGCCACCCTCCTCCCTCTATCTCCGGATTCCCACCCAGCCCGTGTTCTCAACGCCCCTGCTCTGTCCAGCCTTGTAGAGACCACCATAGGACTGAGTCGAAGGGTCTTGACTGCTGGCGACGTGCAGGACCCCGTGATGAGGTGTTTTGGGGCAGGGGGCAGGGGACCCACCAGGGTCCCGGGACGGGCCTTTGGGATGGGTTCCCATGACGGTCCCAGGGAGAGGAGCTGGAAGGTGGTGGAGGCTGAGGCTGCATGCACAGCACTGCGGGGTCCGTGGCTGTTCGGCTGGGGCTGGGCTCAGAAACCGCTGCACAGTCAGAGCTGGGGTGTGAGTCCTGCCCCGCCACTTGGTGGCCGTGGCCGAGCCCCACCAGCCCACCAGGATCGTCCATCCCAGCTGCCCTCGCTGTGAACTCTTGCAGGTCTGAGGAGCCACAAAGGGGTGATGGGGGGGCTGGTGGCTTCCCCCTCATCAGGTGTGGGCGGCGTCCCTGCCCGGGGTGCACAGCGGGGGATGGGGAAGGCCATGCCACCTCACAGGCCCACTCGCTCCTCCCTCTCTGCACCCGACCTGTGCTTCCTTCCTGCCAAGAGGCTTGTCTAGGAGCCATGAACACTGGGTAGCTGGGCAGGGCCTCTCACCCGGCTGGCCCATTGGCTTCTGACATGTTGGGAGGGATGGAGGGGGGCCTGGTGTCCGCCTTCTGGGACCTGTGGTTCCTGAGCCCAAGGTTTTAGGGTTCACAATCCATGCCCAGGCCTGGGCCAGGCTCCAGGAAGGTTGTGCTCAGTCCTGAGTCCCGGCAGGGCCCCCCTTGTGCAGGCCCTGGGATTCGCTGTGTCTCCCCAAGGGGCTGCCGTGACACACAACATGTGTAGTCGTGGGGTTCTGGGAGCAGACAGGGACTTGGAGCCATCAGCTGAAGCCCTGCACCTCCCAGAAGCTGGTCCCACGTGGCCTGGCACCGCCTGGGCTCCCTGTAGGCCCGAGAGTGTGAGCCCTGGGCAGCCCCTCCCTCCATGGTGGCTCCTGGGACAGACCCCTGGGGACAGGAGGGCCCACAGGCCAGGCTACTGCAGCCTTCACCCTGGGCTGGCACCCTCAGCTCCAGGAGGATGGACGCTTGCAGCTCAGGGAGGAGCGGGTTACCCGGGGCCTGCCTGCCCTGCAGACTCAGGGCCCGCTGTGCTCAGGAGCAGGCTGGTTTAGCCGCTGCAGCACCCTTGAGAGGCAGACATTAGTTCCCCAATGTAAACAGGGAGACAAGGCTCAGGAGGGCGAGACTCCGGGTGGCCCGGGCAGGAGGGTGAGACTCCGGGTGGCCCGGGTGTTGCGTGCTGGCCACCCACGCCCCGTCTGAGGGACTCTTCCACCACAGCCACGAGCTGCTCTCCTGAACTGGCCGGTGCGGCTCACGCCCTCCAAAGAGGGTGCAGTGGGCCAGACTGAGGTGTGCTCTGCCTCAGTCCCCCCTTCTGTAAACTGAGACATGAACCCAGAAGCCACTTGGCAGTGCTTAGGGTGCTGAGATGCACTTCATGAGGCTTTGCACTTCATGAGGATTTGCACTTCATGAAGATTTGCTTTTTTTGGTGGCAATTCAGACTCAAGTTTCTGTTCCCTTAGTCTGAGATAACTAAGACTCCACAGAATGGAGGGACAGACACCATGCCCAGCCCCTTGGAATGGCACCAGCTACACTGGGCAGGGGAGAGGCCTCGGAGGTCAGTCCTGGGGCAGGTGCGGCCATGGCACTGGGGGTGGGGGTGGCAGGACCTAGAACAGCCCTGGGGAACAGGCCAGGCCGAGGGACGGACCTAGGACAGCCCAGCAGTTTGAGGGGGACCCGCAGAGCAGGGAAGAGACACCATCAGCCGGGTGGGGACAAAGGGGTGAAGGGGTGGTGGCAGCGGGGGACAAACTCCTGGGGGCAAGAAAGACACAGCCCAGATTTGGGACAGGGTGGGGATGAGAAGTTGTCTTGGGGATTGTGTGCAGGAGGAAGGAAGGGAGACGGGGAGGATGGCAGAAAAGGAGGGAGGAGGGTGGCAGGAGAGTGAGGGGAGGAGGGAGGAGGGAACGGGGGGAGGGAGGAGCAGCTGGTGTCCACCCCAGGCCCCACTGCTGTGAAGTTTCCTGGCTTCCTGGTAACTCATGCTCCTGATGCACGATTGATTTGTGGGTGCCCCACTTCTTAGGAGGGAGGTGGAGATGAAGGTAACCCGGGGATTACTGAATCTAGGTCACTGCCTTGCTGCTTGCTTACTGCCATTGGGATAAGAGGATTGCCACTTCCGGCCTGGTGCGGTGGCTCACGCCTGTTATCCCAGCACTTTGGAAATCTGAGGCAGGTTGATCACCTGAGGTCAGGAGTTCGAGAACAGCCTGACCAACATGACGAAACTCTGTCTCTATTAAAAATACAAAAATTAGCCGGGTGTGGTGGCGGGCACCTCTAGTCCTAGCTACTCAGGAGGCCAAGGCAGGAGAATCGCTTGAACGTGGGAGACGGAGGTTGCAGTGAGCTGACATCATGCCACTGTACTCCAGCCTGGTGACAGAGCAAGACTCTGTCTCAAAAAAAAAAAAAACCCACAAACGAAAACAAACCAGGATTGCCACTCCCCAGCTGCCTGGGAAGGAGGGACCACACCTGCCCCTGGGCTGGCAGCCTGGTGGGTAATTCCCAAGGCTCATCCAGCAAGAGCGGAGGCTGCCTGGGCCTCTTGCAGCCTCCTTAGCTGTGGGGACAGAAAAGGGGAGAGGAAGCTGGGACGGGTGCAGGACAGGGAGAAGGGGCTTCCCCCCTCCCCTTCTTCCTCAGAGCCCCCTTGCCGGGCAGCTCCTCAGGGCCTTTCCAGGTCTCTGCTGGCCGCTGCCCTCACCCAGTCTGGCAGGCACCTCACACCCCTCTTGTTCTCCAGTCCCGCCAGGACCGCCTCTGTCCTCGGGAAGCGTCTGCCCTAGCCCAGGCTTTGCATGAACAGGCCCTGCCCTTCCCTCCTTCAGTGACTCCAGTGAGCCTGTCTCGATTCTGTCTCTTGTCCCTCCCCAGTCCCACCCTGGACCCCTGTGCTCAGTGGCTACCAGGTTTGTTCTCCCCTGGCGGCTGGCGTGGGCTCCCATGGGATAAAGCTGCTTCTGCCACAGTGGAAGTTTGGGGTTCCCCTGGCTCTCCCTCCCTGTGGGCGTCTGCACCACCTTCGACTGTGACCTCTTCTTCCCAAATCCCAAGGCAGGGCCTCCCTCCCAGCCCAGAGAGCCCTGAAGCCCCCATCTGGTCAGTCTTCCTGGAAGCCAGGGGTCCTCACAGGGACTACATGGTCCCCACCATGGGATGTGGATGCAGAATCAGGGGCACCCCGGTTTGAGCCTGAGTCTGCTTCAGCCGAGGCTCCTAGACTCAGGTCTAACCAACTCAGTGGCCATGCGATGTCAGCTTGAGCCAGAAGCCGAGTCGGAGAGGCAGGCGGCCAGGGCACAGTGCCGGGAGGGGGCTCTAGGTACTTGCTCCTCAGCACAGAACTAGCCTGTGCCCTGACAAGAGGCCTCCCTGGAGGCCTGAGGATCCGAGCTGACCCTTAGACACCTGGGACAGGTGCAAGAGATGCACACAGCCGCCTCCCTGAGGCTCCGCACAGACCCACCTCGGCCACGTCCTCGACGTTCACCATCTTTTTGGTCTGAGCCACGTGGCCCACGACCCCGATGTCCAGTGGGAAGACGATCTCGGAGTCGGGGGGCACCAGGCAGTCCTCCAGGACGCTGTCCGGCTGCACGCTGAAAAGCCTGGTGGCCAGCTCGGCCACGCCGTTGCGCTGGCGGTACATGAAGAGGCTGCAGCGGTCGGCCTGCAGGAGGGTGCAGAGGCGCCGCAGGACCTTGAAGACCACGCGCTCCATGTTGATGCTCTCCTGCATATCCTGCACCAGCTCCAGCAGCGCCGTGCTCTCCTCCACCTGGCAGAGGTCCCGGAGGCTGTCGCAGTCCGGCGGGCACCCGTCCTCGCAGGCCGCGGCCACATTCTCAGGGCTCAGTTTCTTCCCAAAGTACTGGCGGGCAAAATCGGGGTTCTGGTCCAGAAAGCTCCGGGCCTGCTCCTCACTGAGGCTCATGGTGGCTGCCTGTCCCTGGAGACGCTGCTGCTCCAGGCACGCATGGACTCCCAGGAAACCCTGTCATCAGCAAAGTCTTTCTTAGTGAGATTAGGAACCCCGGGGGCGGGTCAGCTGACTCACTCCTACAAATGGGGGCCTGCGCTCCCTCTCCTCAGACCCTGGGACTTCCCACCTTCCAGGAAAACCAGACCCTGTGGAATGAAGGCTGGGAGTAACTGTTGGGGGATCTCCTGCCTGTTGCAGGCGTCACGGGTGGCTGGGCACAGGCATTTGGCTTCTAGCGGACCAGGCCCTGAGAACTAATCCCCTGAGGAGGTTATCCCACACACAGCATGACGCTTTCTGCTGGTGGAGCTGCCTGAGGGTTTGGGTTGGTCCCACAGGTGGCCCCAGGCCCTCCTGGGAGCCCAGACCTGGGCTCGGGTGTGCTGGGGAGGTGGTGGGGCACTGGCCCTGCCTCCAGGAGATGCAGTTCACCCCTGTGCAGGGAGAGGGGGCTGGGTAATCACACCAGGACCCAAATGCCCAGAGGCCAGCAAGGGGACCCTGGATGTGGAGGTGGGACCACATCCACCTTCCCCCACACTCTGAGGGATGCAGAGTTGCTAGTCAGCCTTTACCTGCTGTCAGGCCCCGGCTGGGACAAGCTTCGGGGTGACGCCGCTCTGAGGCCACATGGCTTTCAGTGGAAAAAGGACCTGAATGTTGGGGGGCTGCCTGGCAACAAAGCCCGACCTCTCCTCTCCGCTGTCACCTCAGCAAGCCTTGCCTGCTCCCATAGGCCTCTCGGCTCCTGGGCCAGCTCCCTGCAGGCCAGCAGGGGTGATGTGGCCAGAAGCACCTTGGCTGGGTCTGGCATGGGCGCCGGCCTGGCGGGCGGGTGGCAGTGTTCCTGATTTCCCTGAATATAAAAACGCTGATTGTCGCTTTCCAGGCACCTTTGTGCTGCCAGATCCTGGGCTTAAGGTTTCTTCCCATCTTTTCCAGTTTATCTGTCCATGTTGTCACCATACTTTTAACCAGGATGCAAGGTTTTCATGTGGTTCTTTTACTGCACTCAGCTGGTAGACGTGTGTGCACGCGTGCATGAGTGTGCACATACGTGTGTGCACGGAGTGTGAGTGTGCGCACGTGTAGGTGTGTGTGTTCGTGTGAGCACGTGTGCATGACAGCCAGGTGCCCTCAGGAGCGCAGAGTTCTCTCAGCACGAGGCCAGGCCCCGGGGAAGCTTCTGCGAGGGCCCTGGGCTGCACCGCTGCAGCTGCCTGTCTCGGAGGCTGCTCTGAGGCAGCATCTGCGCCGTCCACAGTGGGCCCAGCTGGGTGTGCGACGTGTGCCCTTGTGCCATGATGTTCCTGCCTCCACTTAGTCACAAAGTCACTTCCTTTCAAGGATCTGCTGAGAGGCTTCCCCTTTTTCCTAAAAATAGTGAATTCTCACTGGGGACGGGGGAGTGGGGATGTGGGTGGGGGGAGGGGTTGTGGGGCCGCTGCAGTGCTTGGGTTTGGGGCCGGGGGGAGGGTCGCCTGCTTTGCATTCAGTCCCAGAACAGCCTCCAGAGCCTGCCGGTTGCATTTCCCAACTCCCAGGGATGAGCTCACATTGCGCCTGGATGTGAGGATGGCGGCCGGAAACCAGCCTTCAGGTCCTCGGTTGCCCCACCCTGAGGTCTATGCACACGCAGCCCCTCCCCACCTCCTTTTTCCTCTCCGGGCTCTTTCCCGTCCCCCAGTTCCTCACAACCCCCTTCTGGACACCCCCACTTTGCCCCTTGCTCCCCTCCGTCAGCGAGGGGCCTGCCAACCTCCCTCCCACAGGGGCCTCCGTGCCCGCAGAACTGAGACACTCACCTGCGTGTGAAATGAGCTAAGCGCATCTTGAGTGGGACCGCAGAGCTGGAGAGGCCTTGCTGGGGGCATGAGGGCCCTGGGGTGGGGCTGGGGGTGGCAGCTGACCTCAGGCTCTGCCTTGCCACCTGCCCAAGGGAGCGTGGAGTGGCTGGGCTCAGTGTGGAGAGCAGGTGGGACAGGGAAGGGGTGCTGGGCTGAGGATTTGTGGTGCTAGCGGGAGTGAGGGTTGGCTGGGAGGGCTCAGTGTGGAGAGTGGGTGGGACGGGGAAGGGGTGCTGGACTGAAGATTTGGGGCGCTAGCGGGAGTGAGGGTTGGCTGGGAGGAGCCCACAGTCTGCGGCCATAGTCCACTCACCCTAACACGACTGTGACAGCAGCTTCCACCCGCAGCACCGCGTTCCTCACCTGTGGCTTTGTCCTGCCCCAGGAGCCCGTCGTGATTGTAGGTGAGTAGGTTCAGGGCGGCAAGGAGTCCACAGCCTCTGGGGAACCCTGAGCCATGACCATGGGAGTTGTGTGTGAACACCGCAGCTCCCTTACCTGCAGGGGCCCAGAGGTAACTGCTCCATGGCACACTATTGGTTCTATCTTTTCCCCATCTCACTTCCCTACATACCTACTGATGATGCTGGGGGACCCTGATTGGGTTGGACTTGACACAGTCAAAAAGACACACCTGTGAGGCACACCTGTGAGACACACCTGTGAGACACAGCTGTGAGACGCACCTGTAAGGCTTACCTGTGAGATGCACCTGTGACATGCACCTGTGAGATGCACCTGTGAGACACACCTGTGAGACACACCTGTGAGACGCACCTGTGAGACGCACCTGTGAGGCTCACCTGTGACATGCACCTGAGACACACCTGTGAGACGCACCTGTGAGACACACGTGAGACGCACCTGTGAGACACACATGTGAGACGCACCTGTGACATGCACCTGTGAGACACACCTGTGACATGCACCTGAGACGCACCTGTGAGAAACACGTGAGATGCACCTGTGAGACACACATGTGAGACGCACCTGTGACATGCACCTGTGAGACACACCTGTGACATGCACCTGTGAGATGCACCTGTGAGACACACGTGAGACGCACCTGAGACGCACCTGTGAGACACACGTGAGACACACGTGAGACGCACCTATGAGGCACACCTGTGAGACATAGCTGTGAGACGCACCTGTGAGATGCACCTGTGAGATGCACATGTGAGATGCACCTGTGAGGTGCACCTGTGAGACGCACCTGTGAGAAGCACCTGTGAGATGCAAGGACTCACTGGGCGGCTTCTCCACAGATGCACCTGGCGAGTGTCTGAGGAGATATGGGAGTGCTCTGTCCCTTGGCTCCTACTAACTTTGCCTCATCATAATGTAGAATTTAAAATTAGCAAGCACTTCCTGGCAGTCACTTAGAACAAGGTGTTTGTCATCAAATAGCTTTTACATGAAGAGAATCCTAGTTTCTTGTACTAAACTGTGGAAAAGATGCAATTGTACAAGGAACAATTGGCCCTGATGTTGAAATGGACCGGTCATGAGGAATGGCAAGAGGTGAAAGTGGAGAGAAGATTCGAGCTCAGAATCAGAAATCTCATGAAATTTGCAAGCAGAGAAACAGTCAGCTCCGTGGGGAGCTGGTGCTCTTCCAGACCATTTCCCTGGAATGAGGACAAGGAAGGGTGAGGAGGTGGGGCTCCTCCTGAGCTGGTGTGGGAATTCCACCCAGGACAGGACAGGGGTCTTTGTGGGTGGGGGCGGCCGCGGCCCTCGGCCTGGGCTCTGTCCTCTGCCCATGCTCAGCTGCTGTCTGACCACAGGCGAGGCTCTCGGCTTCTTCAGGTCCCATTTTCTGGTTTGTTCTCGCCAAGAAGAATCTTGTGGCATTGTTTTTCCAGTGGGAAGTGATGCTGTTGAGTGTGTGGCAGGTGCTAGTGCCCCCGATGAAGACGGGTGCAGACGACACGCCACAGAGGACCACGGTCCCCCCTGGCAAAGGTTGGGGGAGGGTCCACAGGAGCTGGGCAGGGGGGTGTCTGGAAGGGGGTCCTCACCGTGTGGTACCTGTGGCTCCTGTCGGGTAGTCTCAGGCTCCCTCCAGATGTGAGGGCGGCACCCAGTCCTGCTCAGATCAGAATACAGATGGGCTTTTGTCCTCGAGCCGAGGACGTTTCTGTGTGTAATGAGGAGATGCGGAGCAGGAGGCAGAGCCTGTGTTCCTCTGTTGGTTGGGGATGGTTGGTGCCTAGCAGGATGATCCCACTCCCACCAGTGGCACGACCACCACCTGCTCCATGGTGCTTATTTTTGCTTTTTCATAAAGAGGCCTCAGGGCTCCTCTGTCTCCACTCAACAGGAGCTCTTCATCCATTCACCTCCTTGTAGCCCTGGAAGTGCCATGTTGAAACTCCGGACACCCGCCCCTCATCCATAAAAGACTTGGTCCCTGTTCTCACAAGGCCTATAATCTAACGAGGGCAACAGAAGTTTATTTTAAAAATCCCACAAATGCATGGAAAACACTCACTGTGCCCAGGGCCAAGGCTGATGGAGATGCCAGGTGTCCGTGGTTTGGGAAGCCACATGGAGGGGACGATGGCACAGAGAGCAGGGGGAACCGGTGTGATGCGAAGCAGCCCTGGCCGGTGGGGGATCCAGTCCGTCTCACTTTAGGGTGGGACAGGTTGAGGTGCAGCTTGGAGGGGGCGCAGGCACCACCTCCTCGCAGCGGGCGCCCCTCACATGTGTGGGTGCCCTGCATGTGGGTCACACCAGCGTGGGGAGAGACTCCTGCTGCCGTTGAGTGGAGGGGCTTAAATCTCAGCTCCAGATGGATACTTCTCAGCGGGCAGAAACCATCGCTCATCCTTCAGGACGCGTCTGACACGGGGCATCAGAACGCGTTTTGCTTTGTGTGTCTGAGGGTCTTTGTGCGTCTGTGGGTCTTTGTGCATCTGTGGATCTCAGTTTCTCAATCTCTTGGTGCATCTTGGGTCTCGGTCTCAGTGCTGGACGCAGGGAGCATTCTGCCCTTGTTTATGGGGTTCTTGGTTGATGAGGAGACAGAAAGTGAGCTCATGTCTCCATCGCGATGTCTCTGGGCTACATTCTGCTGAGTCTTTCCCTCGTTCTGTCATTTCACCTCTTTTCTGCAAACGTTTTTTTCAATCATGTAAATGCTTCTTTTCTAGTGGCCGGGACTTTCTGAGGTCTCCATCACCAACCCAGGTTCCTCGGGGCTCTGCACTTGACCTGGTCAGACGGGCCTTGTCCTGGTGCAGCTTTCAGGGGGCTCCCAGGTGGCCACTTTTGCTCAGCTCTTGGGGTTTTGTGCAGTGCGTGCGAAGCTTAGTCCTCAGCCAAAGCCCCATGTGGCCCTGTGCAGATCGTTGGAGCCTGTCGTGTGCACAGATTCCTCCTCGGCAGCAATCTTCCCTGCAAACTGCGGCCACCGCTGCCTCCCCAGGGCCAATCTGTCTTCCAAGCTTCGTAAGATCTCAAAACAGTAATTCATTTTTGTCTCCCAGTTTTCCATAACAACACATAAATAATTGCTATCATAAATTAGTATAGCCTCATGTAAGGTAATCCCTAATGTGTCTACACAGTGCTCTGCAGATTTTCAAAATAATGAAGATGTTTTCATGTGAATGGGGTGCCCTTGTGTTGTGCACAACCTGAGCGACTGTGCACCTTAGCCCCGTAGTATCCCAGAGAGGCTTTGACTTCCCATGTTGGGTGGATCCTGAAACTCTGAAGCAAGCATCTCATGATTAGGAGAACTAATGTAATTTTGCAGAGTCTTTTTAAAAATTATTTTCTCCTTTATTATCCCATAGTGATCATCAATAAAATATTTAAAATGTAGATGTCATGGGTATGAATGTTAGAATGGCAACTCTCTGGGCTGGGTGCGGTGGCTCACGCCTGTAATCCCAGCGCTTTGGGAGGCCAAGGCGGGCGGATCCTGAGGTTCGGAGATTGAGACCATCCTGGTTAACACAGTGAAACCCCGTCTCTACTAAAAAATAGAAAAAATTAGCCGGGCATGGTGGCAGGTGCCTGTAGTCCTGGCTGCTCGGGAGGCTGGGGCAGGAGAATGGTGTGAACCCAGGAGGCAGAGCTTGCAGTGAGCTGGGATCGTGCCACTGCACTCCAGCCTGGGCAACAGAGCAAGACTCCGTCCCCCCAAAGAAAAAAAAAAAAAAAAAAAGAATGGCAACTCTCTGGAGAAACAATCACTGAACTGGTAGAAAGGAATGAAATTATAAAGAAACAGTTGAACAGAAGAGGATTACCAGCAGATGAGAGCTATGGCTGCCTGATTTAAAAGGCCAGGGGAGGCCCACCAAAAAGGCCACAGGCCAGCCTGGCCAACATGGTGAAACCCCATCTCTACTAAAAATACAGAAATTGGTTGGGTGTGGTGGTGCGCGCCTGTAATCCCAGCACTTTGGGAGGCTGAGGCGGGCGGATCACCTGAGGTCAGGAGATCGAGACCAGCCTGGCCAACATGGTAAAACCCCGTCTCTACTAAAAACACAGAAATTGGTTGGGTGTGGTGGTGCGTGCCTGTAATCCCAGCACTTTGGGAAGCCAAGGTGGGTGGATCACCTGAGGTCAAGAGTTCGAGATCATCCTGGCCAACATGGTGAAATCCTGTCTCTACTAAAAATACAAAAACTGGTTGGGTGTGGTGGTGGGTACCTGTAATCCCAGCACTTTGGGAGGCCGAGGTGGGTGGATCACCTGAGGACAGGAGTTCGAGACCATCCTGGCCAATGTGGTGAAATCCCGTCTCTATTAAAAATACAACAATTGGTTGGGTGTGGTGGTGGGTGCCTGTAATCCCAGCTACTTCGATGGCTCAGGCACAAGAGTTGCTTGAACCGGGAAGCGGAGGTTGCAGTGAGCTGAGATCACACCACTGCACTCCAGCCTGGGCAACAGAGTGAGACTCTGTCTCAAAAAAAAAAAAAAAAAAAGCCACAGGAAGCTCCCCCGTGAGAAGCACTGATTCACCCCACAGCTCCAGAGGACCAAGAGATTCAGACCCTGGGGCTGGTGTCAGTTGGCACTCCCCAGGAAGCAGACACTGGGAAGCAGGTTCACTGTTGATTTGTTTGGACGTTGGTCCCCTCCAAGCCTCATGTTGAAATGTGATCCCTGATGTTGGACGTGGGGCCTGGTGGCAGGTGATTGGGTCATTGAGGTGGATCCCTCACGAACAGCTGGTACCCCTCTTGTGGGGCTGAGTTCTCCCTCTCACCTCCTGTGAGCTCAGGTTGTTAGAGCCTGGCCCCCACCCCCCTCTTCTCCCACCCTGGCATGATGGGTCCCCTTCACCTCCCCCACGAGTGGAAGCTCCTGAAGCTGTCACCAGAAGCAGACCCTGGTGCCAGACTTCCTGTACAGCCTTCAGAACCGTAAGCCAGAGAAACCTCTTTCTTTACAAATGAGCCAGCCCCAGGTGATGCTTTACAGCAACACAGCTGGACTAAGACAGCATGCCCTGGACTCAACCTGGACACCTGACTGACGCCCTGGACTCCAGCATGCCCTGGACTCAGCCTCAGGGGAGGACTCTAGAGAACTCCCAATACCATGAACCAGCATCAACCCACGTGCAAGAGTCCAGGGAGACAGAACACACACACAACCAGTTATGAAAGCAACTTTATTACTCACAGGCAGGCAGCAGGGAACAGCAGAAGCTTAGGATCCATGGTGAGCGGGTCCCCGAGGCTCGGGAAAGCTGCCCAGAACGAATGGAGCCTTGTCTATGTGTGTCCCGCTTCACACCACAGCTGAGAGATCCCAAAGGTGCACTCTGCTCTGGGTTCCATAGCCAGGGGTGACTCATAGGGCTACAGTGTGTGGGACATCCTGCCCTAGGAGGCACAGGAGCAGAGCCAGGGCTGTCCGGCCGGTCCTTCCCTAGACCAGGTGGTTGCATTCCTGGCACATTCTTCAGGTATTCTCGAGAAGTACGCGTGAGAAGGGAGGGGCTTGTTCATTCCAAGGCCACCTGGGACTTGTCCTGCAGATGCCAAGGCAGAATAGGAAGTGGATTTATGGGATGGGGGCTCCCTGCGAGGGGTAGAAGGGAGATGAAGGAGGGGCAGGTGGGGAACCCCAGGTGGGGGTGTGGTTGTGGCACCTGTGGAAGGAGAGGGAAGGTAGGTGGCTGGGCAGGACCAGCCTCAGACTGCAGTTCGAGACCGTACTAGCCAGGCTCGGAGGAGCCCTGGGGAAAGAACGCCTTTCGGGGGAGCCCCTGCGCGTGGAACATTCTGAGTCTACACCTGCCATTGCCCAAACTGGACTTCCAGCCTCTGGTACCTCATGTGAGGAGCTCAGGAGCCGCTGCTCCACCCTAACAACAAGTCAGCTGAGCAGACTGAAAATCAACAATTCTTCCCACACCCAAAACAGCGGTGAAGACGTAGGTACCTGGTACACCCAAGACTTGAGGGGCTGACGGGCGCTGGCCTGTCAATGACGGGGCCATGGTTTGCCGGAGCAGAGACGCATCCGTGGAAACCACCTCAGGAGCCTGTTCCAGGGCGGGGAAACCCGAACTGTAGCTGATAGATCCCTGGAGGCTCAGTGTGGGCAACTCCAAACTCCTCCGGGGACCCAGTCATGGCAGACACCACGGGGGGATCCAGTCATGGGGGACACCATGGGGGGACCCAGTCCTGGGGGACACCACGGGGGGACCCAGTCATGGGGACACCACGGGGGCACCCAGTCATGGGGGACACCACGGGGGGACCCAGTCGTGGCGGACATCATGGCGGGGGGACCCAGTCATGGGGGACACCACGGCAGGGGGACCCAGTCATGGTGGACACCGCACGTATGTGAGTTTTACCCCAGGAGTTCTACCACATTCTCACAGTGAATATCAGAAAAATCTCATTCTGCAGGTAGGAGGATGGAAAATGGAATCATTTTGAAACACACCAGAACATTCTGTCCTTAACAAGAGCTGCCCTCAGGAGAAACTGTTCAGCTAGACTATAACCTGCCAGGGGAAGAGAAATATCCAACTTCCGCCCCCTCGAGCCATCCTGTCTCATCTAAGAAAGTGAGGGGTGGGCGGCTGAGAAACCCTTGTGAAGCTCACAGCCCAATGCACAGTTTCACTAAAGACTGAGGCCTGGTTAGAAGGTTCTAGAATGCTTCCCCTCCCCCCACATCTTACAACCACATCACTAAAGGCATCTTTACGGCAGGTCTTTATACTCTGTACATCATGTCTGGCTATCAAGAAAATATTACAAGACATACTAAAAGGCAAAAAAAAAAAAAAAAAAAAAAAAAAAAAAAAACCCATACCAGAATTTGAGGAGCCAAAACAACCATTAAAACCAGACAAGGCAGTTATGTTGGAATTATCAGACCAGGAATTTAAAACAGCAATGATTAAGATGCCAAGAGCTCTAGTGGGTAAAGTAGACAGCACACAGGAACAGATGGACAATGTAAGCAGACAGATGGAAAGTCTAGGAAGGAACCAAAAAGAAACATAAAGATAGAAAACACGGCAACAGAAATGAAGACTGCCTTTGATAGGCTCATTAGGAGACTGGACACAGCTGAGGAAAAAGCCTCTGAGCTTGAGGATAGCTCAATAGAAATTTCCAAAAGTGAAAGGCAAAGAGAACAATCACTAAAAAAAAAAAAAAAAATAAAAGAACAGAATATACAAAAGCTGTAGGACACCCATAAAAGGTGTAACACAAATAATACCAGAAGCAGAAGAAAGGAAGGAAGGAAGGAAGAAAGGGACAACAAAAAAACTGAAACAATAATGACTGAGGGATCCTCCAAATTAATGTCAGACACCAAACCACAGATCCAGGAAGCTCAGAGAACACCAAGCAGGATAAATGCCAAAACAAAACAAAACAAAACAAAAAACACTGCCCCCAAAGAAAACAAACAAGTAAACAAAATGACACCTAGGCATCTCATATTTAAACTATGTAAAATCAAACATGAACAAATTTTGAAAGAAGCCAGAAAAAACCTCCCAACACCAACACCTTGCCTGTAGCGGAACCAAGATAAGAATGACATCCACCTTCTCTCAGGAACCATGTGTCTGAGTCCATTTTCTACCACTGTAACAGAATGCCACAGATGGGGTAAATTATCAGGAAGTTTATTTGGCTCACAGTTCTGGGAGATGGGAAGTCCAGGAGCTTGGTGCTGGCATCTGGCCAGGGTCAGTCTATGGTGAGGGGCAGAGCAGGGACGCAAGCAGGGGAGACAGAGAAAAAATCAGCCTGAACTCATCCTTTTATCAGGAGCCCACTCCCAAGACAACGCACACACTCCTGAGTTAATGGCACTAATCTGCTCACGAGGGTGAAGCCCTCAGGAGCTAATCGCCTCTCAAGGGTCCCATCTCTCAGTATTGTCTCAATGGCAATTAAATTTCAACAGGACTTTTGGAGGGGACATCTGAACCACAGCACCACACAGCAGGAAGAGAGCGGAGTGAGATATTTAAAGTGTTGAGAGAAAAAAACCCACCAAGCTAAAATTGTGCACCCCATGAAATTATCCTTCAAAAGTGAAGGAGAAATAAAGACTTTTTCAGGAAAACAAAAATTGAGGGAATTTGTCGTCAGTAGACTTGCCTTGCAAAAATCTTGAAGCTTTTTAAAGAGAGGAAAGCAATATAGATCAGAAACTCAAATCCACGTAAAGAAAGGAGGAACACCAAAGAAGGAACAGTGAGGTAAAATAAAATTTTTAATATTCTTATTCTTAGCTGATCTAACAGATAACAGCTCTAAATAATAACAACAATGTATTTAATTATATATGGCTCCTTATGTATCTTGTGTGTGTCTTATGTACATATATGCTTACATATGCTTAGACATGATGGAAACAAATGGCATAAATCATGCAAAGGACACGAAGAAGGAGCTAAGATTATGTTGTTGCTGTAAGGAACTCATGTTACCTGTGAAGCAGTGGAGTGTTTGAAAGTAGACTTGGATTAATTGGGGATGATATTGCAAATTCTAGTGCAATCACTAACATATTCTAAGAAAGGAGAGAAATGGAACTGAGCATA
The DNA here is from genome assembly GCF_000001405.40 of Homo sapiens. Taxonomy (NCBI): domain Eukaryota; kingdom Metazoa; phylum Chordata; class Mammalia; order Primates; family Hominidae; genus Homo; species Homo sapiens. Next base: position 614,661 of record NC_000004.12, on the reverse strand, counting down.
TAAGATGCTCAATTAGAATCATAAAAGGCAGAAAAAGAGTGGGAAAAAAAAACAGGAAAAAAGAACAAGGGCAAAAAAATAGAAAGTGGTAACAAAATGGCAGATGTTAATCCCATTATATGAATAATTACTTTGAACATCAATGGTCTAAATACAACAATTAAAAAAACAGGGATTTTTGGCAGGGCGAGGTGGCTCACACCTGTAATCCCAGCACTTTGGGAGGCTGAGGCAGGCAGACCACAAGGTCAAGAGATCAAGACCATCCTGGACAACATGGTGAAACCTCGTCTCTACTTAAAAAAAAAAACATGGTGGCATGCACATGTAGTCCCAGCTACTCGGGGGGCTGAGGCAGAAGACATTTTGAACCCAGGAGGAGAATCGTTTGAACCCAGGAGGCGGAGGTTGCAGTGAGCCGAGATGGCACCACTGCACTTCGGCCTGGCAACAGAGTGAGACTCTGAAAAACAAAACAAAACAAAACAAAAAAAACAGAGATTTTAAAATCAGAGTGGATAAAAAATGATACCCAACTATATATTGTCTACAAGAAACACACTTTACAGTTAGATACATATAGACTAAAAGTAAATGAGTAGAAAAAGAGACACTGTGTTTACACTGATGGAAAGAAAGCAGGAGTAGCTATTTTAATTTCAGACAAGGCAGACTTCAGAGCAAAGAAAGCTACCAGGGATGAAGAGAAAGCATTTCATAATGATAAAGGGGTCGAGTTGTTCAAGAAGACATAACAATCCTTAAGGGATATGAATCAAACCGTGTGAGGCAAAAACTGCAAGGAGAAAGCTATGAATCCATGATCATGGTTGGAGACTTTAACACGCTCAGTCAGATATGACTGAATTGTCTCCCCAAAAGTTTATTTATTGTGCCTTGACCTCAAATGTGACTGTTTGCAGAAAAGGCTTTTAGGAGGTAATTGAGGTGCAATGAGATCACAAGGGTGGGGTCCTAATTCAACACCACTGGTGGCTTTCTAAAAAGAGGATGAGATTCTCCACCACACATGTATCACAGAAAGGCCACGTGAGGATACAGCGAGAAGGTGGCTGTCTGCAAGCCAGGAAGAGAGCCCTCACCAGAACCTGACTGTGCTGGCACCCTGATTTTGGACTCCCAGCCTCCAGAACTATGAGAAGTGTCTGCTGTTTCAGAGACCGGGTTGGTGTGGTATTTTGTTAGGGCAGCCTGAGCAGAACGAGACAACTCCAATTCTGCTGAGCGAGTGGTGGGGATGCCTGGAGGCCGTGGCCCCACTCCTCAGTGTGGGTCTCTAGAGGGGAGGTCTGAGCAGGCACCATGGTGGCCAGTCCATGCCTCGGGCCACACAGTCCGACTTCTCCACCCATGTTGGGGGAGGAGCTCCTCATGGTTTCTGGGGCCTGTCCCCGAGAGAAGACTTTGCACAGTTAGTGGGGCACACCACAGCCTCCAGCCCTGCAGCTGGCCTCCATCATCGCTTCTCACTGGGCTGTGACAGGGGCTCCCTTCTTCCTCCATCCTCGCTTTTCACCTCCTCTCCCTTGACTATCACTTCTGTAGGTCTTGCGGGCTTCCCTGGCTATGTGAGGAGACTGAACCCCTAATGATCACACTCTTACTGGGTTGGGGGTGGCTGCACCTGCCCAAGCACAGTGATGCAGGGCAAGGGCACCCTGAGGTTGGCCTGGCCCCACGAGGTCCCTTCCTGCCTGTGTGCAGCTGCCCCACATCCTCCGCTGCTCGGAGCCAGCTTCTCCACCAAGACAGCCACTCCTCTCCCGCCTCAACCCTGGACACCAGAGTCCCAGTTCCCGGCAGCAAGGACCTGAGTTGTGGCCCCTGTTAACAGCGTGCCCCCTTAGGAGATGAGGACCCCCAGCCTTGCCAGCCAGTATTTCAGGGTCAGGAAGCACCAGGCCCCAAGGGTCACTGGCGGGAAGGGGAGTAGAGAGCACCCCCACTTCTGCCTCTTGGTTCCAGGCTCCTGCTGGTCTTCCTGGTGGCGTCAGATGTCACACGGTGCCCTGGGTTTCGTGTACCTGGAAGGTGGTGCACTGTCCCCCGGGTTCCTGGCCCCCATCACACAGGGCTGACTCCAAGGGGGGCTTCAGCTGTGCCTCCAGCAACCGACCATCCGGTACCTCTCAGTCCAGAAGCTTCTCCATGGCAGGGTGGCTGATGCAGCCAGGAGTCCCTTCACCCCGGCCCTGCCTTCGCTGAGCAGTTAAACGCTCTGGGGCGTTGTCACTCACAACTGGGGCTGGCGCTGGCCACTCGGCCTGGCCGCCCTTCCTCAGAGGAGACGAGTGCCTCTCTTCAGGGGCCCCTTGGGCTCTCACGGTTGGCATATGCCCTCAGTTTCCTGTTGCTCTTCCACTGGCATCCACCACCTGGCAATGCCCAGCCACCCTCCACCCCACGCCTCCCCAATGCCTGAGCCACAGCCCCTGCCAGGACCTTCCCTCAACCGGTTGCTCTCCAGGCGGCTGCCGGTGCCACCTTGTCCCAGGAGCTACATCTGCCTCATTCTAGCTGCAGTGCTCGCTGCTAGACCACAACGGAGCCAGGCTTCCTATGCTCTGGCATTTTAATGCCACCTCATCAGAGTGAGGCAGGACCCAGGTGGCTTCCCCAGAGAGTTAACCCTGGAGGGAGGCACCGGCATGATTAAGACAGAGCCCAGAACCCAGGAAGGAGCCTTCCCCCAGCCACAGAGGGCAAAGACACAGCCTGGGAGGGGCTCTTGGAGAAAAAAATCGGCAGCTTATCTAACACGGATGCACTTGGGAATAAAGAAACTAATACTATGCATTAGTGTTAGCTGGGACTACAGGTGTGGGCCATCACACTCAGATAATTTTTGTATTTTTAGTAGAAACAAGGTTTCGTTTCACCATATTGCCCAGGCTGGTCTTGAACTCCTGTCCTCAAGTGCTCTGCCCGCCTTGGCCTCCCAAAGTGCTGGGATTACAGGCATGAGCCACTGTGCCCAGCCCAGCATAAAGCTCTTGAATGGAAATAGCATTCCAGAGAAAGACCAGCACCTGCTCCCCCGACACTTCACACCCAGCCTCTGTGCAGGTGAAGGCGTGACTGAGAAAGACCAGCACCTGCTCCCCTGACACTTCACACCCAGCCTCTGTGTGCAGGTGAAGGCGTGACCGAGAAAGACCAGCACCTGCTCCCCCAACACTTCACACCCAGCCTCTGTGTGCAGGTGAAGGCGTGACCGAGAAAGACCAGCACCTGCTCCCCCGACACTTCACACCCAGCCTCTGTGTGCAGGTGAAGGCGTGACTGAGAAAGACCAGCACCTGCTCCCCTGACACTTCACACCCAGCCTCTGTGTGCAGGTGAAGGCGTGATGCTTTCCTCACTTTCCAACGGTGCACAGGTTTTGCTTGTGTAGTCTCTCCCCTTAGATGGTCCTAGGGCCACTGTCCCCCAGGTTCCTGGTCTCTGCCTCAGCCGCCTCTGCCTGGCCCACCTGGGTCCATGTGGTGCCACCTGGTGCTGACCTGTCACAGGGGCTGGGAGGGCACCGTCTCCCTCTTGGCTGTTCTTTTCTGCCACTTCCAGACGGGGGTGAAATGCCGCCCTGCAAGTGGCCAAGAGCACTCGTGCTGAGCAACCTGCTGCATCTCTTTGCAGCTTGTCACAGCCAGGTGTCAGACACTAACGCTGTTCCTGGCTTTGCTGCCAATTCTTCCCTGAATCACTACTGCCTGGAATTGTATTTTCTTAGTAAATGACTCACGCTTAACCCTTGCCCCAGGCTGTTTTCTAGGCAGTCCTGGAGTATCAGCTATCTTTTGCTGCATAGCAAACTGCTCCCAAATTTAGTGGGTTAAACAATTTTCTTTGCTCATGATTCTGTGGGTCAGGCTTTTGGGCTGGGCTCAGCTGGGCAGTTCTCTATGGTTACTGTGCAGCTTGGCCATCTGGCAGCTGTCCTGGGCTGGATGTGGCAATGCCTCTCATGAGGCTGGCAGCTGGCGCCCGCCCCTGACTGGTTGGTCCAGGAGGCCTCAGCTGCTCCACGCAGCTGCTGCTACTCCAGAGGGCTAGACCTGGCTGCCTCACAGCCTTCAGGGAAGGTTCTGCAAGGCAGGAGCAGAAGCTGAGCAGCCTGGAGGCCTTTCCTGGGGTGGTCCCTCCTGGCTCCTCTGCCACTCTCTGTGGGTCAAGGTAAGTCACAGCCCAGCCTGGATTCAAGGGACAGAGAAAAGTCTTCACCTCTTGATAACAGAGCAGCAGAGTCTCATTGCAGAGGCACGAGGCAAAGAAGGGAGGGATTGTGCCATCTTCACAGATGTCCTGCGATGCCAGTCTGAGACAACCGCCATAACACTGTCCCTAATGTTACTTTGGAAGACAGGAAACAGGAATCTGGAGCCTAAATTCCAGGGAGGGAGAGATGAAGTTGTTGTTATTTAGATGATGTAACTGAAAATCTGGGGAAGGCGAAGGAGTCCATTGAGATGGCATTAGGATGATCAGTGAAGCTTTAATTTTAATTTTTTCCATCAGCGAGGGAGCCGGGTTTTCAGCTGCACGGATGACATTGATGCACAGCACTTGCAATGAGACCTTCATCCCGTGTCTCCCTGTCTCCCATCCCTCCTGGCTTACACTACTACCCTGTCACCACTTTGAGGGTTTTGCAGCATCAACAGCTCTCTCTGGGTAGGTCGCCTCCCCCTGACACAAAGGTGCTCAGACGCCCTCCCACAACCCTCACTGCTAAGCTCAGGGGCTCTGTGTTCCCCTGACCCCCTTCCGCACCTTCCTCTTGCTCTTCACTGACTCTACCTCAGGCTCCACCCTCACGCCCCCACCTGAGCCTGAAGGGGCAGGGCTCCTCCGCGCCACACTCCCTCCTCAGCGGTCTCACCAGGACCTGTGTGCTGTACCTGCAAAACAGGGCACATCCCATCTTCCATGTGTCAATCATCTTCCATGTGTCAATCATCTTCCATGTGTCAATCATCTACCATGTCAGTCTTCCATGTGTCAATCATCTTCCTTGTGTCAGTCTTCCATGTGTCAATCATCTTCCTTGTGTCAATCTTCCATGTGTCAATCATCTTCCATGTGTCAATCATCTACCACGTGTCAATCTTCCATGGGTCAATCTTCCATGTGTCAATCTTCCATGGGTCAATAACATATTTCTGGCTTTTTTATGCTCTGTCAGTTTTGAACTTCCCACTCTGGTCTTTTTTCCCTCTTAGAATTAATTAATGGAATTCCTACACCTGGCCTTAAAACCTGCCAGTTAGCTGGGTGTGTGGTGTGTGCCTGTGGTCCCAGCTGCTCAGGAGCTGAGGTAGGAGGATCACTGCAGCCCAGGAGTTCATGTCCAGCCTGGGCTACAGAGCAAGACACTATCCCTTTGAAAAAAAACCTGCCAGCTCTCCCAATTTCTGGTGAAATAAATCTTGACAAAGTAAGAAGTGAAAAAAATTCCCTCTTTGTTTACAGCTGCAGAAAAGCAGACGCAATTCTGTACCATAAACCGCCCTACAGGTCTCAAAGACACATTTGTACACCGTGTTCATAGCAGCACTATTCACAACAGCTAAAACATGAAAGCGACCCAAGCCTCTGTCAAGGGATGAGTGGGTGAGAAAATGTGGCCCATTCATACGATGGGATGTTATTCAGCCTTAAAAAGGAGGGAGATTCCGAGACTCACCACAGCACGGATGAACCTTGAGGACACTGTGCTGAGTAAAATAAGCCTACACAAAAGGGCAAGTACTGTGTAATTCCACGTAAGAGGTCCCTGGAGCAGTCACAAGTCACATTCCCAGAGACAGAAGGTGGAATGGTGGGTGCCGGGGTGGGGACGGGAGAGGGGGAAGTGAATGTTTAATGGTGGCGAGTTTCAGTTTGGGAAGACTAAAAGGTTCTGGAGATGAAACCTTTTACATCCTTTTACATATTAAACCTTTTACATATTAAATATATTCATGATGTGCAGCCATCATGAACATATTTAATACCTCTTAACCAAATACTTAAAATGGTTAAGATGGTACATTTTATGTTTATGTATTTTACCACAATGCTTTATTTTTCTTCTTTTGGAAAAAAAGAGGCGATGCTTAACCCTGAAGAAAAGCTGTGCATGACTCGGGAGGGAAAGGCCCTTCCTGCAGGAGCCTCACCCCCCTCAGCAGCGTCTGCCTCAGGAGGGGAAGACCCTTCCTGCAGGATCTCCCGAGCAGCGTCTGCCTCACAGAGAAACAAGCCAGACCTCAGCACTCGCTTGCAGACTCCAGACTGTGGAGGGTTTAGAAGACTCTGCCTGTGGCCCCCACTCTCAGAGCCCTGTTCTGCAAACCCAAGGGGATCAACAGCCTTTCTGATGTCTGCATGGGTTTACTGTTGGCTACGTTTAAATGACAACACATGTTCTAAAGTAAAAAATAAGCAATGGGCCTGGTGCAGTGGCCCACGCCTGTAATCCCAGCACTTTGGGAGGCTGAGGCAGGCGGATCACCTGAGGTCAGGAGTTTGAGACCAGCCTGGAAAACATGGCGAAACCCCGTCTCTACTAAAAATACAAAAATTAGCCAGGTGTAGTGGTGGGCGCCCGTAATCCAAGCTACTTGTGTGGCTGAGTCACAAGACTCACTTGAACCTATGGGTAGAGGTTGCAGTGAACCATGGTTGCGCCACTGCACTCTAGCCTGGGCGACAGAGCAAGACTTGATCTCAAAAAAAAAAAAAAATTTATCATGAGATTGCAGCAATTCAGTCCCATCCTCAGGGTCCACTTCTAATTCTAGTTCTCTTGCTGTTTCCACCACATCTGCAGTGACTTCCTCCACTGAAGTCTTCAGGTTCTCAAAGTCATCCTTGAGGCTTGAGATCAGCTTCTCCCAAATCCTGTTCACGTTGATATTTTTATGTCCTCCCATGAATTGTCAGTGTTCTTAATGTCATCTAGAATGGTGAATCCTTTCCAGAAGGTTTTCAGTGAACTTTAGCCAGATCCATCATAGGAATCACTGTCTATGGTTGCTATAGCCTTAGAAATGTTTTTTTTTTTTTTTGACAAAGTCTTGCTCTGTCGCCCAGGTTGGAGTGCAGTGGTGCTCACTGAAACCTCTGCCTTCCGGGTTCAAGTGATTCTCCTGCCTCAGCCTCTTGAGTAGCTGGGATCACAGGCACCTGCCACCATGCTTGGCTAATTTTTGTATTTTTAGTAGAGACAGGGTTTCACACCATGTTGGTCAGGCTGGTCTTGAACTCCTGACCTCAGGTGATCCACCCGCCTTGGACTTCCAAAGTGCTAGGATTACAGGCGTAAGCCATCATGCCCGGCCAGAAATGTGTTTCTTAAATAGTAAGACTTGGAAGTCGACACAACTCCTTGATCCAAGGGCTGCAGAATGGATGTTGTTTTAGCAGCCACGAAAGCAGCATGACTCTGTGTATGTCTCTGTTAGAGCTCTGGGAACTAGGTGCATTGTCAACGAATATACGTATGTATTTTCAGACAGGGTGTCACTGTCACCAAGGCTGGAGTGCAGTGGTGTGATCCTGGCTGACTGCAGCTTTGACCTCCCTGGCTCAAGTGATCCTCCCACCTCAGCCTCCTGAGTAGCTGAGCCCACAGGCATAAGCTACCATACCTGGCTAATTTTAAAATTTTTTATAAAGATAGGGTCTCCTTATGTTGCTCAGGCTGGTCTCAAATTCCTAGGCTCAAGTGATCCTCCTGCCTCAGTTTCCCAAAGTTCTGGGATTACAAGCGTGAACCATCATGCCCAGACTCATAGTAATATTATGAAAAGAATCTTGTTTTTCCCGAGCAGTAGCTCTCAATAGTGGGCTTAATGGATTCCGTAAACCATCGGGAGCACATGTGCTGCCATCCAGGCCTTGTTGCTCCATTTCTAGAGCAGGCAGAGTGCATGTGGTATAATTCTTAAGGGCTCTAGGATTTTCTGAATGGTGAATGAACACTGGCTTCAATCTGAGGCCACCAGCTGCATTAGCCCCTCACAAGAGGCTCAGCCTGTCCTATGAAGCTTCGACGCCAGGCACTGGCTTCTCTCCAGCTATAAAAGTCTCAGATGGCATCTTCTTCCAACAGAAAACTATGTTGTCTACATAAAAGGTCTGTGTAGCGTGGCCACCTTCATCCATGATCTCAGCTGGATGTTCCGGGTAACTTACTGCAGCTTCTCCATCAGTACCTGCTGCCTCCCTTGAACTTTCACGTTATGGAGATGATTTCTTTCCTTAAACCTCACAAACCCATCTCTGTTTGCTTCAGACTTTTTCTTCTGCAGCTTCCTCACCTCTCTCAGCCTCCACAGGATTTAAGAGTCGGGGCCTTGCTCTGGATTAGGCTTTGGCTTAAGGCTTTGGCTCCAGCCTTCTTGGCACCAAGGGCCGGTTTTGTGGAAGACAATTTTTCCACAGACTAGGCGTCGGGGGGAAGGTTTGGGATGAAGCTGTTCCACCTCAGATCATCAGGCGATAGTTAGATCCTCACAAGGAGTGCGCAACCTCGATCCCTCGCACGCGCAGTTCACAGTAGGGTTTGCACGGTTCTGAGAATCTAATGCTGCTGCTGATCTGACTCTCCTGCCACTCACCTCCTGCTGTGTGGCCTGGGGGTTGGGGACCCCTGGCTTAAGGGAATGTTGTGGGTGGTTTGATCATTCCATCTAGGCCATTAAAACTTTCTCCCTCTCAGTGATTTGGCTGTTTCGCTTCCTTATTCACGTGTTCCACGGGGTAGCACTTTTAATCTCCTTCAAGAACTTCTTTTTTGCATTCACAGGTTGACTCAGTGCTTGGTGCACGAGCCTAGATTTCCACCTGTCTCGGCTTTCAACATGCCTTTCTCACTGAGTCTAATCATGTCTAGCTTGTGATTGACCATTCACTTGAGGACTTAGAGGTCACTGTAGGGTTATTGGTTGGCCTAATTTCAAATTGCTGTTTCTCAGGGAATAGCGAGGCCCAAGGAAAGGGAGAGAGGGAGGAATGGCTGGTCCATGGAGCAGTCAGAACACACACAGCACTTATCAATTAAGTTCACTTTCTTATATGCGTGGTTCATGGAGCCCTAAAACGATGACCAAGTAACTCCAAAGATCACCAACCACAGACCACCACAAAAGATACAATCATAATAAAGTTCAACACATTGCAAAATTACTAACGTGTGACTGAGAGATGTGAGCGAGCACACGCCGTTGGAAACACGGCACAGGTGGGCTTGCTCAACGCGGGGCGGCCACAGACCTTCAACAGTCAAACATGCGGTATCTGCAAAGTGCAGGAAAGTGAACACAATAGGCCGGGTGCGGTGGCTCACACCTGTAATCCCAGCACTTTGGGAGGCCGAGACGGGCAGCTCACGAGGTCAGGAGATTGAGACCACCCTGGCTAACACGGTGAAACCCCGTCTCTACTAAAAGTACAAAAAATTAGGCGGGCGTGGTGGCGGGTGCCTGTAGTCCCAGCTACTCGGGAGGCTGAGGCAGAAGAATGGCGTGAACCCGGGAGGCGGAGCTTGCAGTGAGCTGAGATAGCGCCACTGCACTCCAGCCTGGGCGACAGAGCGAGACTCCGTCTCAAAAAAAAAAAAAAAAAAAAAAAAAGGTGAACACAATAAAACAAAGTGGCCCACATCCTTTAAAATCTATGTCCTTATTTAAAATTGGGTTGTGGCTGCACATGGTGGTTCATGCCTGTAATCCCAGCACTTTGGGAGGCCAAGGAGGGTGGATCATTTGAACCCAGGAGTTTGAGACCAGCTTGGGCAACATAGTGAGACCCCATCTCTGCAAAAAAAAAAAAAAATTAGCTGGGTGCGATGGTGTACACCTGTAGTTCCAGCTACTTGGGAAGCAGAAGTGGGTGAATTGCTTGAGCCTGGAATGTTACGGCTTCACTGGGCTATGGTGGTGTCACTGCACTCCAGCCTTGGCAAGAGAATGATACCCTGTCTCTAAACAAAAAAACCCAAACCTCAAAACAAATTGGATTGTTTGTTTACTTATGACAGCAGTTTCTCCTTATCTGCTGGGTATACATTCCAAGACCCCCCAATGAATGCTTGAAACCATGGATAGTACTGAACTCTGAACTTTATACATACTACATTTTTTCCTATAAATATATACCTATGATAAAGTTTAATGTACAAACTAGGCAAAATAAGAGACTAAAAATAATAATAAAATAGAACAATTATAACAGTAAACTGTAATAAAAGTTACGTGAATGTGGGCTCTGTCTCTCTCTCTCAAAATATCTTGTTGCATGTAATATTTTCCGACCACAGTTTACTGCTGGTAACTGAAACCACACAAAGTGGAACCACAGACAAGCGTGTGGTGGGGGGTGCTGTAATGCATTTTGTTCTTTATATATTCCAGACATAAATCCTTTATCAGATATGTGATTTTAAAATACTTTCTTCCAGTCTATGAATTGCCTTTTTATTCTGTTAACAGTGTCTTCCCAAGAGCAGATGCTTTTAATGCTGATGAAGGCTGGTTTATTGTTTTTATAGATGATGCTTTTGAAATCACAGCTAAAAAATCTTTGTCCACTCAAGATCACAGAAATGTTCGCTTAGGTTTACTTCTAGCAACTGTGTAGTCTTAGGTGTGACATTTACGTCTGCAGTACATTTTGAGTTATTTTTATATGTGGTCCGGGTATAGATCGAGGCTCTCTTTTTCTTTTTGCACATGCATATTCAATAGTTCCAGCATCACTGGTTGAAAAGACATTTCTTTCTCTACGAATTGTCACATTTACATATTATACCACTTCACATACAGTGCAAGAACCTTACGTCAGTGTTATGGATTGAAATTGTGTCCCACAAAATTCATATGTTGAAATCCCAGCCCCCAGTACCTCATGACGTGATCGTTATTTGAAGGTAAGACCTTTAAAGAGGTAATTTAGGCCGGGTACGGTGGCCCGCACCTGTAATCGCAGCACTTTGGGAGGCCGGGTACGGTGGCTCGCGCCTGTAATCCCAGCACTTTGGGAGGCCGAGGCAGGCGGATTGCCTGAGCTCAGGAGTTCAAGACCAGCCAACATGGTGAAACCCTGTCTCTACTAAAATACAAAAAATCAGTTGGGCGTGATAGCGTGCACCTGTAATCCCAGCTACTCGGGAGGCTGAGGCAGAAGAATCGCTTGAACCCGGAAGGTGGAGGTTGCAGTGAGCTGAGATCATGCCACTGCACTGCAGCCTGGGCAACAGAATGAGACTCAGTCTCAAAAAAAATAAAATAAATAAATAAATAAATTTTAAAAATAAAGAGGTGATTAAGTAGAAATGAGGCATGAATGTGGGGCTCTAATTCAACATGGCTGGCATTCCTATAAGACGAGGAGACCAGGTCACACAGAGTCCCCTGGGTGAGCCCGCGTGGAGGGAAGACCATGTGAAGAGGCAGCAAGAGAGCAGCTGTCTGCAGACCAAGGAGAGAGACTTCTGCGGAGACCACACCCGTCAACGTCTTCATCCCAGACTCTCAGCCTTCAGAATGGTCAGAGGACACATTTCTGCTGCTGAAGCTACCTAGTCTGTGGTAGCTTGCTATGGAAGTGTTAGAAAACTAACAAGGAAAGTGGGGGTCTGTGTGTATTTGGGGGATCAAAGCCTTTGTGCAGAGGCCCCTGACCCTCCACTCTCAAGGCCTGGGTAGGGCTGAGGAATGACCGCATCTGTGCTTCTACAGGCTTGCATCGCCCTGGCAGCTGGAAGCCGGTTCTGCGGTGTTAGGTGAACACAGGGCACCTGACTGGTCCAAGCACGCCACCCAGAGGCAGCCTTGGAACTGCACCTGCTGGGCAGGACCTGGGCTCTACCTGCGTCCTTCCTGACAGCCCATCAGAGTCCATGGGATGGATGCACCTGCTCGTGCACCTGCCTCCAAGGTCTGTGGGCTAGGTGGGCCCAAGGGGGCCTGGTGTTGGCACAGAGCCTCTGGAGCCAGGAAGATGGTGGCAGTGTTTGGTGGCTTCTCCTGGCCTGAACATGGCCCCCAGGGCTGGGGTGGGATAGGATGCCCTCATCTGCAGGTCCTTAAGCGGTTGTGATGACAAGAAGTGGGAGTGGCTGCTCAGGGCCCCTGGGCAGCTGGACCTTGGGGACAGTCCCTGGGCTGGGAAGGCGCTCAGAGTGCACGTCTTAGCAGCCTGGGGTGCCTGCTGCCCTTGACGGGGACATGGGTGGGTTTTTATAGGGCAGGGGAGTGGCCGACCTTGGGTAGAAAGGAGCAGAACGAAGGCCGGAGGAGGGAGGTGACTGGGCAGAGGCAGCCCCAGTGGCCGGGCCGCTTGCCCCCGTCTGTCCTGTGGGGCTCCCTCACGTCCCTTCAGTCTGCCCCCACTTTGGCGCCTTGAATTTGAGAGAGGCCACGTGTTCTTGAAGCCTAGTGGGATCCTCGGCAACTGCTTTTGAAATTCCTCTTTCACAACCAAGGTGGCTGGGGCAAGCCATCTCCCATCAGCATTTTGGAGAACAAATGCTTTCGCTGCCTTGATCCGCCCAGCAGGGCGGCTGCCAGTGCCCAGGTCTCAGCAGAAGCAAGGCAGAGGCGCGTGTGGAGACCAAGGGGCAAGAATGGCCCAAGCCTCAGCCTTGTCCACCCCATCCTTCTTCCATGCTGTGGCCAGTGAGATTTTTCTGAAACGACCGACCTGGTCCCGTCATTTTCCTGATCAAGACATCCTAGCAGTCTCCCAGTACTTTCTGGGAGTCTCCCAGTACACAGAAGATGTCCCTGAGGTTTCTGGCCAGGGCAAGGTTGGGGTTTCCAGTCCCCAAACAGGGGGAAACAGGGTGGGTCTGATCTGTGTGAGCAGAACAAAATCCAGCACCCCCGGCCTGGACACCAGGCCCTGCCCCTCACTCCCGTCAGCGACACTGGTGAGTAGCAGGTGTGCTGAGGATTTGGGTAATGAAGGGTGTTTCACCACAGCCCATCCTAGCAAATAGCTTAAGGGTTCCATTCATGGATTCTAATTACTTAAACTGTTTAGTTCATTCCACAAATACTCATGGAGCACCTGCCTTGTGCTAGACACTGTTCTTCCTCCTGGAATCATCAGTGAACAAAAGAGACAAAACTGTCTTCCAGAGCTTATGGGAAGGATAAACATCGCACACAAGTGACTTCTACAACACAAGAGTGATTCCTTTATGGGAAAAATAGAGCTGAGAAAAGAGACTGGGGGCCCTGGGGGTGCACTTTGAGTCAGAGAAGGCCTCCCTGCGCGATGTTTGGGTAAAGACATGAAGAGGGGGAGGGGCAGCCCTGTGGCTGTCAGAGGCGGAGGCTGACGCAGGACTGGGGGTGGAAAGAGACAAGCTCACACAGTGACTCAGTCTCTTTTAGTGACTTCAGCTTTTACTCCGAATGAGCCCAAAGCCATTTTGAGCACAGGATGATGTACTTGACTTAAAATTTTGAAGGCTAATTGTGGCTGCTCCTTTGGAATAGACTGAAGATGAGGGGTGGCTCCTTCAGCACCCAGGTCAGAAATGCAGGGGTCCGTCAGGCTCCAATGCACGTCGAGGTTGGAGGCCACAGAATTTGCTGCCTGGCTGTGGGTGAGGGGCATAGAGGATGTCCCCGAGATTTCTGGCCAGAGCAAAGTTGGGGTTTCCAGTCCCCAAACAGGGGACAACAGGGTGGGTCTGATCTGTGTGAGCAGAACAGACACTTGAGTTTCCATGTTATGGGTGGGTGCCTGTTGGATACCCTGAGGGAGATGTTGGACACGCAGCTCTGTCTTATCTGGAGGCCCAGGGAAAGATCTGAGCTGAAATATGAATTTGGGAGTAGCCAAAATACAGGTGTTTCTTAAAGCCATGAAACTAGATGACTTTAAAATAACCTTCAGGTGAATCCAAGACGGCTGATTAGAAACAGCTGCGGTCTGAGGCGCTTACAGAGAAGAATGAAAAGGGGTGAGTGAATTCAGCACCTTCGACTGAAATATCCAGGTTCTCATATTGGGACTAACTAGGCAAACAACTCGACCCATGGAGAATGAAAAGAAGTGGTAGGAGGGTCAATGGCCCACTCAGCAGTGGCACGGAGCCAAAGGAACCTCCACTGCCAGCCAAGGAAGTGGTGAGTGATTGTGGACCCTGCTGGGAAATCATGCTTCTCCCATGGATCTTTGCAACTGTGGATCAGGAGATCCCTTGATGAGGCCCCACCACCAGTGCCTTGGGCCCGATACACAGAGCTTTGTGGAACTTTCAGCAGAGCAGCCACTCAGCCACACACAGAGACCCAGGCGTTTTACATACTCCGGCCCCAGGATCCCTGGCAAGGTGGGAAATCCATCCTTCCAGATTCCTGGGAAGAGGGCTGACTCCACGGAGCCAAGCAGAATCATTCCGCAGTCCTCACTTCCATGGCACATCACAAGTTAAGACCCACTGGCTTGGAATCCCAGCCAGCCAACAGCAACAGGCTGGACTCTGCCTGAGAAGGGTCCGAGTTCCCAGGGCAGGGGTGGCTGCCATCTCTGCAATTGGGTAGACTCAGCCGTTCCAGCCTGCAGACTTTGGAGAATACGAATGGTCCAGATGAGAAGGGGTCCCCCACAGGCAGCACAGCTGCCTTGCCAGATCGTGGCCAAAGTGCTTCTTTAATTGTGATCCCATCCGCTTCCCCTCACTGCGTGGGTCCTCCCTGCAGGGGCTTCAGCCACTCCAGCCAGGGTTCTATGGATAGAGCTCTGATCTCTCCTTGGGATGGAGCTCCTGTGGGGAGGGGCAGCCACCATCTCTGCAGTTTGGTTGACTTAGTCATTCCAGCCTGCCAGCTTTGGAGAATACAAATGGTCTGGATGAGGAAGGACCACCCCCTCCCCCCCGCAACAAAACGCAGCGCACCTGCTCTATGAAAAAGCAGCAGGACTGCTTCTTTTTTTTTGAGATGGAGTCTTGTTCTGTCGCCCAGGCTGGAGGTGACGTGGCGCGATCTCGGCTCACTGCAAGCTCCGCCTCCCGGGTTCACACCATTCTCCTGCCTCAGCCTCCCGAGTAGCTGGGACTACAGGCACCCGCCACCACACCTGGCTAAATTTTTGTATTTTTAGTAGAGGCGAGGTTTCACTGTGTTAGCCAGGATGGTCTCGATCTCCTGACCTCGTGATCCGCCAGCCTCGGCCTCCCAAACTGCTGGGATTACAGGCGTGAGCCACTGCGCCCAGCCAGGACTGCTTCTTTAAGCAGGTCCCTGATCCCATTTCTCCTGACTAGCTGAGATCCCCCAACAGGTGTCTACAGCCACCTCCTGCACGTGTGTTCAGGCTGGCAACAGGTCAGTACCCCCCGAGGACAGAGCTTCCAGAGGAAGGAGGTGGCTGTCATCTTTGCTGTTTCTCAGATACCTCCAGGTATGGGAAAAACCAAGGCAACTAGGGTCTGGAGTGGACCCCAGCAAACTGCAGCCATCTTATGGTAGAGTGGCCTGACTGTTACAAGAAAACAAACAAAATAACAACAACGTCAGCAAAAAAGTCCCCACAAAAACCCCATTCAAAGGTTAGCAACCTCAAAGATTGAAGGTAGATAAGCCCACAAAGATGAGGAAAAATCAATGCAAAAATGCTGAAAACTCAGCGTGCCTCTTCTCCTCCAAATGACTGCAACACCTCTACAGCAAGGGTACAGAACTGGGCTAAGGCTGAGATGGCTGAACTGACAGAAGCAGGCTTCAGAAGGTGGGTAATAACAAACTTCGCTGAGCTAAAGGAGCGTTTGTAACCCAACGCAAAGAAGCTAAGAATCACGATAAGACAGTACAGGAGCTGACAGCCAGAATACCCGGTTTAGAGAGAAACACAACTGACCTGATGGAGCTGAAAACAACCTGAGAACTTCTCAATGCAACCACGGGTACCCATAGCAGAATAGGCCAGGTAGAAGAAAGAATCTTAGAGCCTGAAGACTATATTTCTGAAGTAAGATAGGCAGACAAGAACAGAAAAAAACAAGAATGAAAAGCAATGAAAAAAACCTCTGGGAAATGCGGGATTATGTAAAGAGACCAAACCTACAGCTGAGTGGGGTACCTGAAAGAAATGGAGAGAATGGAACCAAATTGGAAAACATACTTTAGGATATCATCCAGGAGAACTTCCCCAACCTGGCAAGACAGGCCAACATTCAAATTCAGGAAATGCAGAGAACCCCAGTAAGATACTGTATGAGAAGATCAACCCCAAGACAAATAATCATCAGATTCTCCGAGGTTGAAATGAAAGAAAAAGTGTTAAGAGCAGCCAGAGAGAAAGGCCAGGCCACCTACAGAGGGAAACTCATCAGACTAACAGTGGGCCTCTCACTGGAAACCCTACAAGCCAGAAGAGATTGGGGGCCAATATTCAACATTCTTAAAGAAAAGAATTTCCAACCCAGAATTTCATATCCAGCCAAACCCAGTGTCATAAGCAAAGGAGAAATAAGATCTTTTTCAGACGAGCAAATGCTGAGAGAATTCGTCACCACCAGGCCTACCTTGCAAGAGCTCCTGAAGGAAGCACTAAATGTGGAAAGGAAAAACTGTTACCAGCCACTATAAAGACACACTGAAATACACAGACCAGTGACACTATGAGGCAACCACATAAGCAAGTCTGCAAAATAACCATCTAGCATCATGATGACAGGATCAAATCCACACAAAACAATATTAACCTTAAATGTAAATGGGCTAAATGCCCCAATTAAAAGACACAGAGTAGCAAGCTGGACAAAGAGCCAAGACCCATCAGAAAAAAATACAAAAAATTAGCCGGGCGTGGTGGCAGGTGCCTGTAGTCCCAGCTACTCAGGAGGCTAAGGCAGGAGAATGGCATGAACCGGGAAGCAGAGCTTGCAGTGAGCTGAGATCATGCCACTGCACTCCAGCCTGGGTGACGGAGTGAGACTCCATCTAAAAAAAAAAAATAAATAATAATAATAAAATAAAGAGACCCACCTCACATGCAAAGATACATGTAGGCTCAAAATAAAAGGATGGATAAAAATTTACCAAGCAAATGGAAAACAGAAAAAAACAGAGGTTGCAGTCCTAGTTTTCGACAAAACAGACTTTAAACCAACAAAAAGCAAAAAAGACAAAGAAGGGCATTACACAATGGTAAAGGGTTCATTTCAACAAGAACTAACTATCCTAAATATATATGCATCAAATACAGGAGCACCTAGATTCATAAAGGAAGTTCTTAGAGATCTACAAAGAGCCTTAGATTCTCACACAATAATAGTGGAAGACTTTAACACCCCACTGACAATATTAGACAGATCATTGACAGAAAATTAACAAAGATATTCAGGACCTAAACTCAGCTCTGGATCAAGTGGATCTGATAGATACCTACAGAATTATCCACCCCAAAATAACAGAATACACATTCGTCTCATTGCCACATGGCACTTACTTTAAAATTGATCACATAATTGGAAGCAAAACACAACTCATCAGATGGAAAAGAACTGAAATCATAATAGTCTCTCAGACCACAGTGCAATCAAATTAGAACTCAAGATTAAGAAATTCACTCAAAACCACTGAACTACATGGAAACTGAACAACCTGCTCCTGAATGACTCTTAATAATGAAATTAAGGCAGAAATCAAGAAGTTCTTTGAAACTAGTGAGAACAAGAGACAATGTACCAGAATCTCTGAGACACAGCTAAAATAGTGTTAGGGAAATTTATAGCACTAAATGCCCACACTGAAAAGCTAGAAAAATCTCAAGTTAACAACCTAACATCTCAACTAAAAGAACTAGAGAACCAAGAGCAAACAAGCCCCACCCAAAGCTAGCAGAAGACAAGAAATAACCAAGATCAGAGCTGAACTGAAGAAGATAGAGATGCCCAAAACCCTTCAAGAAAATCAACGAATCCAGGAGCTGGTTTTTTGAAAAAATTAATATAATAGATAGACCACTAGCTAGACTAATAAAGAAGAGAAGAGAGAAGAATCAAATAAACACAATCAGAAATAATGAGGATATCACCACTGACCCCACAGAAATACAAACACCTATCAAATAATACTAGAAATACCTCTATGCACATAAACTAGAAAATCTAGAAGAAATGGATACATTCCTGGACACGTATACCCTCCCAAGACTGAACCAGGAAGAAATTGAATCCCTACATAGACCAATAACGAGTTCTAAAATTGAGGCAATAATAAACAGCCTACCAAGCAAAAAAGGCCCAGGACCAGATTCACAACTGAATTCTACCAGAGGTTCAAAGAAGAGCTGGTACTATTCTACTGAATCTATTCAAAAAAAATTGAAAAGGAGGGACTCCTTCCTAACTCATTATGTGAGGCCAGCATCATCCTGATACCCAAACCTGGCAGAGATACAAGAAAAAAAGAAAACTTGAGGCCAATATCCTTCACAAACATTGATGCAAAAATCCTCAATAAAATACTGGCAAACAAATCCAGCAGCACATCAAAAGGCTTATCCACCAAAATCAAGTTGGCTTCACCTCAGAGATGCAAGGCTGGGTCAACATACACAAATCAATAACTGATTCATCACATAAACAGAACCAAAGACAAAAACCACGTATTTATCTCAATAGATGCAGAAAAGGCCATGATAAAATTCAACATCCCTTCATGTTAAAAACTCTCAATAAACTAGGTATTGAAGGAACATACTTCAGAATAATAAAAGCCATATATGACAAACTCACAGCCAATATCACACTGAATGCGCAAAAGCAGGAAGCATTCCCCTTGAAAAACAGCACAAGACAAGTATGTCCTCTCTCACCGCTCCTGTTCAATATCAACATAGTACTGGAAGTTCTGACCAGGGCAATCAGGCAAGAAAAAGAAATAAAGCGTATTCAAACAGGAAGAAAGGAAGTCAAATTATCTTTGTTTGCATATGACATAATTCTATATCTAGAAAAACCTATTGTCTCAGCCCCAAACCCTCTTAAACTGATAAACAACTTCAGCAAAGTCTCAGGATACAAAATCAATGTGCAAAAATCTCTAGCATTCCTATATACCAACAACAGGCAAGCAGAGAACCAAATCATGAATGAACTCCCATTCACAACTGCCACAAAAAAAATACAGCTAACAAGGGAAGTGAAGGACCTCTTCAAGGAGAGCTACAAGCCACTGCTCAAAGAAATCAGAGATGACACAAATAAATGGAAAAACATTCCATGCTCATGGATAGGAAGAATCAATATCATGAAAATGGCCATACTGCCCAAAGTAATTTATAGATCCAATGCTATTCCCATCTAACCACCATGGACATTCTTCACAAAATTAGAAAAAAAAAAAAAACTATTTTAAAGTTCACATGGAACCAAAAAAGAACCCAAATAGCCAAGACAATCCTAAGCAAAAAGAACAAAGCTGGAGGCATCATGCTACCCAACTTCAAACTATACTACAAGGCTACAGTAACCAAAACAGCATGATACTGGTAGAAGAACAGACACACAGACCAATGGAACAGAATAGAAAACTCAGAAATAAGACCACACATCTACAACCATTTGATCTTTGACAAACCTGACAAAAACAAGCGATGGGGAGAGGATTCCCTATTTAATAAATTGTACTAGGAGAGTTGGCTAGCCATATGCAGAAAATTGAAACTGGACCCCTTCTTTATACCTTATACAAAAATTAACTCAAGATGGATTAAAGACTTAAATGTATTATAAAACCCAAAACTATAAAAACCCTAGAAGAAAATTCAGGCAATACCATTCAGGACATAGTCACGGGCAAAGATTTTATGACCAAAATGCCAACAGCAATAGCAGCAAAAGGAAAAATTGACAAATGGGATCAAATTAAACTAAAGAGCTTCTGCACAGCAAAAGAAACTAGCATCAGAGTGAACAGACAACTTACAGAATGGGAGACAATTTTTGCAATCTATCCAACTGACAAAGATCTAATATCCAGAGTCTACAAGGAACTTAAATTTATGAGAAAAAAACAACTCCATTAAAAAGTGGGCAAATAACATGAACAGACACTTTTCAAAAGAAGACACACATGTGGCCAATAAACCTATGAAAAAAAGCTGAACATGACTGATCACTAGAGAAATGCAAATCAAAACCACAGTGAGATACCATCTCACACCAGTCTGACTGTTATTAAAAAGTCAAAAAACAAGAGATGCTGGCAAGATTGAGGAGAAAAAGGAATGCTTTTACACTGTTGGTGGGAGTGTAAATTAGTTTAACCATTGTGGAAGACAGTGTGGCAATTCCACAAAGACGTAGAGGCAGAAATACCATTCGACCCAGCAACCCCATTAATGGGTGTATACTCAAAAGAATATAAATCACTCTGGCCGGGCGCGGTGGCTCGCGCCTGTAATCCCAGCACTTCGAGAGGCTGAAGTGGGTGGATCACAAGGTCAAGAGATCAAGACCATCCTGGACAACATGGTGAAACCCTGTCTCTCCTAAAAATACAAAAATTAGCTGGGCACGGTGGCAAGCACCTGTAGTCCCTGCTACTCAGGAGGCTAAGCCAGGAGAATTGCTTCAACCCAGGAGGTGGAGGTTGCAGTGAGCAGAGATCGTGCCACTGCACTCCAGCCTGGTGACAGAGTGAGACTCCGTCTCAAAAAAAAAAAAGAAAGAATATAAATCATTCTATTATAAAGATACATACACACATATGTTCATTGCAGCACTATTCACAATAGCAAAGACATGAAATCAACCTAAATGACCACTGACGATAGACTGGATAAAGAAAATGTGGTACATTTATACTATGGAATATTATGCAGCCATCAAAAGGAATGAGATCATGTCCTTTTGCAGGGACCTGGATGGAGTTGGAAGCCATTATCCTCAGCAAACTAATGTAGGAACAGAAAACCAAATACCACGTATTCTCACTTACAAGTGGGAGCTGAATGATGAAAATGCATGGACACGGGGTGGGGGGCAACAATACACACTGGGGCCTGTTGGAGGGTGGTGGCAGGTAGGGCGAGGGAGAGCATCAGGAGGAATAGCTAATGGATGCCGGGCTTCTTACCTAGGGGATGGGATGGTTTGTGTAGCAAGCCACCATGGCACACATTTACCCATGAAACAAACCTGCACATCCTGCACAGGTACCCTTGAACTTAAAAGCTAAAGAAAAAAAAATAACCTTCAAATGTTGAAAGAATGAAAGAAAGAAAGAGGAAAGGAAGGAAGGAAGGAAGGAAGGAAGGAAGGAAGAAAGAAGGAAGGAAGGAAAGAAAAAGAAAGAAAGGAAGGAAGAAAGAAAGAAGGAAAGAAAGAAAGAAACTAGATGAGGTCACCAAGGGAGTGAGTGTAGACAGAAGGGACAGAATCAAGGGCTGAGGCTTAGGGACACATGTGCGAAGGGGACGCCACCCAGCCCCCATGCAACAGCATCCCCTGCCATGTGCTCCTGTATGTTTCAGCAGCTGGACTTAACAGTCTGCAACTGTGTATTTTTGTGAAGATGTGATTCATCTCCATCTCTCCCGCCACGCTCCTCCAGTGAGCAGGAGCCCTGTCATTTTGCAAACTGCTGTACCCCAAGGCCTAGAGCAACCCCTGGCTGCCTGACAGTAACAAGTCAATAAGCAAGTGCATGAGTGAAGGGCACCAGGATTCTTTTCTTTTTTCTTTTTTTTTATTGATCATTCTTGGGTGTTTCTCGCAGAGGGGGATTTGGCAGGGTCATAGGACAATAGTGGGGGGAAGGTCAGCAGATAAACAAGTGAACAAAGGTCTCTGGCTTCCCTAGGCAGAGGACCCTGCGGCCTTCTGCAGTGTTTGTGTCCCTGGGTACTTGAGATTAGGGAGTGGTGATGACTCTTAACGAGCATGCTGCCTTCAAGCATCTGTTTAACAAAGCACATCTTGCACTGCCCTTAATCCATTTAACCCTGAGTGGACACAGCACTTGTTTCAGAGAGCACAGGGTTGGGGGCAAGGTCACAGATCAACAGGATCCCAAGGCAGAAGAATTTTTCTTAGTACAGAACAAAATGAAAAGTCTCCCATGTCTACCTCTTTCTACACAGACACGGCAACCATCCGATTTCTCAATCTTTTCCCCACCTTTCCCCCTTTTCTATTCCACAAAACCGCCACTGTCATCATGGCCCGTTCTCAATGAGCCGCTGGGCACACTTCCCAGACAGGGTGGTGGCCGGGTAGAGGGGCTCCTCACTTCCCAGCAGGGGCGGCCGGGCAGAGGCACCCCTCACCTCCCGGACGGGGCGGCTGGCTGGGCGGGGGGCTGACCCCCCCACCTCCAGGATTCTTTTCTCTGTCTGTTTTTACCATCGTCACACTTAAAAAACATAAGTTATTCTGTTTTCTTGGTGGGTTAGGGATAAAAATTTGAAAAATAATTTTATGTTATTAAAATACATGCTACTATTTGAGAGTTTAACATAAAAATTTCCATCAGTAATTTCTTCATATAATTTTAGAAATAACAGGGCGGGCATGGTGGCTCACGCCTGTAATCCCAGCACTTTGGGAGGCAGAGGCGGGCGGATCACGAGGTCAGAGGATCAAGACCATCCTGGCTAACACAGTGAAACCCCGTCTCTACTAAAAATACAAAAAATTAGCCGGGCATGGTGGCAGGCGCCTGTAGTCCCAGCGACTCGGGAGGCTGAGGTAGGAGAATTGCTTGAACCCCGGGCCAGAGGTTGCAGTGAGCCAAGATCGCGCCACTGCACTCCAGCCTGGGCGACAAACTGAGACTCCGTCTCAAAAAAAAAAAAAACAAAAAACATATATTTTAAGCTAAAATTCTTATCTGTTTTTTGTTTTGTACCTATCACTCCAGTGTGACTTGCTATTTCTTACAAAATCCACTCTCAGTTTTTTGTTTGGTTTTGAGACGGAGCCCCACTCTGTCACCCAGGCTGGAGTGCAGTGGCACGATCTTGGCTCACTGCAACCTCTGGCCCCGGGGTTCAAGCAATTCTCCTGCCTCAGCCTCCCAAGTAGCTGGGATTACAGGTGCACACCACCACACCTGACTAATTTTTGTAGTTTTAGTAGAGACGGGGTTTCGCCATGTTGGCCAGGCTGCTCTCAAACTCCTGACCTCCAGTGATCTGCCCACCTCAGTCTCCCAAAGTGCCGGGATTACAGCCGTGAGCCACTGCACCTGGGCCACTCTCCATTTTTATAATTGTATCACCAATAATGGTGTCACAAAAACAGGCTTTGTATAAATGCCTGATTATCATCTGACCCAGCTGAGAGCTTCCTCACATTATTAATGAACAGTGCAGTTCTGAGTTGAACGTGGTTCATACTTTCATTTATGTTAATAAGTAAAAGGTAATTGAAATCACAAAGACATTGGAACGTCACTTCATCAATGACATGAGTGCCTCTCCTGAGTCACTTTCTAATACTGGAAGAACATTTCCCTGATTTTTGGTAGTATTCACAATGTAATGGTTACAGCCACAACACACGTTTAAATTTAATCTACATTACTCATATTTTCCCATAACTTCATTAAATCTAGACAGTCAATAAAGCAACAACCCAGCCGCATTTGTAGCATTTGCCAATTTCTGTGGTGTAAATGCCCCCCTCATGGCCAACTTGGAGCCACACACAAAAAGTCACTGAGCATGGTGCTAGGAAGAGACCGTGGTAGCCCATTACAGCTTTTACCCCTACAGATACAGCTGATGTCAGTGATCTCAGGAATGCAGGCGATGTAAAATGTAGTAAAATAATTAGAAAGTAATGGCTTCGAGTATTTATTACCTATGTTTTAAGTAAGCTTTATTTCATTGTAAGTGCGTATCATTTACTTTTCAGCAATGTCTGTATCTAACAGCAAAGCTCCTGGCAGTGCAGCTTTCCACTCCGGGAGCCAATGCACGTCGACTCCAGCACACACTGGCTCCTGGGCTCCTCTGGTGGGCCTGACCTCATCAGGTGAGCCCTGAGAGGAGCGAGCAGAAGCAGGAGTGGAAGGATGCAGACTGGCCCATGTGGGCCACCTGGGAAGGGTGGTGACTTCTGGAAGGGGTGAGGGCCTCGGCCCTACAACTGATCGTTGACAAATCAACAACCAGAACAACCCTGGAAGAGACCCTTGTGCCTCAGATGAGATCACAGCTCTGGGCGACGCCTTAATTTTGGCCTGGAGGTGCAAGGGGCAGAGGACCCAACTGACCCCATAGAAAGTGGAGAGAGGGCCGGGCATGGTGGCTCATGCCTGGAATCCCAGCACTCTGGGAGGCCGAGACAGGTGGATCACCTGAGGTCAGGAGTTTGACACCAGCCTAGCCAACATGGTGAAACCCTGTCTCCACCAGAAATACAAAAATTAGCTGGGCATGGTGGTGGGTGCCTGTAATCCCAGCTACTCGGGAGGCTGAGGCAGGAGAATCACTTGAACCTGGGAGGTGGAGGTTGCAGTGAGCCGAGATGGTGCCACTGCACTCCAGCCTGGTGACAGAGTGAGACGCCGTCTCAAACAAAAACAAAAAAAAAAGAAAAAAGAAAAAGAAGAAAGTGGAGAAAATGCCTTTGTGTTGTTTTAAGTTACTAAAATGGTGATAATTTGTTACGCAGAAATAGAAAAACTAGCGAGTAATCCGACTCCCTTAAACTTGAACTTACAAAAGAAAAATCCATTTTAAAAATATCCCCACAACTTTCTAAGGTGGTGTCTGATGACCTGGAGATGCTGGAGGGAGCTGCTCAAGCTTGAAGACAGGAGCTGGGAGGACAGAGCTGAGCTGCCCTGCATTACGGAGGGGACGGGAGGAGACCTGAGGGAAATCCAGAAAGGAGGAGCTGGGAAGACTGAACAGTGGGGTTGAGAGGTGGGAGGCCCGTCTTCCTGAGGCTGGAAGGGAGGCGTGGCAGGAGGAAAGATAATGGAAATTTCTCCGGAGGTGCTGTGGACCTAGAAACCACCGTACCCCTGCAATCCTAAGCAAGTTCTGCTCACAAACACTCCTGAGAAAGTCGAGTTGTGTTCTTTCTCTGCTTTTTTGAGCTGGGGAGTGTGATGGTTAATATTGAGTGTCAACTTGATTGGATTGAAGGATGCAAAATATTGATCCTGGGTGTGTCTGTGAGGACGTTGCCAACGGAGATTAACATTTGAGTCAGTGGGCTGGGAAAGGCAGACTCACCCTCAATCCTGGTGGGCACCGTCTAATCAGCTGCCAGCACGGCCAGAATAAAAGCAGGCAGGGGAACGTGGAAGGACTGGACCGGCTGAGTCTTACGGCCTCAGCCTCCATCTTTCTCCCGTGCTGGATGCTTCCTGCCCTCAAACATCAGACTCCAAGCTCTTCAGCTCTGGGACTCTTGGACTTAACACCAGTGGTTTGCCCGGGGCTCCTGGGCCTTTGGCCACAGACACGGCTGTGTTGTCAGCTTCCCTACATTTGAGGTTTGGGGACTTGGACTGGCTTCCTGGCTCCTCAGCTTGCATTCGGCCTACTGTGGGACTTCACCTGTGATCGTGTGAGTCAAGTCTCCTAATAAACTCCCCTTCATATACATTTATCCTATGAGCTCTGTCCCTCTAGAGAACCCTGACTAATACAGGGAGAAAAGCTCAAAGATGTGAGCGAAAGGACAGCTGGTACATAGGTTACTGAGAAAGTGTAAGGTCTTTATCAGTGGAAACTTTTACCCACTTCTTACCAAATAAATGTTGAACAAATATCTAAAGAACATTAACTGAATGAGGCATAAATTCTAGATCTCACCATGCTCGGTCGGTCCTGTGTGTCCCCAGCCTGACATCGACAGTGTAGGCACGCAACAAAAGATGGCCGCACGCATGGTGGGACGACGGAGGAAGGAGTCACCCGCTGACCAACAGGAAAAAGCACAGATGCCTTTCCTGAAAAGATGGCCGCACGCATGGAGGGACGACGGAGGAAGGAGTCACCCGCTGACCGACAGGAAAAAGCCCAGATGCCTTTGCTGAAAAGATGGCCGCAGCATGGAGGGACAACGGAGGAAGGAGTCACCCGCTGACCGACGGGAAAAAGCCCAGATGCCTTTGCTGAAAAGATGGCCGCACGCGTGGAGGGACAACGGAGGAAGGACTCACCCGCTGACCGACGGGAAAAAGCCCAGATGCCTTTGCTGAAAAGATGGCCGCACGCGTGGAGGGACGACGGAGGAAGGAGTCATCCGCTGACAGACAGGAAAAAGCCCAGATGCCTTCGCGGATGATGTGAAGAGACTGCCCAGACCACGCCCAGGCACAGTGTCAGGCATAGTCCTGCAAACTACTGAATCCTCGCCACCTAGCTAAGAGGGGCAGTAGCTGGGCTCGGGGCTATGTTTCCCAGTTACCATATCCCCCGCCCCACCTGGCACCTCTGGGCACCGCGGCCTCAGGCACAGGGATCCTCTGCTGAGAAGTCAGCCTCAGAAGACGCCAAACGCTGCCCCTCCCCGCGGGAAGTGACGCTGAGACGCCGCTTCCTTGCCGTTCTGTCTTCCAAGTCAGTCTCCCAAGCATGTTTCAGGGCAGCTGGAAACTGAGCTTCAAACTCCAGGTCCGGAAGTCAGGTACTACTTGTCATCAAATATAGAAAGGTTATCCAACAGGTAGCTAGAAAGGTGACTTATGTCCACCCCAGTCCCCGTGACACGTCCCCAGATGGCCTCACATTTGACGGCCACGCACAGCAGAATCTGGATTTGTGGTGAGTCGTTCCTCCGAAGGCAGCACGCAGTCGTGACCTGGAATTGCAAGGCCATCTTCTTGGAAGCTGCTGCCTGCCCCAGAATAACGATGGTCGTCCATCTGGCTCATGGGTCTTGAGTGGCTCCAGTTGGGTTGCTGAGGGATGAAGACTGGATGTGAAAGAAATGGATTCAAGCTACCAGAGGAGCAGCTCCAGGGCAAGGCAGCAGGGATAGGCCTCCTCTCGTCACTCTCACGGTCAGCTTTCTGCTTCGCGTCATGTCTGTGGGCATGCTTGTTGCCCACCACTTATAAAATAAGAATATATAGAAGGAGATAGAATGGATATAACCAGAAAACTATAGAGAAACATAAAATTAAAAAAAAAAAACAAAAGTTAAAAGATTGAAAAAGGTAACTGAGAAAGGGACCTAGGTGGGAATGTAAATTTGAACAAACACAGTGCAGCTTGGCCTTAATGGATAAAATAATGATATGGAAATTTACTTCCACCAATGAATGAAGAAAAATATGTCCAAAGAAAATATAACATTAATGAATGAATAAGAAGGCAAGAAAGAATAAACTGAGGAACAAAACACAGATGAGACAGATAGAGAATATCATGTAACTATAACCATTTAAATAATTGCATCAAACATAAATGAAGTATCCCAAGCAAAAGGCACAAATGGTCAGACTGACTTAAGAAAGCAAGAACCAACCTTATGTTGTCTTCAAGAGACAGAAAGAGGTGGAAATTAAAATTTAAGGATGGAAAATAATATACCACGCAAACAGCTAGCATAAGAAAGCCATCATAGCTGAATGTGCGTGTGAGTGTGCATGTGCTTTTTTTTTTTTTTTTAGACAGAGTCTTGCTCTGTCGCCCAGCTGGAGTGCAATGGCATGATCTCAGCTCACTGCAAGCTCCACCTCCCGGGTTCACGCCATTCTCTTGCCTCAGCCTCCTGAGTAGCTCAGATTACAGACACCCGCCACCACGTCCGGCTAATTTTTCTATTTTTAGTAGAGACGGGGTTTCACCGTGTTAGCCAGGATGGTCTCAAACTCCTGACCTTGTGATCTGCCCACCTCAGCCTCCCAAAGTGCTGGGATTACAGGCATGAGCCACTGTGCCTGGCTCTGCATGTGTGTTTTAAGACAGGGCGTTGTTCTGTTGTTGTTCAGTCTGGAGTGCAGTGGTGTGATCAGAGTTCACTGTAACCTCCGACTCTTAGATTCAAGCTATCCACTTCAGCCTCCTATGTAGATCCTCCTGCTTCAGCTGCCTCCTGCTTGGGCTTCCTCTGTAGGACCCACAGGCATATGTCATTATGCTTGGCTGATGTCCTAAACATGTTTTTTTTTTTTAGAGATGGGAGTCTCACTGTGTTGCCCAGGCTGGTCTCAAACTCCTGGCCTCAAGCAATCCTCCTGCCTTGGCTTCTCAAAGGGCTGGGATTACAGGCACGAGCCACACTGCACATGGCCTGTAGTAGCTGTATTAATAGCACACAAAATATTCTTCAATAGAATGAGTATTATAAGACAAAAAGGATAGTTCCTGCTCAATACAATAGGAAGAGACAACAATTACAAACATATACACATCTGATAACAGAATGCCAAAATATATGAACAAAAACTAGTAAAACCAAAGGGAAAAATAGAAAATCTACAATAATAGCTGGAGATTTTAACATGCTGTTCTCAGTAATACAACAAGTAGACAAAAAGAAAAAGGTATACAGGAGATTCAAATGACACTACGAACTAAACTGAATTGACACTTAGAGAAAATAATCAGCAACAACTTCAGAACGCACACTCTCTCCAACTGTATGTGAAACATTCGTCAGGACAGGCCACGTGCTTGTCTCAACAGATTTCAAAAGATCAATATCTTGCAGAGTGTTTCCAGACCACAACAGTCATAAATTAGGAATCTGCAACAACTAATCTAGAAAGGACCCCAAATGTCTCTAGAAGTTAACTCACTTCTAAACACCAATGAGTCAAAGAAGAAATCACAAATATCACTAGGAAATATTTTTACCAGAATAATAATAAAAACATAACATAAGGAAAATTGTGGAATATAATTAAGGAAATGTTTAAAGCAAAATTTATAGCATTAAAAATTATATAAGAAAAAAAGAAAGGTCTCAAATGAGAACTAGAGAAAGAAAGGCAACGAAAGCCAAAGTAAGCAGAAAAAGGAAATAATAAGCAAGAGTACAGAAATCAATGAATAGAAAACAAAATATGAAGATAATGATGAAACCAAAAACTAGTTTTTTGAGATGATCAATAACACTGATAAATCTCTAACCAAATTAAGAAAAAAGAGAACACACGAGGCCGGGCCCTGTGGCTCACGCCTGTAATCCCAACACTTTGGGAGGTTGAGGCGGGCAGATCACAAGGTCAAGAGATCAAGATCATCCTGGCCAACATGGTGAAACCCCGTCTCTACTAAAAATACAAAAATTAGCCAGGCATGGTGGTGGGCACCTGTAGTCCCAGCTACTTGGGAGGCTGAGGCAGGAGAATCACTTGAACCCGGGAGGCGGAGGTTGCAGTGAGCTGAGATTGCACCATTGCACTCCAGCCTGGGTGACAGAGCGAGATTCCATCTCAAAAACAAAAACAAAAACAAAAAAACCCCACAAATTACCAATATCAGAAATGAAAGAGGGGACTTCACTACAGATCCTTTAGATAAAAAGGGATTTTTTTTTTTTTTTTTGAGATGGAGTCTCAGTCTGTTGCCCAGGCTGGAGTGCAGTGGTGCAATCTCAGCTCACTGCAAACTCCACCTCCCGGATTCAAGCGATTCTTCTGTCTCAGCCTCCTAAGTAGCTGGGATTACAGGGGCATGCCACCACACCTGGCTAATTTTTGTATTTTTAGTAGAGACAGGTTTCCCATGTTGGCCAGGCTGGTCTGGAACACCTGATCTCAGGTGATCCACCTGCCTCTGCCTCCCAAAGTGCTGGGATTACAGGCATGAGCCACTGTACCTGGCCAGAAATGATTCATATATATATATGTATGTATTAGCTTTATTGAGGTATGTTTTATATGCAGTAAAAGTCACAACTTCTAAGGAAATATTGGGATAACTTTATGCCAACAAATCTAAAAACTTAAATAAAATGGAAAAATTCCTTGAAAAACACAGGACACTAAAGCTCATTCAAGAAAAAAATTAAATAACCTTAATAGCCCTATATCTGTTAAATAAATTGAATTTATAGCTAAAGTCATTCCCAAAGAAGATGTCAACCTCAGATGGCTTTGCAAGTGAATTCTACTCAACACTTAAGGAAGAAATAACATCAATTCTATACAATTCTTTCACAGAAAACAGAAAATGAGGGAGTACTTCCCAGCTCACTTTATGAAGTTGGCATTACTCTGACACTGAACAAAGACAAAAACATTACAAGAAAAGAAAACTACAAATAATATCCTCATTAACATAAACACAAAAATCCTCAACAAAAGAACAGCCAAGTCGTATCCATCATATATTAAAAGAATAATCCATGTGATCAAGTGGGCTTCATCTCTGGAGTGCAAGCTTGGTTGGACATTTGAAACTGAATCAGTGTAATTCATCATATTAACAGGCTGAAAAAGAAAAACCATATGATAATCTCAAAAGACGAGGAAAAAAGCATTTGACAAGATTCATCAACGGTTCATGATAAAAACACTCAAAACAGAAATAGATTTCAACCTGATAAAAGGCATCTACAAAAAAACTACAGCTTACATTATACTTAAGGGTGAAAGACCAAATGGTTTCCCACTAAGACAAGAAACAAGGCAAGGGTGTTTACTCTCATTACTTCTATTCACTATTATGCATGAGGACCTAGCCAATGCAATAAAGCAAGAAAAAAAAAAAGCATGCAGCTTGGAAAGGAAGCAGTAAAATGGGTTCTATTTACCTGTGGCATGATTGTCTATGTAGAAAATCTTACCAAATACACAAAAGCGGCTGCTAGAATTAGTGAATTTAACAAGGTCACAGGGTAAGAGGGCAATCTAAAAAGTTAATTGTATTTATATGTACCAGTAACAAACAATTTTATATTAATGCTATATGTTTATATAGTAACATTTATTAAAGTAAATGTTACTTTAAAGAAATCAGAATAGACACAAAAATCTAATGAGGGTATCTGGCCAGGTGTGGTGGCTCCTGCCTGTAATCCCAGCACTTTGAGAGGCTGAGGTGGGAGGACTGCTTGAGCCCAGGAGTTCGAGACCAGCCTGGGCAAAATAGTGGGACCTTGTCTCTATAAAAACAAAACAAACAAACAAACAAAAAAACCAGAAAAAAAGAAAGAAAAAAAAGAGGGTGTCTTATTCCTTTAAATTAACATTTACAAAATGAAAAATATAAAAATATGAAATCCTTATAGGGAAATTTAACAAAATGTGTGCAAAGCCTGTGCACTGAAAACTACAAAATATTGATGAGATAAATTAATGAAGACTAAGTAAATGTAGGTTAGAAGATTCAATATTGCTAACATACTAATTATCCCCAAATTAAGATATAGGTTCAATACAATCTCAATCAGACATTTTTGGGTAGAAATTGACAAGCTGAGTCTAAAATCTGTATGGACATGCAAAGGACCTAAAATAGTCAAATTATTTTGAAAAAGAGTAAAAATGTTGGAGGACTCACATTACCTGATTCCAGCATTCATTATGGAGCTACAATAATCCAGATACTGTGATGTTAGCATAAGAACAGACATGGCCAGGCACGGTGGCTCACGCCTGTAATCCCAGCACTTTGGGAGGCCGAGGCAGGTGAATCACGAGGTCAGGAGTTCAAGACCAGCCTAACCAACATGGTGAAACTCCGTCTCTACTAAAAATACAAAAATTAGCTGGGTGTGGTGGCACATGCCTGTAATTCCAGCTACTCAGGAGGCTGGGGTAGGAGAATCGCTTGAACCTGGGAGCAGAGGTTGCAGTGAGCCCAGACAGCACCACTGCACTCCAGCCTGGGCAACAGAGTGAGACTCCATCTCAAAAAAAAAAAAAAAACAAAAAAAAACAGACATATAAGTCGATGGGTCAGAACTGAGAGTCAATTGATTTTCAATAAAAGTACCAAGGTAACTTAATGGTACTGGTAATTATTTTCAAGAAATGGTACTGGAACAACTGTATATCCATATGCAAAAATAAAAACCTTGACCATTACATCATACCATATACAAAAATTAATTCAAAATGGATCACAGATGTACACTTAGGAGCTAAAACCACAAAACTTCTGAAAGACAAGAAAATATTTGTAATCTTGGTTCAGACAATTATTTCCTAAATAATACACAAAAAACATAAAAGAAAAAAGTAATAATTGGATGTCATCAAAATGTAAAGTTTTGCTTTTTAAAAGCTCTTGATAAGAAGATGAAAAAGTAGGTCAAAGACTGGGAGAAAATACTTGCGAAACATTTATCCAATAAATAACATGTTCAGAACGTATAAAGAATTCTTACAACTCAATTACAAGAAGACAACCCAATTTTTAAAAAATCGGCAGAGGATTTGGAAGGACTCTTTACTAAAGATATATGAAAGTCTCAACGCCATTAGTTGTCAAGGTAATGCAAATTAAAACACAATGAGATACACTGCAAACCCACCAGAATGGTCAGCACTATTAAGGCTGACAACACCGTGGGCTGGTGAGGGCGTGGGGCATCTGGAGCTTTCACACTTCGGTCTGGGAATGCAAAATGGTACAGCCACTCTGGAAAACAGTTTGTAAGTTTCCTGAAAGTTAAATATTAACTTTTGATACAGTCCAGCAATACCACTTCTAAGGATGTACCCAAGAGAAGTGAAAACAGATGTTCACAGAAGACTTGTCCTTGAATGACAATAGCAGCATTATTCATAACAATCTCAATGGAAAAACACCAAATGTCCATCATTTCATGGATGAGTAAACAAATGTTGGTGGAATTCTGCTCAGCCACGAAAACAAATGATCCATTGATTCATGCAGCAACGTGGAAAAGTCTCCAAGCATTTTGCCAGCGGAAAGAAGCCAGACAGGAAAGACTCTATGCTCCCTGAGTCCATGTATGTGAAATTTTATACTAAAGCTACGGTGACAGATAGTGGTTCATGGTTGCCTGTGCCCAGAATGGAGGGAGAGGGTGCCTGCAAAGGAGAACTTGGGGGGAGTTGGGACAGTGCTGGATCATCTCGGTGGTGGTGACTCACAACAAGGTGTCCAGTTGTCTAAACTCACTGAGTTGTACACTTAATATGAATGATTGGTATTGCACGTAAATTGTAGTTCAGCATAAAAGGGCACAAAAAGTAATACCTGAAGATAGGTGTTACTCATGAACCGGCAATTTCCCTAAGTATACACCCCTAAAATGCATGTCCATGTACATCAGGGCACACAAATAAGAAGGTTCAAAAATTATTAATAATATTCCCAAACTAGAAATGATCAAATGTTCATCAGCAGTGAAATGGTTAATAAACTGTGTCATACTCATGCAGTGAATCAGTAACCAGCGATGAATGAGCCCCCGTTGCATGCAACATGGATACATTTCGCAGACACAAAGTTGAATGAAAGAAACCAGAGATATAAGAATTATGTCCTATGATTCCATTAATATAAAGTTCAAACACCAGGCAAAATCGAACTAGAATGGTTAGGGATGCACCTCAAGGTAATAAAAGTATAAATAAATGCAAGGAAGTGATTTCAAGTGAACTCAGCAGAAGCTCTGGTGGGAGGGAGGCTGTCGTTGGAAAGGTACGGGTTGTGTACTCAAATCCTGCAATATTCCGTTTTTCGAGTGGGAAGTATACAGATCTTCATTTATAAGTCATTAAGCTATTACATGTATACTTTATGATTTTTCTGTGGATCGATTACATTTCACAAGACAAGAGCTTTTAAACTCATAATTAAGGTGCATTATTGTGTCTCTGAGAACTCGCTGGCTGTGGTTTTATGAGAGTAAGTTCTTTCAGTAAATCACCAGCTGTGCAGAGTTACACAGAGAGGCACACACCGTGGCTGTGTAACTGAAAGATCAATCGTGATTGTTCTTGGAAATAACATGGTGAAGATTAATAATTTAAAATGTTGAGTACTTACGTAGTTAAAAAGATAAAGGATAAAAGTACTAAAAACAGGCCAGGCACGGTGGCTCACACCTGTAATCCCAGCACTTTGGGAGGCTGAGGTGGGGGATCACTTGAGGTCAGGAGTTCGAGACCAGCCTGGACAACATGGTGAAACCCCATCTCTACTAAAAATATAAAAATTAGCTGGGCATGGTGGTGTGAGCCTGTAGTCCCAGCTACTCGGGAGGTTGAGGCAGGAGAATCGCTTGAGCCCAGGAGGCAGAGGTTGCAGTGAGCCGAGATTGCACCACTGCACTCCAGCCTGGGTGACAGAGCAAGACTCTGTCTAAAAAAAAAAAGTACTTAAAAAGTTAAGTGATAAACAAATTAGAAAAAAAAAATTAGAATCAGCCAAACTAATTGAAGTCAATATTCTAGGAGATTGAATTTTAAATGCTAATAAATATGTAAATATTAAAATAAGGTTTACAGTTGATAGGAAAAATATTGTTGGATTAACACAATTGCTGTTGTAATCAGAAAAAAACCACACGATTGTTTTAAGATACCATCTCTGGGCTTCACATTGCTTGTCTTTAGGACAGGACGGTGACGTGGCCCCAGCACAGAGGCAGCTGCGGGGACTATATGCCCTGTGTGGGTGCGCCTGGCACATCACGGGCTCTGTGATCTTTAAAATAACTCCTCTTTCCCCAACAACCTGTAGAAGTCATTTCTCATGAGCACGGCGCTTTTTTCTGAGGTGGGTGCCCCTCCCTGAGCCCTGAGCTCTGCAAATCACCTGACTAGACTGCAACTGCTTGAGGTCCCCTCATGGGGCAGAGTTAAGGCGTGGGAAGAGGCTTCATGGGTGGGCCTGGCAGGTGCTTGGGGGCAGGGATTCTGCCAGAAAGCAACCGAATCAGCTTTCAAAATGTGGCTGCGTCTGCTCCCTTTTCCACTTCTGTTTTTAGGTGTCAGAAACCAGCTGAAGTGCAGAGGCCATCCCTGTGAGTGAAGGGCCATTGAGGGTATGTGAGCTCAACAGACTGTACAAGGAAGCTCTACATGACTGGGACCACAGACTGTACAAGGAAGCTCTACATGACTGGGACCACAGACTGCCCTCCCCTCTCTCTGCCCACCCAATGTCATCCACTCAGGAACACTGCTGACCATCTGCAGAGTCTCAGGAAGTGATGGGAAAAGGGCGGGGGAGATAAGCAGGCAACCCTGTGATTGCACCGTGAGGGCGGAAACCCCACCAGCTCCCCAGTGGCAGGGCTCCTTCTAGACCCACCAGGGCATCCTCCTGCGGGTCCAGGACCTCCTTTATCCTCAGGGTAAAGTCTGAACTTCCCCGCAAGGCTCAAAGACCCTTCTGGGTGGGCACCTGCTGCCCGACGGTGGCACCCTCACTCTGCCCCTCCTATCTGAAGACTTTACTGTGCGCCAGCTCCGGGCTGTCTCCTCCAGGGCCTCTGCTCTTGACGTTCCTGCTGCTGGGGCATGCGCCCTGCCAGAGCCCCTTCCCCACCCCCAATACAGAGATGAGGGCCTGTCTGCCTGCGGGCCGGCCTGTCTCACCTGACCCTGAGCGCCGTAGGAGCAGAACCAGCTGACTTTGCTGTCCTGTCACAAGATGGAGCAACCCACCCATTCATTTGTTCATGCACTCATTCCACATAGCTGGGGCAAAGCCAGATCCTGATGTGGATGGGAGACGGGGGCAAGCTGGACAGGACCGCAGTGAGCTGAACTCCCAATGTGGCAGGGACACACACCTTTGGACCACAGGGAAATCCTGCCTCTTATGGAGGACCGTCTGTCCGGGGCAGGGGAGGGCAGGGAGGCAGTTCGCGGAGCCTGAGTGTGAGCGGCGCTCCGCCAGTCACTGGCTCCTGCATGGGAAGCCTCTGTGAGGGCAGTGGGGCCGCCTACCTTCGTGTGCCGCAAGGACTGAATGAAAATCTGTGTAGAGCACTCGGAGCGGCACCTGGAGGGCAGTGGGATCCCACAAAACTGAGTTACATCTCAGTGGGGTGAAGCGAGCATCTGGGAAATGCAAAGGCAGACGCCGGTGAGGACGTGGAGAGGCGACACACCCCAGGCTGCAGGAGGTGACTGTGCAGAGGCCCGGTGGCAGGAGCAAGCCGCCAGTGGGATGGAGGCCTCTAGAAAGGGGCCAGGGAGGCTGGAGGCCAGACTGGGGAGAAATTCTGCAGGACTGACCTGCCTCCTATGGGATCTCTGATGGCAGAAACCCCTCCAAGCTGTTTTTCCCTGCCCTAAGAGGGCACAGCCCCATCCTTCCACCCTCACCCTTTAGGGAGGCAGGAGGATGAGGCCCCATCCGTTCACTTCCTCCTCCAAAGCCTAATCATCGTGGCTGCAGCAGCCTTGCTGCATTGGGAATGGAGAGGCCGCTCCGCCCTCACTGGAGGGGGCTGCAAACCTCGTTTCCCTGGAAACTGAAATAATCAGTGGAAGTCAGCTCATGGTAAGTCTGCTTGCGCGCGTGGGTGCCACAATTATTACACAAGCTGATTTACACACTGTCCTTTGAAAACCTATGCACCATAAATGCAAAGGAAGGGTCACTATTCCTGTTCTGGAGAGTCATCGTGCAGGAGATACAGGACCGTTCGCGAGGTTCTAAAATCTGCACTCTCTGCTAAAAATACAGTGAAACATGCTCGTCCTCCTCGCAGCGATAGCAGTTGAAGTAAATCCCACGCAGATGTCCAGGAGCGCATGAAGGGCCTTCACATAGATTCACATGGGCAGATGGCTTCCGAGAAAGGTAGGCGACAGGACCGCGCCCGCGCTGCCTGGATGGAGTCTGTGGGTGCAGCTTCCTTCAGACAGAGCCTCTGGGGTCTCTGTCCGGGCCCACCGGGCACCACGGGACACACTGCGCCCTTCAAGGGCATGAAGCTGTGCGCTCTGGATGACGGCTCCACAGGCCAGAACTTGCTAAGGCTGGTGACAGGGACGGAGGTGCGTTCTCAGGGCGTCCCTCCACCTCCCCCGGCGCCCGGAGCGCGTTCCCTGCTGCAGCCACCGAATCCGGCGCAAAGTTATTTAACGCTGCAATTAGCCGGCAGGGTGAGTCATCGGCTCCCCAGCCTCTTGCCGCCGCAGCAGAAACGAACTGGAAGGGACCAGGGGTGCAGGCCCAGCTGCTCGGCCGAGGGCCTTCCGGAGACGCTCCCATCCCCCCAACCAAGGGGCCGAGGCGAGCTCCTCTCAGGAAGAGGCTGGAGGGCCCAGAGAGGCCGAAGAGGTGACCTTCCCCCACCCCACGCACCCAGCCGCCCCACGCCTTCCTCTCACCCACCTCGAATCGTCAGGGTAGGAATGAGGCGGAGGAATTCGCCGCCCTCGTCCCCCTCACTCAGGCCGTGAACCGCCTTCTGATGAATTAATTCACGTGCACCCGCGTCTGGGGAAAATTCCTGTCTGATGCAGACGAGCTTTGCAGACTAAAACCAAACGAGACTCATCCTAGGTTCTAAGACGTCGTCTCCAGCTTGACTCAAATGGCTGGTCCTAAAAGTCAGCGCCCCTACTCATCCCCCGAACCGCGGGCACACGCTCACGGCACACCCCGCACACACGCGCGCGCACACACATGCACACACCACACACGCACCCACAAGCAACACACCGCACACGCGCACACGTCAGCACTTCCCAGAGACCCTGATCGTCCCCATCCCTTGAACAACCCCCTCCCCCCACAGCACCCAGGCTCAC
Source organism: Homo sapiens (assembly GCF_000001405.40). Classification (NCBI taxonomy): domain Eukaryota; kingdom Metazoa; phylum Chordata; class Mammalia; order Primates; family Hominidae; genus Homo; species Homo sapiens. The sequence goes on along the minus strand of NC_000004.12, from coordinate 577,015 downwards.
TCCTCCCTTACCCCCAGCTCCCGGCCCCTCCCCCTCCCTCCCCGGGCTCCTTCCCACCCCCCCCCAGCTCCCGGCCCCTCCCCCTCCCTCCCCGGGCTCCTTCCCACCCCCCCCAGCTCCCGGCCCCTCCCCCTCCCTCCCCGGGCTCCTTTCCCCCCCACCCCAGCACCCGGGCTCTCCTCCTTTCCTCCCTCCTTTCCCAGGCTCCCCCTTTCCCCTTCTCCTTACCCAGGCTCTCCCCCATACCCACTCACCCCTAGCACACAAGCTCCCCTCTCCCCCTCTCCCTGCATCCCCATAACTTCCACAGGCTTCCCGGCCGCTGGCAGGCGGGTGGGCGGGAAGTGCGGCCCAGACCCAGTGGATAGAGAGGGGAGAGAGGGGAGCGCAGACGCAGGGGCGCCGAGCGGTGGGGAGCGCTGAGGGTGGGGCCCAGGGGGTCCGGGAGAGCCAGCTGGGGGTGGAGAGCTGCGTTTCCGCAGCGGCCCGCGCCGGATAGGGGCGCGGATAGGGAGGGAAGGCGGAGAGACGCGGCCAGGGGCCCCCGCTCCGGGAGGAGGAAGCGGAGGGGCGTCCCGGGGGTGGCGGGGGCTGCCGGGGGCGGGGAAGGGCGGCGCCAGGGCGAGGCGCGCGGGGCCGCGGGCGGGGTGGGGGGTTGGGGGGGAACGAGCCTCCTGGGAGGGGCCCCGCGGGCTGGGGAGGGGGCGCGCGCCCTGCGGTCTCTGCGCCGCATCGGTTCCCGGCGCGGGGTCGCGGCGGCGGCGGCGGCGGCGGCGGCGGCGGGAGGCGGAGGATGCGGGCTCCGGCGGCGGCGGCGCGGGCCCGGGAGGACGCGGGAGGATGAGGAGGAGGCCGGCGGTCCGGCCGCGCGGCGCCGGGAGGAGGCGCAGGCGGCGGGGGCGGCGGCGGGCGGCGGCGGGCGCGCGGGGTGCGGGCCGGCTCGGGCGCGGAGGATGAAGTGGAGCGTCCGCGGGGCCTGCGCCGCGCTCTCCTCCTGCCTCCTGCTCGCCTGCGCGCTCAGCGCCGCCGCCGTCGGCCTCAAGTGCTTCTCGTTGGGCTCGGAGCTGCGCGGGGAGCCGTTCCGCCTGGGGGCCGCCGCCGGCGCCTTCTACTCCGGGCTGCTGCTGGCCGCCGGCCTCTCACTGCTCGGCGCCGCCCTGCTCTGCTGCGGACCCCGGGACGCGCCCCTCGCGGGGTCGGAACCGGGCCCGGGTTTGGGGGTCCCCGCGGCGCCGGCAGGCGCTCCCGAGGCCACGCCGGGCGAGTCGGGGGCCGCGGCCGGGGCCCCGGGGCCGGTGAGCAGCCAGAACCTGCTTCTGCTCGGCGTCCTGGTCTTCATGCTCGGGGTCCTCAGCGCATTCGCGGGCGCCGTGATCGACGGCGACACCGTGTCCCTGGTGGAGCGCAAGTACTCGCACTACTGCCTGCCCCCGCGGGCGCCAGGTTCGAGCCCCGGCTCGGCCCCGGGCTCAACCCCCGGCTCGGCCCCGGGCTCGGCCCCCGGCTCGGCGCCGGGCTCGGCCCCCGGCGCCCCGCGCGCTCGCAGCACCCTGGACAGCGCCACGTCCGCCAAGTGCCGCCAGCTGAAGGACTACCAGCGCGGCCTGGTGCTCTCCACCGTCTTCAACTCGCTTGAGTGCCTGCTGGGCCTGCTCAGCCTCCTGCTCGTCAAGAACTACAAGTCGTCGCAGGCCCGGCGCGGTCGGCGCGGCAGGCGGAGGGGAGGCCGGGCCCTGGCGCGGCCCCGCGGCGGCTCCGGGCTCCGCGCGCAGCCGCCCGCCTCTCGGGCGCGCCGGGGCCGGCGGGGCCGGCGGGGGCGGCGGCTGCAGCAGCGGCCGAGCGAGGCCTCCATCCTGTCCCCGGAGGAGTCGGACCTGGCCGCCCCCGGGGACTGCGCGGGCTTCGCGGCGCACCACGCGGTCTCCTACATCAACGTAGGCGTCCTCCACGCGCTGGACGAGGCGGGCGCGGAGGTGCGCTGCGGGGGGCACCCGTCGGTGGAGCTGCCGGGGTACGCGCCCTCGGACCCCGACCTCAACGCCTCCTACCCCTACTGCTGCCGGCCGCCCTGCGAGACGCCGCGGCCCTGGGAGACCCATCGGGCCTGCTGATCCCGCGGGCCGGACCCCCATCCCGCGGACCGCGCTTGCGTTCCACCCACCCCGCCCCGCTCAGGACCCCCGCGGCAAGGGAGGACGGGCAGCGGGGCGGGGTCCAGGGCCAGGCCTCAGGGGCGCCGCCTCTTCCACGTGGCTTTGCAGCCTCCGGCCTGGCCCCCTCTGCGGGCTCCGTGACCACAGGAGGGGGCCCCTGATGTGACCATTTCTGTATCTGGGAGGTTTCTCTTCTTATTTGTGTCGTTCATATCTGGATTCCATTTTCAAGTTTACAATAAATGTTTGGGCTTGGCTAGCCCGACTGCACTTTTCTTGGCAAGTCCAAACCCTGGGGCTGCTCTGCCTGGTGGTCCGAGGCGAGGGGGACAGAGCGAGCGCCCCAGGACGGCGACTTCCCACGGAGGAAGAGCAGACAGAGACGCAGAGCAGCTGGTAATTCAGAAAGAAGAAGTGAGAACACCCAACAGCAACACTTTGTACACGGATGTGCCTGCTTTTGTTGATACTTTCTTACTGTAAAGCTCTCCATAAATAGTGAAAATGTTTGGTAAATTTATTGCAATTTAAAATTGGTGAGTTCCTTTATTAAATTAATTGCTATGTTATTGGAGAATATTCATCAAATTGGAATTAGAGGATGTCTACGCACAAGTCAGTGTGGGGGGAAATGGTTTCATTTGGTCGGACAAATGTTGAGTTTGAACAGTTGTATTCTGCTAGCTAGTTGACTGAATCCAGCCTCTTTCTAAAGCTAACTTTCTGTGTGTGTAGAGACCCTGATGCCACATCCCATACATTTCTTTTTTCTTTTCTTTTTTTTTTTTTGGAAACTGGTTGTGTGGTTTCGACTGCAAAGCAGATCTTATTTTTGATTAATACATATGAACAATTTAATCCTATTTCGGAAAATCAGTCATAGTTTTTCTGGCATAGATAATTTTCCTGTTGATTATTTCATTAATCTGGTAATTTTGAGTATGATAGCATTTCATTTCAAATATACCCCGTAATCGCCTTAATTGATGTGAAGGTCATACTTTTAAATGATGAGGCTATGTGTGTGTGTGTTTTCACACATGATATGAAATGAGTTCCATATGCTCGTGGAGTGTGTTTCCATCTGTCTGCTGGGCTGGCTGGGAGCCAGTCCGGCTCCAAGTCTTGGGAAAAGGTGATCGGACTCCCACATGCTGGAATTGTGGCATCAGGCTGGTAGCTGCTGACCCTGAGCAGCTGGGAGCAGAGCCACAGCCTGGTGGGAAAGATGAGTACCTCCTGCCGTGGGACTGGGGAGGCAGCCAGTGCTCTGCGGGGTGAGTGCCAGCACAGAGCAGTTAGGAGAGAGAAGCTACAGAAACCACGTGTAATATCTGTATTGTGTATGGAAGTCTACTTATAGCTGTGAAAAAGTAGCCAAATTTAAGGATGGAGCATAGTTTTCAGGTGCAGGCTCTGGAGTGAGGCCTCTCCTCAGCTCCTAGTTGCCCAAAGCTGGAGCTCCCTATACCCCTGGTGACCAAGGCCCCCATCCCTGCTGGCTTCTGGCTGGGCTTCCCTGCTACTGCAGAGGCCACAAGAGGCAGGAGGCTCCAGCCCCATTTCCATGATGGGAAGTGAAACCTGTCACCATTCAGGGGGCTGATCTCCAGAGCTGGCAAACCTTCCCCTGCTGATGCCTGCTCAGTTACTGCGAAGCTTGGGGATCTGGTCAAAGATGCCATGGGCCAGTGTCCTCTCCTTGCTATGTGGATGCTGCTGGAGGACAAAGAATCACAGCCAATTTACTAGGTTTTCATCCACAGGCTTCTTCAGATAGTGGCTCATAATAGGCCTCCCTGAATGGTGGAGTGAGAAAGGGGGTCCAGCCAGACAGAGGGCATGACCTGACTGGTCCCACTGTCCATTTACAGCCCAGTCCTTTCCTGCCCCAGGACAACCAGCCCAGCAGTCATCAACCTAAGCAAAAATGTGATCGCTGGCAGAGCAGTGTGACTTTTAAGATACTTCCTTCTGTCTGCTCACATCCAATCAGCGTGGCATTGTCAGGTGCCTCCTGCTTTCCGAGCAGAGGCCTCTCAGGTGGCTGCAAGGCCAGCCTCCCAGAACTACGCAACAGGGGCAGCCAGGTGGACCTGCCCGGGGGTGGGCACTTGGTGGCTCCCTGCAGAAGGCTGCCTGGCACTGCCCTGGCTGGAGCAAATGCATGGGCAGTGCAGATGCAAAAAGCCAAATTTCTTGTGTGCTTTTTGTTTTCCGAAGTGTTTAGTTTTAATTTTGTTTGTACAGCTTAAAATGTTAGATGCCTTATGAGTCTTTCAAACTTGTGATCAAAATCGGCGACCTCTTTAGAGTGTCAGGCTTTTCTTGGGACAGAACAGAAGGCAGAAGATAGGGGCAGAGGCCCATGGCCAGGAGTAGGCTTCACACCGTCCTATCACTGTGGACACACCCTCCTATCCCTGCATGCACACCGTCCTGTCCCCGCGGGCACACCGTCCTGTCCCTGTGTGTGTGCACACCCTCCTGTCCCTGCACGCACACCCTCCTGTCCCCGCATACACACCGTCCTATCCCTCTGCATACACACCCTCCTTCCCTGCGTGCACACCCTCGTGTCCCTGAGCACACATCCTCTTGTCCCTGCACGCACACCCTCCTGTACCTTCGGGCACACTCTCCCGTCCCTGCTCGCACATCCTCCTGTCCCTATGGGCACATCCTCCTGTACCTGCGTGCGCACCCATCCTGTCGCCCGTTTGCACACCCGTCCTGTCCCCACTTGCACACCCCTCGTGTCCCTGCTTGCACCCCCTTCCTGTCCCTGTGTGCACACCCTCCTATTCCTGCGGGCACACTCGTCCTGTCGCCTGCAAGCACACCTGTCCTGTCCCTGCGTGCACACCCTCCTGTCCCTGTGTACACCTCCCTGGCCGGGGTGGCAGGATAATCTAGGGGTGCACAGAGACCTAGCTGGGGCAAACTGGCCTCTTCCGTGTGACCAGAAAGTTAGATGAGTAGTTTTAAGATTGAGTGTCCCTAACTCCGGGAGTATTCTTACCTCCACTGTCATAGGTGTTCATGTACTAATGTGGAATATCAAGGTGGTTTTTTTTTTGTTTGTTTGTTTGTTTTTTTTAAGTTTACCAGAGGAAATAGAATCCCACATACCTCTAAACTCAAATTGCCCCAAAGATCAATTCTCAGGGAAATGAGTGGAGCATCACGAAGACATCAATCTTCCTTCCTAGTTACCACTGACTTGCTAGTTACTGCTCTAGCTGAATAATGAGGTTACCCAACTCACGGCAGCAATTTTATTCATGCTCATTCTACCTTTTTAAAACCTGAAGTTGGTGGTTGAGAGTGGGTTCTTTGTTGTGCTACTTGCAAAATAATGCCAGTTCTTGGGTCTTTCTCTCCCTTTCTTTCTTTCTTTCTTTCTTTCTTTCCTTCTTTCTCTTTTTTTTTCTTTGTTGTTGTTGTTGAGATGGAGTCTCACTCTTGTTGCCCAGGCTGGAGTGCAATGGCGCAATCTTGGCTCACCGCAACCTCTGCCTCCTGGGTTCAAGCGATTCTCCTGCCTCAGCCTTCCGAATAGCTGGGATTACAGGCATGTGCCACGATGCCCAGCTAACTTTGTATTTTTACTAGAGATGGGGTTTCTCCATATTGGTCAGGCTGGTCTCGAACTCCCGACCTCAGGTGATCTGCCCGCCTCGGCCTCCCAAAGTGCTGGGATTACAGGAGTGAGCCACCGCGCCCAGCCAGTTCTTGGACCTTTCTAAAAATGAGTCTTATTCTGCTTCCCTGCCAAGAGTTTATTACGACGATGAGATAAAAAATTAAACACATTTTAGCATTTTTACATGGCAAAATGCTGAGTTTGTAAGTTACTGTTTTAAACGCAAAGCTGTGATTCGGCTCAGCAGTAGGAGCTCACAGCTCACGTGGCTGGCTAGGCATCGACTTTAAGGGATAACTTACCAGAGGTGACACATGATGCTGTGCAGAACTGGGCAGCACGGTCACCAAGCAAGCCAGGGTCTTAGGTATCTGAAGTTCCACACCTTTCCTTGGTCGGAGCGGGTGCTGTGGCCTTGGCAACATGAATTTGAACCACATAACTGAGATTTTTGACTGAAAACGCAATTAAACAATAATTTAATTCTAAAAATCAGTCAGATGGTTTTTTATTGTGAAGATCAAACTGCAGGTGATTGAAGTTTTTACTCCTGCTTGGTGTCCTGAGGCACTGCAGGAGGAAGCCTTGAATGTGTGTATGCATATATGTATATATGAACACGTGCTCACATGTGTACACATGTACACAGAGTACACCTGCACATACACATACGTGTATATGTGAACCTGTGCTCACATGCTTGCACACACAGTACACCTACATCCACACATGGGTGCATGCTCACGCGTGTGCAGGTATGCATATGTGTGTATATGGACACGTGCTCACACACGTGCACACGCACACAGTACACCTACACATACACACATGGGTGCACACTTGTACATGCACACACATGGCCTCCTGGGTAGTGTCTGAGGGCCAGGCCAGCAGCCCTGCACGGAGCATCCAGGGTGCAGGAGGAATCCGTGCAGGGCATTGTGGCCTGGCTGTGGACTGGGTCATGCTGTCCTGGCCGCCCTTGCCACAGCATCTTAGCATAAGCACTCAGGAAGTATGTCCCTGGGAGGGCGCCCTGTCAGTGCTGAGCTGCATGCAGGTTCCCTGAATGCTGTGTCATGTCCGTGTTGGGGCAGGCTAGTGGGGCAGCCATCACCTGTGGGCCAGCACAGCAAGGTGGAGCCGTTTCGGGAGAGCGCTGGAGTTCGGGTGAGCAGTGAGGGGAGGGGCGGAGAGGCAGATGTGCCAGGAGGAGTTCCTAGGCCCCAAGGCAGGTCCATGGTGTTCAGGCACTGCTACACTTGACTCTGGTGCTGACCGGGCCGGCACCCCCATGTGTCACCCTCAGGCCCAGCTCTTCTGCTGAGCAGCATGGTGTCCTTCAGTGCCCCTCAAAGTCATCATTACTCCAAAGCATTATTTTTTTCACTAAAATACAAGAGAAAATTTCTAAATGGTAGAGACCTTAAGAAAAGTGAATTCTGGCATGCAAATAAGTATGCATTGTTTGTGTACCTATGTACCAGCCTTTTCAAATGAGGCAGAGGCAGCGGCCTGATGGCAGCGGGTTCGGTTTCTCAGTGGCCCTATGCCTTTGCTTAACTTGCTGCCTTCCAGCATGTGATAGAAAGACAGCAACAAAATGGAAGAAGAAAATAATTTAGGAAACTAGTGTGCAAATATCATTATGTCCCCACAACTGAATTCTCCTGAGGACTCCTTGGGGTGACAGCAGAAAGCCAGAGGGCTCCATGACGGAGCCTGGTCCATAGCAGCTTTCTTAAAACCTCCACGTTTACCAGAGAATCCACCTATTCATGTGGATTTCACATGGAGAGGCTTCAGCTGATACGAACTACATTTTGCCTTCTATCTGCTATTGATCCTCAATAGAATATCACTTTTGGATCAGTAAAAGCTGTTTTAAAATACAATATACTCCACAAAACAATCCTTCACCCCACCTGTGTGGTCATCGTCCTGTTTCTGGTAGACTATATGGTAGCAAGTGGCCAGACCACCCGGGGTGCGCTGAGAGCAGGGGGGCTCTTTGCCCCCCACCATGGGCTTGGCAGCGGCTTTGGGCAGCCCCAGCCCACACTTCCAATGGCACCTGGAGGGCTGTGCACCTCCACTGCCCTCCTCCCATCCTCCAGGGCCTGAGTTCAGCCTCTGTGCACCTGCTGTGGCCCCACCACGTTTTGCTAGTTCCCTTTTACACTGTCTGAACATCATTGCCTGATCTCTTTTCTTCATCTCCATTTTTTTTTGAGATGGAGTCTTGCTCTGTTGCCCAGGCTGGAGTGCAATGGCATGATCTCTGCTGACTGCAACCTCCACCTCCCAGGTTCAAGCAATTCTTGTGCCTCAGCCTCCCGAGTAGCTGGGATTACAGGCGCCTGCCACCATGCCCGGCTAATTTTTGTATTTTCAGTAGAGACAAGGTTTCACCATGTTGGCCAGGCTGGTCTCAAACTTCTGACCTCAGGTGATCCACCCACCTCGGCTTCCCAAAGTGCTGGGATTACAGATGTGAGCCACCGCACCTGGCCTTCACCTCCATTCTTGATGCAACATTTTCATAGAACTCAGATCAGATCAGGTTACCCTAACCTTCAAGAGCTGTGCTTTTTCTGAAGAAGGAAAGTAAAACCTTGCGGGCTCTCAGGCCAACTTTTCAGCCTTTGCTTCAGGCACCTGGGAGCCAGGGAGGAAGTGGTAAGGGGGTCCTGCCTCGTGGGTACCTGGGAAAATGGGTGTGACCACTGAAGCTGGTGGTCCCTGGGCAAACACTGGGGGCATGAGGGGTGTGGTGGGGACAGCCCTGTGGAAGAGGGGATCCCTGAGATGGGCCTGGCCTTCTGGGACTGAGAAGGGGGATGAGGGATGGGACTGGACAGGTGGATGGGGACAGCAGGAAGGTGCTGAGGCTGAGGCCAAGGCCAGACGCACTTTGAGGGGATCATGTGTCTTTCTTGGAAGGTGACATGCACTGGGGAGGCAGGTGACTGACTGGAGGTGAATGCAGGGAGGCTGGGAAAGGGAACACAGCCAGTGCAGGCAGGACTTGTGGGAATGATGGAACAGTGGCAGCCACATGGCAGCCGACAAGTCCGTGGCTCCAGTGCTCATGCCGTTGACCTGGTCTGTCCTCGCAAGGCCCGTGTTGCCTTATTTACAGAAGAGGAGACAGAGCTGCAAAGGGACTTACCCAAAGCATGTGTTCAGGTCCTCTGGCCTCCCAGCCCCACCCTGCACCAGACACAGCTGGCCCTCAGGGGAAGCAGGACCACAGGCCCAGCCTCATCCCCACCTGGTCGTGCATTTCTGTGCATTTTACAATAGTAGGACACTCTCAACTCTTTTCCTCAGAGGAGCATCCAGATGCTGTAAATGTCTGGTCCACACAGCTGCGCCTGACTCCTCCTCCTGGGTCTGGGCTTGCAGGCTCTGCAGCTTGGTAAAGGGGCATTAGATGCTTTCTCAAGGGGCTCCCAGAGGCCACACAGGACCATGCGTCATCCCCTCCCCAGGGGCTTGGGAAAGAGACATCAGAAAGACAGAAGACAGTGCAGTGCCTGCACGCCTGCATCTTCAGCCTGCTGCCAGCCCCAGTGTCTCTCCCCCAGGAGTGGCAAAGCCTCACACCATAAGCCTGGGAGAGGCTCCTTTGGGGCAGTCAGGTTGCCTGTGAGTATTTCTCCACAACTGGCCAAGTACCCAGCAGTGTTGGGCAGGACATAAACTAGGCAGGAGGCCCTGTCCTCCAGGCCCACCAAGAACTCCCCAGGCCCCTCAGGTCACAGACAGCTTCACTCACCAGGCCTTGCTGTAGTCATCCTCAGCCACACACTGCACTCCAGCTCCAAGACCTGCCTGGGCACCATGTCCAGCCTCTAAGCCCTCCTAGGCTGTCCCTCCACGCACAGCATCATTTTCTGCCTTTTTATCTGGAAAATGCCAACATTTTATTCAACGTAAGGCCTGAGAGTAGCCTCCCCATGGAGTTGTCTGGACCTCATGTGCACACATTCCCCTGCACAGGAGCCTGTAGCAACCAGACCAGCCACTCCCTGAGAGGGAGAAGTGCCTAAGCTCCCAGCCTAACCCCTGGTCAGCCCCTGAGCTTCTGAAGGCAGGACTAGAATCCTCTTAACCTTCTATCAACAGAACCAGCCATGCACATAAGATGCAGGTCATAGGATGCAGGGGGTAGGATGTACATGGTGGGACACAGGTGCTAAGATGTACCTGGCAAGATGCAGGTAGTGGGAGGTACAAGGCAAGATGCAGGTGGTGGATACATGTTGTAGGATGCAGGTGGTTAGATGCAGGGGTGGGATGCAGGGGGTGGGATGCAGTGGGTGAGACACAGTGGGTGGGATTCGGGGGCTGAGATGCAGGGGATGGGATGCAGGGGTGGGATACAGGAGGTGGGAGGCAGGTGGTGGGATGCAGGGGTGGGATGCAGGGGTGGGATGCAGGGGTGGGATGAAGGGGGTGGGATGCAGGGGTGGGATGAAGGGGTGGGATGCAGGGGTGGGATGTAGGGGGTGGGATGCAGGGGGTGGGATGCAGGGGTGGGATGCAGGGGATGAGATACAGGGGTCAGATGCAGGGGGTGGGTGCAGGTGCTGAGTGTAGTTGGTGGGGTGCAGTTGATGTTATGCAGGTTGTGGGTGCAGCTGGTGGCTGCTAGCTTTTGTTGTAAGGATGGGTGGGATGGACAGACCAGCTCTTACAAGGTAAGAGCTTTCTAAGAGCTCTCGATTGCCTCGTGAACTTGGAGACTTTCAACACTGGTACTGCCTTCTCGTATTCATTCACTGAGGGCACTAAGGAGGCACCTACTGTGTATAGACCCAGCTTTGTTAGGTGACGAATGACAACCTGGTCTGGCACAGGAGACTAACTTCGGCTCCTGCCGTTGTTGCAAATGTGCTTAATGCCCCAGTCCAGCACCCAGGTGATAGGATGGCAGGAAATGGGGGATGATCCAGGGAGGGTGGGGATTCTAGGGAGGAGTGCGTGCACACCTGGGTACCAGACCGCGGCAGGTATAAAGGCAGTGAGGGGACAGAGCCCTGGCAGAGGAAGGGGAGAACCTCTGAGGGATGAGATGCCTCCAAGGGTCACTGAAGCTGCACGGAGGAGAGGGAGGTGGAGGGTCCAAGAGATTTGTAGGAGCAAAAATGACTGTGATGTTGATTGGACAAGGCAGTGAGGACGTGTCAGGTGTCTGGGGTGACGTGATGGAACTAGAAGCAAGAATCACAACAACTCAGGGTTCCATACCAACTCAGGGCTCCATACCAACTCAGGACTCCATACCAACTCAAGGTTCCATACCAACTCAGGGTTCCATACCAACAACTCAGGGTTCCATACCAACTCAGGACTCCATACCAACTCAGGGTTCCATACCAACTCAGGGCTCCATACCAACTCAGGGTTCCATACCAACTCAGGGCTCCATACCAACAACTCAGGGCTCCATACCAACAACTCAGGGTTCCATACCAACTCAGGGCTCCATACCAACAACTCAGGGTTCCATACCAACTCAGAGTTCCATACCAACTCAGGGCTCCATACTAACTCAGGGTTCCATACCAACTCAAGGTTCCATACCAACAACTCAGGGTTCCATACCAACTTAGGGTTCCATACCAACTCAGAGTTCCATACCAACTCAAAGCTCCATACCAACGCAGGGTTCCATACCAACTCAGGGTTCCATACCAACAACTCAGGGTTCCATACCAACTCAGGGTTCCATACCAACAACTCAGGGTTCCATACCAACTCAGGACTCCATACCAACTCAGTGCTCCATATCAACTCAGGGTTCCATACCAACTCAGGGCTCCATACCAACAACTCAGGGTTCCATACCAATTCAGGGCTCCATACCAACTCAGGACTCCATACCAACTCAGGGCTCCATACCAACTCAGGGTCCCATACCAACTCAGGGCTCCATACCAACAACTCAGGGTTCCATACCAACTCAGGGCTCCATACCAACTCAGGACTCCATACCAACTCAGGGTTCCATACCAACTCAGGGTTCCATACCAACAACTCAGGGTTCCATACCAACTCAGGGTTCCATACCAACTCAGGGTTCCATACCAACAACTCAGGGTTCCAAACCAACTCAGGGTTCCATACCAACTCAGGGTTCCATAGCAACAACTCAGGGTTCCATACCAACTCAGGACTCCATACCAACTCAGTGCTCCATATCAACTCAGGGTTCCATACCAACTCAGGGCTCCATAGCAACTCAGGGTTCCATTCCAACTTAGGGCTCCATACCAACAACTCAGGGTTCCATACCAACTCAGGACTCCATACCAACTCAGTGCTCCATATCAACTCAGGGTTCCATACCAACTCAGGGTTCCATACCAACTCACGGTTCCACACCAACTCAGGGTTCCATACCAACAACTCAGGGTTCCATACCAACTCAGGACTCCATACCAACTCAGTGCTCCATATCAACTCAGGGTTCCATACCAACTCAGGGCTCCATACCAACTCAGGGTTCCATACCAACCCAGGGCTCCATACCAACTCAGGGCTCCATAGCAACTCAGGGCTCCATATCAACTCAGGGCTCCATACCAACAACTCAGGGTTCCATACCAACTCACAGCTCCATACCAACAACTCAGGGTTCCACACCAACTCACGGTTCCATACCAACTCAGAGTTCCATACCAACTCAAGGCTACATACCAACTCAGAGTTCCATACCAACTCAAGGCTACATACCAACTCAGGGCTCCATACCAAAAACTCAGGGTCCCATACCAACTCAGGGTTCCATACCAATTCAGAGTTCCATACCAAATAAAGGCTCCATAGCAACTGAGGGCTCCATACCAACTCAGGGTTCCATACCAACTCAGGGTTCCATACCAACTCAGTGCTCCATACCAACTCAGGACTCCATACCAACTCAGGACTCCATACCAACTCAGGGTTCCATACCAACTCAGGGCTCCATACCAACAACTCAGGGTTTCATACCAACTCAGGGCTCCATACCAACTCAGGACTCCATACCAACTCAGGGTTCCATACCAACAACTCAGGGTTCCATACCAACTCAGGGTTCCATACCAACAACTCAGGGTTCCATACCAACAACTCAGGGTTCCATACCAACTCAGGGTTCCATAGCAACAACTCAGGGTTCCATACCAACTCAGGACTCCATACCAACTCAGTGCTCCATATCAACTCAGGGTTCCATACCAACTCAGGGCTCCATACCAACTCAGGGTTCCATACCAACCCAGGGCTCCATACCAACTCAGGGTTCCATAGCAACTCAGGGCTCCATATCAACTCAGGGCTCCATACCAACAACTCAGGGTTCCATACCAACTCAGGGCTCCATACCAACAACTCAGGGTTCCACACCAACTCAGGGTTCCATACCAACTCAGAGTTCCATACCAACTCAAGGCTACATACCAACTCAGAGTTCCATACCAACTCAAGGCTACATACCAACTCAGGGTTCCATACCAACACAGGGCTCCATACCAAAAACTCAGGGTCCCATACCAACTCAGGGTTCCATACCAATTCAGAGTTCCATACCAAATAAAGGCTCCATAGCAACTGAGGGCTCCATACCAACTCAGGGTTCCATACCAACTCAGGGTTCCATACCAACTCAGTGCTCCATACCAACTCAGAGTTCCATACCAACTCAAGGTTCCATATCAACTCAGGATTCCATACCAACTCAGGGCTCCATACCAACTCAGAGTTCCATATCAACTCAGGGCTCCATACCAACTGAAGGTTCCATACCAACTCAGAGTTCCATACCAACTCAGTGCTCCATACTAACTCAGAGTTCCATATCAACAACTCAGGGCTCCATACCAAGTCAGGACTCCATACCAACTCAGGGTTCCATATCAACTCAGGACTCCATACCAACTCAGGGCTCCATACCAACTCAGAGTTCCATACCAACAACTCAGGGTTCCACACCAACAACTCAGGGCTCCATAACAACTCAGAGTTCCATACCAACTCAGGGCTCCATACCAACTCAGGGCTCCATACCAACTCAGAGTTCCATACCAACAACTCAGGGTTCCATACCAACAACTCAGGGCTCCATACCAACTCAGAGTTCCATACCAACTCAGGACTCCATACCAACTCAAGGTTCCATACCAACTCAGGACTCCATACCAACTCAGGACTCCATACCAACTCAGGGCTCCATACCAACTCAGGACTCCATACCAACTCAGGGTTCCATACCAACTCAGGGCTCCATACCAACTCAGGGTTCCATACCAACTCAGGGCTCCATACCAACTCAGGGTTCCACACCAACAACTCAAGTTTCCATACCAACTCAGGACTCCATACCAACTCAGGACTCCATACCAACTCAGGGTTCCATACCAACTCAGGGCTCCATACCAACGACTCAGGGTTCCATACCAACTCAGGACTCCGTAACAACTCAGGACTCCATACCAACTCAAGGTTCCATACCAACTCAGGGTTCCATACCAACAACTCAGGGTTCCACACCAACTGAGGGCTCCATACCAACTCAGGGTTCCATACCAACAACTCAGGGTTCCATACCAACTCAGGGTTCCATACCAACTCAGGGCTCCATACCAACTCAGGACTCCATACCAACTCAGGGCTCCATACCAACTCAAGGTTCCATACCAACTCAGGATTCCATACCAACTCAGGGTTCCATACCAACTCAGGGCTCCATAGCAACTCAGGACTCCATACCAACTCAGGGCTCCATACCAACTCAAGTTTCCATACCAACTCAGAGTTCCATACCAACTCAGGGCTCCGTACCAACTCAGGACTCCATACCAACTCAGCATTCCATCCCAACTCAGGGTTCCATACCAACAACTCAGGGCTCCATACCACCCCAGGGTTCCATACCAACAACTCAGGGTTCCATACCCACTCAGGGCTCTGCACTCCATCAGGGGCCTGGAGTATCTTCAGGGGCCTGTACTACCTCAGGGGTTCGTATTGCTTTAGGGCCTGGCACTGCCTCAGGGATCTGTTCTGCCTCAGGGGTCTGTACTGCCTCAGAGGCCTAGACATTTTAGGACCTGTATTAATTTCCTGGGGCGCTGTAACAAACTACCACACCCTGGGTGTCTTAGAACAGTAACTATGGATTCTCAGCTGGAAGTCCAAGATCATGGCGTCAGCCAGG
This sequence comes from Homo sapiens, assembly GCF_000001405.40. Lineage (NCBI taxonomy): Eukaryota > Metazoa > Chordata > Mammalia > Primates > Hominidae > Homo > Homo sapiens. The sequence goes on along the minus strand of NC_000004.12, from coordinate 562,008 downwards.
CTGGCCCCTTCTAGAGGCTCTGAGGGAGAATCTGTCCCAGGCCTCTGGCTCCTGATGGCTGTTGGCACCCTGGGCTTCCATGGCTTGTAGCCACATTGTGCCAGCCTCTGCTGCCTTCATGGGGGCTCTCTGCCGTGTGTCCGTGTGCCCTTCTCGGTCTCCTACAAAGACGCTCTTGTTGCCCATCTAATCCAGTGTGATCTGTGAAGACCCCATTTCCAAATAAGGCCATATTCTGAAGTTCTGGATCAAGAATTTGGGGGGACACCATTCAACCTGGTGCAGAGCTGAGTGGAAGCTCGAGGTTGGCATCTCCCTCATGCAATGCGGGTGCCAGGCTGGCTGCTGTGGAGCTCAGGCGGCTGGTGGCAAGGACGCTGCCCTGTGGCTGGTCAAAGGCCCAGTCCATGGCAGACCACGGGTATTCACAAACCTGAATAGATCTGTCAGATGAAAAAAAAAAAAAAAAAGCTGAATCATTAAAAGTAATTGCCTAAGGGGAAATACTTTCTGAAAATACATTTGGCTTATTTGCAAATATTTTCATGTAACAGCCACAAATAACTGAATTATTTTGCAAATCCAGATGGGTGCTGTCACTCCCCCTCCAAAGTGGCCGCTGTGCCACCTTCCAGGGGGCTCCTCTCCCTCTGGGGGCCCCTCTCTTCCTGGGGGTCTCCCTGCCTCAGAGCAGCTGCAGGAGCTTCAGGGCTGGCCTCAATCCTGTTCATTTTAGGAGCTTTCTTTCTGCCTGCTCCTACCACCCCTAAGGTCTGTCCCCTCCCTACTGTCCTGGGCCAGCCAGAGGCCACCATTGCTGGGAGCCTCCCTGGAGCTGCCCCCTTGCTGCAGAGCTTCCCACAGCTGTCTCAGGCCCTCCAGGTGCCTGCACCTCCCCCAGCCCCCGTGGGAACAGGAATGATACTCCCAGAGAGTCTGTGGGGGCCTGCCCAGGAGGGCCCCTCCTGCCTTTTTAAGCGTAACTCGGGTTATTTTTTCCTTAAGTGCGTGACTTTGCGTTCTCCCACATTGAAGCTCATCTGCCACTGTGCCACCCACACATGCTGCTGCTGGAAGGAACCGCTCCGTGTGGAATTTGCTCCGAGCTCCTGTGGAGCCCACCCCACTCCGCCTGTCTGGCCCATCCCCACCCATTTCTCAAGGCTGCGCTGGGAACAGAAGGCTCCAAGGACTTTCTATGCTCCAGGCGGCCACGCCCCTTGGTGCCTGTCACCTGCTGAAGGTTATGATACCACATTTAACAAGCATTCATGGAAGGTTCTGTGTGAGCCTCTGGGATTCTGCAGTGAACCAGACAACGCTGCCCGCACGCCGAGTGCACACCGACTTCATTGGCATCAGCAGCACCTCATCAAAGCTAATTGTCCTGTGAGCATATCTCAGGGCAGACCCTCTTTGCCAAGGCTGTGGGTTCACTGCCTCCCTTATCCTGAAAACAATCGCTTTATAGGTGGGAAAATGGAGGCTTGGAGAACATGCTTCTGTGATCAAGGATGGAGCTGACAGCAGCTGTTGATTCAGGCGCTCTCCTGGAATCTGAACCCGGCCCTATTCCAGCTGCAAGGCAGGACCCAGGTTCTGTTCCCAGGTGGCATTTGTGGGAGTTTGATAAGCCCAGGTAGTGGGTGAGCAGTGTGAAAACCACGACCTACCTCCAGACCTCTGGGTGCTTACATCTGCCTGCTCACCACCCCTTCGGGGTCCCCCAAGACGCCAGACTCAGACTTTCCCCCAAACCCGACAGCTTTCCCTTCTCTGCTAGTGGCTCCACCCTCCACCCATCCATCCTCAATCTGTCTCACATGCACTACACACACCTGTCCCTAAGACCTTCAACTCAGCGCTGTCTACTAACGAGTCTTTTTCATTTTCTTCATTCAACACCCATCAAACAGGTCGAGGACACGAGGTGCTGGGACTCTAGGTGCTGGGACTCCAGGTGCTGGGACTCTAGGTGCTGGGACTCCAGGTGCTGGGACTCTAGGTGCTGGGACGCCAGGTGCTGGGACTCTAGGTGCTGGGACTCCAGGTGCTGGGACTCTAGGTGCTGGGACTCCAGGTGCTGGGACTCTAGGTGCTGGGACGCCAGGTGCTGGGACTCTAGGTGCTGGGACGCCAGGTGCTGGGACTCTAGGTGCTGGGACGCCAGGTGCTGGGACTCTAGGTGCTGGGACTCCAGGTGCTGGGACTCTAGGTGCTGGGACGCCAGGTGCTGGGACGCCAGGTGCTGGGACGCCAGGTGCCAGTGATATAGGCGTTAAGAAGGAATTGCTTAGGCAGATAGCAAGGGCATGGGAGTCCTTGGTAAGGCTTTTCTTTGTAATGAAAAGCAGCCCCAAATCATTTTCTTTTTTGGGGGGGTTGGGGGGGATTGAGACAGAGTCTCTGTCACCCAGGCTAGCTCAAAGCTAGTGGTTGCTGACTAGTCTAACTTAGAGTAGTCTCTTTTCCCCACAAGCTTCTTTAATTTTGAATTAGGAAAAATGTTGAGCATGTAGTACCGGACATAATATACACAGATGTACCCATCATTGAGATTCAGTTTGCATTGATATCAAAATTAAAATACAAAAAATTTAAGTTATAATAGTTAAAATTTTTCCCCATATTTGATCCACATTTCCCTTTTATTTTTAAAGACGTAAACTTACAGGAGTAGCTAGAGCTTCCCCTTATCCTCCCCTGACCCTGTGGTCACCTCACGCCTGTGGCTGGCCAGGTGTTGGCTGTGGCCATGTTTCTGTGTTTGTGCCATCACTGTGTGCCTGTACGCACGATATTGTATTGTTTTGTATATTTGAAAACTTCAGATAAATGATGTCATATTGTATTTAATCTTTATGCAATATGCTTTTTTGCATTCAACATCACGTTTTTGAGATTCATTCCCGGTGATGCCTATGAATCTGGTTCAGTCACTCTAATCAATACATCGTATCCCACCATGCAGAGAAACTGCAGTTTATTTAGGATCCCGCTTCTGAGGCTCTCCGCCTATTTCCTTTTTCACGATTCTAATCAGCGCTGCAGTGGAAATCCTTTGACCTGCCTTCTGCTCACAGACGGGACTTTTCTCTTTTTTTTGAGATGGAGTCTCGCTCTGTCCCCCAGCCTGGGGTGCAGTGGCGCCATCTCGGCTCACTGCAAGCTCCGCCTCCCGGGTTCACGCCATTCTCCTGCCTCAGCCTCCCGAGTAGCTGGGACTACAGGCGCCCGCCACCGCGCCCGGCTAATTTTTTTGTATTTTTAGTAGAGACGAGGTTTCACCGTGTTAGCCAGGATGGTCTCGATCTCCTGACCTCGTGATCCGTCCGTCTCGGCCTCCCACAGTGCTGGGATGACAGGCGTGAGCCACCGCGCCCGGCCCAGAGATGGGACTTTCTTCAGGTCCCACACCCAGGCGTGTGTCCGAGGGCATGTCTGCCAGGCACTGCAGGGTTGCTGTGCTCCGTGAAGGTCCCAACATACAACATCTGTGAGCCACACCAGCAGCACAGGGAACCCATCTCCTCTGCCTTGCTGAGCACTTGGTGTGATTTTGTCATTTGCTGGTGTGAGGTCAACCTTGCTGACCTCATCTGCGTTTCCACAGTTACTAGTGAGGCGTCTTTACTGATGGCTCAGTGTCTTCCTCTGTGTTCCTGTTCCTTAGCTTTAAAAACTGGTTTTCGGCCCGGCGCGGTGGCTCACACCTGTCATCCCAGCACTTTGGGAGGATGAGGCGGACGGATCACGAGGTCAGGAGATCGAGACCATCCTGGCTAACACAGTGAAACCCCGTCTCTACTAAAAATACAAAAAATTAGCCGGGCGTGGTGGCGGGCACCTGTAGTCCCAGCTACTTGGGAGGCTGAGGCAGGAGAATGGCGTGAACCCGGGAGGCGGAGCTTGGACTGAGCCGAGATCGCACCACTGCACTCCAGAGCAAGATTCCATCTCAAAAAAAAAAAAAAAACAAAAAAAAAACAAAGAAAAAACTGGTTTTCTTTTTATTTTTGATTGACTTTTAGGAGTCCATGTCACATAATTTGGATACCACTCCTCTGGGTTTGCAAATACCTTATCCTGCAATGTAGTTGTCTTTTCATTTGGCAAAAAATAGATCACATTTTTTATTATTCCCTTTAAGGCCACGCTTCCTGTTTCTGGCTTAGAAAATTCTCCCTTATCCTGATGTTTCCTTCTCTTGTAAAAGTTTTACAGTTTTGCTTTCATATTTAGGCCTGTAATCCATCTGGGAATTTATTTTTGTTTATATTGTGAGGCAGAGATCTCATTTTATCATTCTCATTATATGTGTGTGTATCTACATCTATAGATATCCATATATGGGTCTTTTATAACTTTGTCCTTTATTGTATGACTGTATTGGGGTTTTCTAGAGGGACAGAATTAATAGGATAGATGTATATATAAACGGAGTTTATTAAGGAGTCTTACTCACACAATCGTGAGGTTCCACAATAGGCCATCTGCAAGCTGAGGACCAAGGAAGCCAGTCCGAGTCCCAAAGCTGAAGAACTTGGAGTCCCTGTTCGAGGGAGGGTAGCATCCAGCACGGGACACATGGAGGCCAGAAGACTAAACCAGTCGAGCCTTTCCATGTTCTTCTGTCTGCTTTTATTCTGGCCACGCTGGCAGCTGATTAGACGGTGCCCACCCAGATTGAGGGTGGGACTGCCTTTCCCCATCCACCGACTCAAATGTTAATTTCCTTTGGCAACATCCTCACAGACACACCCAGGAACAATACTTTGCTTGCTTGTTTTTTTGAGACTGAGTCTCACTCTATCGCCCAGGCTGAGTGCAGTGGTGCGATCTCAGCTCACTGTGACCTCCGCCTCCCAGGTTCAAGCGATTCTCCTGCTTCAGCCTCCCGATGAGATGGGATTCCAGGCATGCTCCACCACACCCAACCAATTTCTGTATTTTTAGTAGAGACGGGGTTTCACCATGTTGGCCAGGCTGGTCTCGAATGCCTCATCTCAGGTGATCCACCCACCTCAGCCTCCCAAAGTGCTGGGATTACAGGCATGAGCCACCGCACCCGGCCCTTTCTTCTGATTTCTCTGAGGATGTTTATTATAGTTTTTGGAAAGGCGTTCCTTTTTCTTCATTGTCTCAGTTTCTAGGGAGTTCCTTTCTTCTTTTCGTCTCTGCCTGTCTGGTGACCCTTGGGTGTCAGCTCCTGACTGAGAGAAGCCGGGAGAGGAGGCGGGGGCTGTCTGCTTTGGGGGAGCCCTAGCAATAGTCACCGTCTGGAGTTCTCGTCTCTTAAGTAGGGTGTTGACAATCTGTCATCCACACAGAGACACTGCTGAGAGGGAGGGGCTTCCGTCCACGGCTCCAGAACACAGTATGAGCTGTGCCTGTCCTGGGCAACCAGATCAATGCTGTCCCTGGAGGAGCCTCCAATGCCACGCCTGGGGTCCACGTCTCACCACCTGCACCCGGGGCCTCGGCTCCCTTTCCTGATCAGCAAGAGGCCTTTTATTTAATTCCCATGATTGGCTCTGCTGTTGTCCTTGAGCCCAGAATGCCCAGCGCAACCTCTCAGGAGTGGGATCCTTTTCCCTCCTGCTGCGTGGGGAGAGGGCTGTTGTGTGTGGAGGTGGGGAGGGCTCTGGGGGCAACTGCTCCTGCCCTGGCCTTCCCCGTCTCCTGCGTTAACCTCAGCCTTGGAAACGGCTGTCTCCGGCTCCTGCCCTGGACTGCCCCGTCACCTGCATTAACCTCAGCCTTGGAAATGGCTGTCTCCAGAGCATCTTGTCTCACCAGAAACCCAGAAAAGTTTCCAGGACAATGAGGGCCAGGCAAAGGGCACAGAGGCCTCCTCACAGAGTCTAAGGGGCTCTTGCTTCCTTTCCCAGGGCCGGCTGTGCTGCGGGTCAGGAGCAGGATGTGGCCGTGAGGCTGGAGAACTGAAGACGGCTGAATCTCAGCCTTAGCATAGCTCCCAGGGGCAGACCCCAAGAGGGAAGAAGGGGCCTCAGCTTGTCCGAAGCATGGGCGGGTGGGACTCATCCCTCCTTTCTGGAAACACCAGGCCCCTACTCAAAGCCCGTGAGGAGCCCCACTCAGGGCCCATGCCTAGCAAAACTACACTTGCCCTCTTAAGAACGGCCCTTCTGTCTGCCAAGCGCTTAACTAGTGTCCAGTCTCAGCCTGGGCAACCTGGGAAGGGAGAGCCCTGCTCATGGAGGGGATAAGTTACTGCCGGTGGGGCTGAGACATGGCGAACAGAAACCAGCAGGAATGAGGAGACTATGCCTGGGGATGGATCTTGAGAGCGCTCGACCCTGTGTGTAGATGGGATGGAGATGGTGTGTGGATATGTGTGTGGATGTGTGTAGATAGGATGGAGATGGCAGGTGGATATGTGGGTGGGTGTGTGTAGATGGGATGGAGATGGCAGGTGGATATGTGGGTGGATGTGTGTAGATGGGATGGAGATGGTGCATGCACATGTGTGCATGTGTGTAGATGGGATGGAGATGGCGTGTGGATATGTGTGTGGATGTGTGTAGATAGGATGGAGATGGCAGGTGGATATGTGGGTGGGTGTGTGTAGATGGGATGGAGATGGCAGGTGGATATGTGGGTGGATGTGTGTAGATGGGATGGAGATGGCAGGTGGATATGTGGGTGTGCATGTGTGTAGATGGGATGGAGGTGGTGTGTGGATATGTGTGTGCATGTGTGTAGATGGGATGGAGATGGCAGGTGGATATGTGGGTGGATGTGTGTAGATGGGATGGAGGTGGTGTGTGGATATGTGGGTGGATGTGTGTAGATGGGATGGAGATGGTGCATGCACATGTGTGGATGTGTGTAGATGGGATGGAGGTGGTGTGTGGATATGTGGGTGGATGTGTGTAGATGGGATGGAGATGGCAGGTGGATATGTGGGTGGATGTGTGTAGATGGGATGGAGATGGTGTGCATGCATGCGTGTGTATGTGTGTGTGCATGCAAAATATGAGGCAAGATAAGGGAAAGTTTGTCTCTTTGGGGGAATTCACCCATGACTCAGGGTTTCTCAGCCGTGGCAAGGGTTACTGGAGCCATTACTGGGGCAGCTTCTGGAACCCTAGGAAATAGGCAGATCACCTGTACTGCCCAGTGCTACCAGAATTGCCCAGGCAATTTCCAGGGTGCCAGGAAAGGCCTTGAAAGGCTCAGTGAGGCGGGCATGTTAGAATGAGTCTAATATATGAGACCTGGGAACCCACCAGCTAACTCTGCACGTGGGGCCTAGAGGGCACTCCCTTCATGAACACAGGAGGGATGCTCCAGTTGTTGGAGGGCACTGATTTTGCAGGGGTTGCTGTCCTCCATGGGCCAGAACTGGTGATAGGAGATGCTGCCCTAAGACGGGCCTCCCTGCATCACTGAGGTTAGTTTAATTCCAGAATTCTGGCTGAGCAGAGGCCAGGTGGACAACATTGTCATGAAAAGTAGCAAGAATGAAGTGCTCTGTAGGGAATGAAATGAACTGTGTGGCTTGTTCCCACCGCCTACTGAGACAGATGGGTAGTCAACACACAGCCGTTGGCTGTTTCCCTGCTGTTGACGGGGAAAACAGGATGAAGCACGTGCATGGGCCGGCGGTCATGTGCCCCAACTGTGCAACTCCCTGCACTGCACATTAATGCCCAGCTGTAAACATCCACTGTGGAGGAGGCACAGAATCTGCTGGACGGGATGGGTCATTCTGTAAGTGTCAGCTAGCCACCCCAGTGCTCACCCAGTGGGCCCATGAACATGGCAGCCTCGACGGCAAAGAGGCCGTGCTTAAGCCTGATGTGGGCCCCTCTCACCCGTGCTGACGTGGCTCCTGTTGTGGAAGGTCCCATTCGTTAGCAGCAGACACTGAAGCTGGGCCCATATATATAATGTTTAAAGCAAAAATTATAAAACTGTATGGTGGGGTTTATGATGTATGTAGATAAAATATATATGATAATAATAGAAAAAGGGTGAGAGGAGGTTAAACAGAAACATACCATTCCAAGATTCCTTTATTTTACATGAAATAGCACAACATTAAGTGGGTTCTGGTAAATTGCATTAGATGTATAATATAATCTCCACAGCAGACACAAGAAATTAATGCAGAGTTTAGCTAAGAAGAAAATAGCAGAGAGACTTCTGATTTCTTTCCCAACATATAAGGAGCTTGGAAGTCGTCACTCCCATCCTCACAGAATAAAAAGGCTGGGCAGACTGAAAATCAATGTTTCTCCTTAGATCCATCAGAGAATTGAGGTAACGGAGAAAACTGCTCCCCCGCAAATTAGAGACAGATGAATACAGGTATAAATCTAACAAAATAAGTACAAGTCTTATGTGAAAAATAAACAAAAGCATAAAGATTGAAAAGGAAGGAGTGAAACTGTGCCTATTCATAGATGACATGATTGTTTATGTAGAAAATCCTAAAAAATCATCAAAACCATCAGTGAAACTATGAGTTTAGCAAGGTCTCAGGATACAAGGCCAACATACACAAAAATCAATTGCGTTTTTATGTTCTGTCAACAAACTACTGGAAAATAAGAGATAACTGCATTTAAAACACCATCAAAAAATAGCAGAAACAATATCTGTAACAAATTTAACACGAGACTTGCAAATCTTAGGACTGAAAACTATAAAACATTATTGAGATAAATTACCAAAAACCCCACAACTAGATAAATAAATTGTGTTCACAGATTGAAAGACTCCAGATTAAGTGCATTGTTTTCTCCAAGTTTATCTGTAGATTTAATGCAACCCCACTCATAATCCAGCATGTTTTTAAAAATAGAAATGGATAAGTTGATTGTAAAATTTACATGAAAACCCAAAGAACCTAGAAAAGTTGAAACAATCTTGAAAAAGAAGACTACAGCTAGAGGACTTTACTATCTAACTTCAAGACAGTCCAAAGCCACAGTAATCCAAATGGTCTGGTTCTGGCATAAGAAGACACAAAAAGACTCCTGGAACATACCACAGAGTCCAGAAATAGACCCCACACTTTTTCCATCAATTGATTTTTGACAAAGAAGCCAGAATAATTCAATGAGGAAGGAAAAGTGTTTTCAACTGGTAGTGCTGAAATGGATGGCTATCTGCACTACAGTGAGAGGTGGGTGAGGAAAGGAAGAAAGAAAAAAAAGAACCTGAACATCCGTATCACATTATACACAAAAATTATTTTGAGATGCATGGCAAACCTAAATATAAAAGCTAAAACTGTAAAAATTTTAGAAAAAAATCATGGGAATATCTTTGTGACCTGAACAAAGATTTCTTAGATAAGACACAGAAGGCAATAACTACACGAGAAATAACAGATACATTAGCTTTAATTCAAAGGAAAACCTCTGTCATCAACAGACACCATTTTAGAAAGGAATACACAAGCAATAGATTGGGGAGAAACATTCACAAGAAAACCTCTGATGAAGAACTGGTATTCTGAACATATAAAGAACTTTCATTACTCAGCAAGGAAAAGATCAACAAGCCAACTTTTAAAATGGTCAAAAAACTTGAACAGACACGTCACAGAAAAAGATGTGCAAATGGACAATAAGCACACAGAAAAAAGTTCTCAACGTCATTAGTCATCAGAAAAATGCAAATAAAAACCAAGGGATAACATTATGCGCCCATCAGAATGAATAAAATTAAAAAGATGCAATGTTGGCTGTGACGTCAGCACTGAGAACTCCCACAGCCTGCTGTGAATATAGGCTGGCAAACCTGCTTTGGAAAGGCGCTTGGCAGTGCTCTCAGAATCTGGGCATACATTTACTACATGACCTAGCAATCCCAGTCCCAGAGAGTCTTCCAAGAAATGGGAAAACATATGTCCACAACAAGATGTGTATAAGAAAATTCAAAGCGGCTTTATTCCTAACAGCCAAAAAACTGGAGAGAATCCAAATGCCCACCAGCAGCAGAATGAATAAACAAGTCGTGGTGTGTCACACAATGGAGTCTCACTTAGCTCTCGAAAGGAATGGAATTAGCTTCACCTCACATATGGTGAACCCACAGACACTATTCTGAGTGAAAGAAGCTAGAAGAGGAAGAGTACACATTGTCTGCATGAATTCACTTAAGTTCTAGAATGGGCAAAAGTACAGACGGTCCCCAACTTATGATGGCCGACTTAATTTTTCGACTTTATGATGGTGCAAAGGTGACATGCATTCAGTAGTAACTGTACCCATGCGACCATACTTTTTCACTTTCAGTACAGTATTTGACACTTAAAAATTTTTCTTTCCAACTAGTGTCAACACTTTGTTATAAATAGGCTTTGTGTTAATTTTGTCCAACTGTAGGCTAATGTAAGTGTTCTGAGAATGTTTAAGGTAGGCGAGGCTAAGCTACATTTGGTAGGTTAGGTAGGTTAAATGCATTTTCAACTTAGGATATTTTCAACTGACAATGGGTGTATTGGAATATAACCCCACTGTAAGTCATGGAGCATCTGTAATGTAATTGAAACAGTGGTTGCCCTCTCCCTCTCCCTCTCCCTCTCCCTCTCCCTCTCCCCTTTCCATGGTCTCCCCTCTCCCTCTTTCCACGGTCTCCCTCTCATGCCGAGCCGAGGCTGGACTGTGCTGCCGCCATCTCGGCTCACTGCAACCTCCCTGCCTGATTCTCCTGCCTCAGCCTGCCGAGTGCCTGTGATTGCAGGTGCGCGCCGCCACGCCTGACTGGTTTTCGTATTTTTTTGGTGGAGACGGGCTTTCGCTGTGTTGGCCGGGCTGGTCTCCAGCTCCTAACCGCGAGTGATCCGCCAGCCTCGGCCTCCCGAGGTGCCGGGATTGCAGACGGAGTCTCGTTCACTCAGTGCTCAATGGTGCCCAGGCTGGAGTGCAGTGGCGTGATCTCGGCTCGCTGCAGCCTCCACCTCCCAGCCGCCTGCCTTGGCCTCCCAAAGTGCAGAGATTGCAGCCTCTGCCCGGCCGCCACCCCGTCTGGGAAGTGAGGAGCGTCTCTGCCTGGCCGCCCATCGTCTGGGATGTGAGGAGCCCCTCTGCCTGGCTGCCCAGTCTGGAAAGTGAGGAGCGTCTCTGCCCGGCCGCCATCCCATCTAGGAAGTGAGGAGCGTCTCTTCCCGGCCGCCATCCCATCTAGGAAGTGAGGAGCGTCTCTTCCCGGCCGCCATCCCATCTAGGAAGTGAGGAGCGTCTCTGCCCCGCCGCCCATCGTCTGAGATGTGGGGAGCCCCTCTGCCTGGCTGCCCAGTCTGGAAAGTGAGGAGCATCTCTGCCCGGCCGCCATCCCATCTAGGAAGTGAGGAGCGTCTCTTCCCTGCCGCCATCCCATCTAGGAAGTGAGGAGCGTCTCTTCCCGGCCGCCATCCCATCTAGGAAGTGAGGAGCGTCTCTGCCCGGCCGCCCATCGTCTGAGATGTGGGGAGCGCCTCTGCCCCGCCGCCCTGTCTGGGATGTGAGGAGCGTCTCTGCCCGGCTGACACCCCATCCGGGAGGGAGGTGGGGGGGTCAGCCCCCCGCCCGGCCAGCCGCCCCGTCCGGGAGGTGAGGGGCGCCTCTGCCTGGCGCCCCTACTGGGAAGTGAGGAGCCCCTCTGCCCGGCCGCCACCCCGTCTGGGAGGTGTGCCCAGCAGCTCATTGAGAACGGGCCATGATGGCAATGGCGGTTTTGTGGAATAGAAAAGGGGGAAAGGTGGGGAAAAGATTGAGAAATCGGATGGTTGCCGTGTCTGTGTAGAAAGAGGTAGACATGGGAGACTTTTCATTTTGTTCTGTACTAAGAAAAATTCTTCTGCCTTGGGATCCTGTTGATCTGTGACCTTGCCCCCAACCCTGTGCTCTCTGAAACATGTGCTGTGTCCACTCAGGGTTAAATGGATTAAGGGCGGTGCAAGATGTGCTTTGTTAAACAGATGCTTGAAGGCAGCATGCTCCTTAAGAGTCATCACCACTCCCTAATCTCAAGTACCCAGGGACACAAACACTGCGGAAGGCTGCAGGGTCCTCTGCCTAGGGAAGCCAGAGACCTTTGTTCACTTGTTTATCTGCTGACCTTCCCTCTACTATTGTCCTATGACCCTGCCAAATCCCCCTCTGCGAGAAACACCCAAGAATGATCAATTAAAAAAAAAAAAAAGAAAAGAAACAGTGGTTGTCTCTCGGAAAGACCATGATGGAATTTTCTGGAAGAGTGAAACATCCTACATCTGGAGAGAGGTATGAATTACATGGATGTATCCACTTGTTGAAATTGTCTGGGTTTGCTTTTTGCATTTCAATGTATATAAATTTTACCTCAAAAACTAAAAACTGTAAAAGAAATAATTGACTGGGAGGGAGGGAGTCAAAGGTGATACAAGAATGTCCACGTGTCGATTGCTGAAGGTGAGTAGTGGGTGCCAGGGTCTCATCACACTACTCTGTTTACTTTGTATATACTTCAAACATTTCCAAGATATAACTTTTTAAAAAAAGGATAAATACAGGTATACCCTTTAAGAATGTCTCCTGGTTAACGTTTTCCTAGGATAATGCTTCTTTATTTGTAATAGCTAAATTCTTAGGCTATATGCACCTCTCTATGCAACATTTCCCAGGCTTCTTTCTATAGAAAATTTAATTTATATCCTTAAAACTCAATAAATACCAACCTCAACATAACAATACGTGGGAAACATCCCTTGTTGCGTTCCAAATATAATTGTCAACACATCTGAATCTCTGTAGAAGCTGTGGGAGGTGCTGGTGCTGTGGGGATGCCCGGCCCCCGCTGGCAGACACAGAGCAATGATGTCATAGGCATATTAACCGTTTAGTGACCTGGAAGTGATGTTTTAAACACTTTGCACCCTAATGTGATGTCGTATTCCTTCCACGTGGGTATCTCACTGCTCAGTTACCCTTCAGGAAACTGGGAGCCTGCGTAGGATATATAAGCTAAGGCATTATCATAATTTTCCATTGAAGATAATGGGAAATAGATCTCCCACTGACATTTCAGCATGAAACAGTGGATTTTCAGAATGAATTACTGATGCTAAGTGGGAGATGTCCTGTAAATAGAAAAAGATTTAGAAAGTGATAAAAATCTTAAATATTTGGCTCAGGCATGGTAGTTCATGCCTATAATCACAGCACTTTGTGAGGCCAAAGCAGGCGGATCACTTAAGCCCAGCAGTTCGACACCAGCCTGGGCAACATGGTGAAACCTCATCTATAAAAAAAAACAAAAAAACACAAAAATTAGCCAGGTGTGGTGGCATGCACTTGTAGTCCCAGCTGCTTGGGAGACTGGGAGGTGGGAGGATTGCTTGAGACCAGGAGGCTGAGGCTTCAGGGAACCGACATCACACCACTGCACTCCAGCCTGGGTGACACAGCAAAACCTGTCTCAAAAAAAAAAAAATCTTAAATATTTGTAAAGTAAACACTAAATATTTGTAATTAAGAAACAATCTCCTAGAAAACTTTTGGAATGGAAAGAAAATCATGAACTATATAGAGAAAAATGAAAAGGAAATGTAAACTCAAAAAAAAGACAAAGGCAAAAAAACAGAAGGCAGGAAGGAAAGCAGAAAGGAAAGGGGAAGGAGTAAAAAAGAAAGAAAGTACCAGGAAAAGCAAGTTAAGCACAAGGGGAGAAAATCAGTTTGGTTTTAGATCAGGTGCAACCTCAGGTAACACCAAGGCACGGCAATTTCTATCATGTCTTGAGGGAAGAAACTGCTGCACGAGAATCCTACAGCAAACCATGAAGATAGCCGACTGACATGACAGAGACGCAAACATGTAGGAGTCCAACATCCTTGAATGCTTCCTGAAAGAATTACTAGACAATAAAATCCATCCTGCAAATTGTGTTAATAGGAATTTAGCCGGGGAAAAGGACTAGGGGTGAGCAGTGAATCGTTTATTACAGAATCAAAACTGACCAATTGTGTAAATTACAGGACAAAATATACAATTTTACAAATTATAACTCTACAGAAAATTTGGAAAGTGGGTGAATGAAGGAAGAATGTGTGATAACTGTCATCTTTTATAGCAGGGAGTGAATCGATAGAAATTAAAGAAAGAAAGAGTAATTTTCAGAATCAACATTACTCCAGTTTCTTAATTCGTGTTTGTGTGTGTGTGTGTGTGTGTGTGTGTGTGTGTGGCAGGGAAAGCTCTTATTGGCATCTTAAAGATCATTTAGTTGGCCAGGCGTGGTGGCTCACACGTGTAATCCCAGCACTTTGGGAGGCTGAGGTGGGCAGATCATGAGGTCAGGAGTTCAAGACCAGCCTCGCCAATACGGTGAAACCCTGTCTCTATTAAAAACACAAAAATTAGCTGGGCATGGTGACGTGCGCCTGTAGTCCCAGCTACTCAGGAGGCTAAGGCAAAAGAATCACTTGAACCTGGGAGGTGGAGGTTTGCAGTGAGCCGAGATCGCACCACTGGACTCCAGCCTGGGTGAAAGAGCGAGACTCCGTCTCCAAAAAAAAAAAAAAAGATCATTTAGTTATATATTTTGTTATCATTTGCAGAGAAGGGGTTGAGCTGACAGAGTCTTTAATGCAGATATTGTCCCAGAGATTAGATCTTGTAACACCCAGTAGTTTAAGTATATCCTAATGATAATGAAACTGCATTTTGTAATATTTCTTGAATAATAGGAGGAAAAATAAATTCTCAAGTCTTTGATTCTGGTGTTGCAAAGAGAAATAGCCATTTCATTATATGAGGATTCGTGCATTGAATTCTTTCCAAACAAGATTATAATTCATTATATCAGCATGTACCAAATGCGATTTATAGTGACCTTATAATATTTCCTAACTGAATAAGTATCATTTCTTTATCATTAGAATTTTAATAGTCAACTTCCTTTTCTAAACAAACAAATACCTATAATTGGAAATGTGATAAAATTTGAGACTATCTGGGTGCCTTAGATGTAAAGGGCTTTTGGTTGTGATTGGAAAAAAGTGAATGGGCCGGGCGCGATGGCTCACGTCTGTAATTCCAGCACTTTTGGAGGCCGAGGCGGGCAGATGGCCTGAGCCCAGGGGTTCAAGACAAGCCTGGGCAACATGGTGAAACCTTACCTCTACAAAAAAAACCCTAAATATTTAGCTGGGTGTGGTGGTGTGAGCCTGTAATCCCAGCTACTCAGGAGACTGAAGTGAAAGGATCATTTGAGCCCCAGGAGGTCGGAGGCTGCAGTGAGCCAAGACTGCACCACGCACTTTAGCCTGGGCAACAGAGTGAGACTGTCTAAAAAAAAAAAACAGTGAACAGCAGTACATCCTAGAGAAAGTGTGGAGGGGTGTGAAACAGGATACCCGGGTTGAAATCCGGACTCTACCAGTCACTATCTGCGTAACTTTGATGCTCGAAGATATTTAAAAAGTTTCTCATTCTCTAAAAAATAACCTGCAGTTCTACTTTATTCAATGATTATTGTTAAGTTTACATAAGTATCAACATGCCTGATCCAAAGAAATATATCATCTGAATGTCTTCTCCAAGCACTTTTCCTATAATGAGCTTTATAGTTAGTATCAGAAAATTTATCACATCAAAAACCAACTATTCAATTCAATCTGTAATTTTCCACGGAAGACGCTGATTTTCGCAAAGGGGAGAGGAAATAGTTGAATGGGACACCACTGAGTGGTCCGATGAACATTTGAAAACGGGCACCACAACCACTGTGCTGGGGCTCCCAGTGACTCAGTATTTTGTTTCTGTGTATTGCCGTGTTTTTATTTATATGAATGTCTCTTTGTGGTCCTGTGAAAGTTGGAGGGTGATGCTTGGGTGGGGAATCCCCAAACTTGGAAATATGGGAACTGCGTTTACTTAATTATGCTCAATTTTATCATGGGGAGGCAGAGAAAGATGGCAGAACAGATGGCTCTGCCGATCCCCCACCCCCACCCCCACGAGGACACCAATCTAACAACTATCTACACAGAAAAAACACCTTCATGAGAACCAAACATCAGGTGAGCCCTCATAGTACCTGGTCTTAACTCTGTATTGCTGAAAGAGGCACTGAAGAGATAGAGAAAACAGTCCTGAATTGCAGACGCCACCCGTCCCCACCCCCAGCAGGGGTGGCGTGGTGCAGAGTCTGTGGGCACTGGGGGAGGAGAACACAGCAGTTGAGAGACATAGAACTCAGTGCCAGACCAAGCTCAGCTGACACCTGCCCACCGAGGGAGCATTTAAGCCATGCCTAGACAGAGGGGATCGCTGATCACAGTGGTGGGGAACTTGAGTTCCTGCAAACCTTTAGCAACAAGAGCTAAGGTGCTCTAGGTCTGTAAAGAAATTTGAAAGGCAGTCTAGGCCATAAGTACTGCAACTCATAGGTGAGTCTTAGTGCTGAACTGGGCCCACAGATAGTGGACTGAAGGGGCATGCAACTTATGGAGAAACCAGCTGGGGTAGCCAAGGAAGTGCTGGCCTCACCCCTCCCCTAATCCCAGGCTGCAGAGCTCGAAGCTCCAAAAGAGCCTCCTTCCTTCTGCTTGATGAGAGAAGAGGGAAGAGTGGGGAGGACGTTGTCTGGCATCTCGGATACCAGCTCAGCCACAGCAGGACAGGGCACCGGTCAGATTTGTGAGGCCCTGTTCTAGGACCTAGCTCCTGGATGACATTTCTAGACACACCCTGGGTGAGAAGGGAACCCATTTCATTTAAGGGAAAGACCCAGTCCTGGAAGCATTCATCACCTGCTAACTGAAGAGCTCTTGGGCCCTGAATAACCAGCAGCGACACCCAGGTACTACATTGAGGGCCTTGGTGAGCCTCTGAGAATTGCTGGCTTCAGGTGAGACTTGGCACATTCCCACCTGTGCTGCAGGGCGAAGCTCCTTCTGCTTGCGAAAAGTGGAGGGAAAAGCAGAGGACCTTGTCTTGTCCTTTAGGTACCAGCATCACCACAGAGGGGCAGAGCACCAGGTGGGCTCTCGGGGTCCCCAGTTCCAGAACTTGACTCTTGGATGGCATCTCTGGACCTGCCCTGGGCCAGAATGGAGCCCCCTGCCTTGAAGGGTGAGTCCCAGGCCAGGCAGCGTTCACCACAAACTGACTGAAGAGCCCTCAGGCCTTAAGGGAACGTGAGTGGTGGTCCGGCGGTACTCCCCAGGGCCCGTGGTGGTGGTGGCTAAGGGGTGAGGCTCCCCTGCTTTTGGAAAGGGGAGGAAAGAGTGGGGGAGAACTGTGTCTTGTGGTTCAGTGCCAGCACAGCTTGAGTACAATAGAACACCAGGTAGGCTTCCAAGGTTTTTGACCCTAGTTCCTGACAGCACCTCTGGACCATCCAGGGTCTGGGGGAACTCGCTACCCTGAGGAGAAAGACACAGGCCTGGCTGGCTTTGCCAACAGCAGATGGCAGAGCCCCAGGGTGTTGAGTGAACATAGGCAGCAGCCAGGGAGTGGTTACAGACCCAGTGCTGTGCTGCCTTCAGGTCTGACCCAGTGCCGTCAGTGATGTGGCCACAGGGGTGCTTGTGTCACTCCACCCCAGCTTTAGGTGGCTCAGGACAGAGAGACTCCATTTGTTTGGAAGAAAGTAAGGGAAGAAAACAAGAGCTTCTGCCGGGTAATCCAGAGAGTTCTCCTGGATCTTATTCAAGACCATCAAGGTGGTGCACAGTGTTACTGGGCTTGGGGTGCTCCCTAAGGCAGATAGAGCATAGATCACAACACCAAGTCCTTTCAGATACCTGGAAGCCTTCCAAAGGAGGGGTACAAACAAGCTCAGACAGTGAAGACTATAATAAATGTCTACCTCTTCAATGGCCAGACACTGAAGAACATCTACTAGGTTAGTGCAAAAGTAACTGTGGTCTTTACTAGGTTAGTACAAAAGTAACTGTGGTTAGTGCAAAAGTAACTGTGGTCTTTACTAGCATCAATACCATCCAGGAAAACAGGACCTCACCAAACGACCTAAATAAGGCACCAGGAAGCAATCATGGAGAAACGAGATATGTCACCTTCCCGACAAAGAATTCAAAATAGCTGAGGAAACTCAATGAATTTAAGATGACACAGAGAAGGAATTCAGCATTCTATCAGATCAATTTAACATAGAGATTGAAATAATTAAAAAGATTCAAGCAGAGACTCTGGAGCTCAAAAATGCAACTGGCATACTGAAGAATGCATCAGAGTCCTTTAATAACAGACCTGATCAAGAAGAAGGAAGAATTAATAAACTTGAAGACATGCTATTTGAAAATACACGGTCAGGGGAGACAAAAGAAAAAAGAATAAAAAAAAATGAAGCATGTCTACAGGGTCTAGAAAATAGCCTCAAATGGGCAAATCTAAGAGTTATTGGCCTTTAAGAGGAGGTACAGACAGGGGCAGAAAGTTTATTCAAAGGGATAATAACAGAGAACTTCCCAAACATGGAGAAATATATCAATATCCAAGTACCAGCAGGCTATAGAACACCAAGCAGATTTAATCCAAAGAAGACTACCTCAAGGCATTTAATAATCAAACTCCCAAAGATCAAGGATAAAGAAAGCATCCTAAAAGCAGCAAGACAAAATAAACAAATATCCTATAATGGAACTCCAATATGTCTGGTAGCAGACTTTTCAGTGGAAACCTTACAGACCAGGAGAGTGGCATGACATACTTAAAGTGCTGAAAGAAAAAAAGTTTTACCCTAGAATAGTATATCTGGTGAAAATATCCTTCAAACATGGAGGAAAAATAAACTTTCCCCGACAAAAGCTGAGGGATTTCATCAACACTAGACCTGTACTATAAGAAATGCTGAAGGGACTATTTCAGTCAGAAAGAAAAGGGTGTCAATAAGCAATAAGTAATCACTTTGAAGGTACAAAACTCACTGGTGATAGTAAGTACATAGAAAAACACAGAATATCATAACACTCCCACTGTGGTGTGTAATACCCTTATCCTAAGCAGAAAGACTAAACAATGAACCAATAAAAAATAATTTTTCAAGACATAGACAGTACAATTAACATATAAATAGAAACAACAAAAAGCTAAAAAGCAGGGGGACAAAGTTAAGGGGGACAAAGGCAGCTCCAGAATTTCTGCTTGGTGTTTTCTAATTTCGTTAAGGGGACTAATAAAAACTAGAGTTTTTTATTGTTGTCTTTTTGTGTGTTTATGCAAACAGTGCTAACTTGTGACCAGCTTAAAATAATGGGTTATAAGATAGTATCTGCAAGCCTCATGGTAGCCTCAAACCAGAAAACATACAATGGATACACAAAAAATAAAAAGTGAGAAACTAAATAATATCACCAGAGAAAATCACCTTCACTAAAGGAAGACAGGAAGGCAAGAAAGAAGGCCACAAAACAACCAGAAAACAAGTAATATGGCAGGAGTAAATCCTTACTTATAAATAATAATGAATGTAAATGGATTGAACTTTCCAATCAAAAGACATAGAGTGGCCGAATGGATGAAAAATCACTTTACCATGTAATGATCCCTCTAGTGTTTTCCCCTCCAAACATCTTTTGATTGTATTGTCAAAGTTGATCAAGTTATTGGTGTTACAAAAAAAATCCACTTGGTCACAGGGCTCCACTGAGGATAAATGAATTAAAGTATAGCATAAACAATACTTTAAAACAGTATCAATCTTGTCATTGCATTGTCCTATCAATATTCCATAGTTACAGATATGAAGAGGCAGAAACTCTTTGATGTGGACAATCAGCCTTCCAATTGAAACAAGGCTTTGTGTATCCTCTGCCTGAGAAGCTGCCCTTTCTCTGTTAGCTACCAGCTCTCTTAATAGATGTTATAAGAAATTAATTTTAAAAGAATATTGTATATTTCTTGTAGTGAAGAAACATTTATTCAAAATTCAGCCTTTTCTTTGGTTTCACTTTTCCTGTTAAATTAAAAACTTATATAACTACTTTGGATTAAAAAGTTATATATAATATTTATATATAATTTGTATAAATATATATTTATATAAAATATTATTTGTATAAATATTTATATAAATATTTGCATAAATATATATTTATATATTATTTGTATATACATTTATATAAATATTTGCATAAATATATTTATATAAAATATTATTTGCATATATTTATATAAAATATTTGCATATATATTTATATAAAATATTATTTGCATACATATTTATACAAAATATTATTTGCATATATTTATATAAAATATTATTTGCATGAACATATTTATATATTTGCATATATATTTATATAAATATTATCTGTATATATATTTATATATTATTTGTATATATATTTATATAAAATATTTATAAATATATAGTATGATTTTCATGTATGCATCTATGCATCCTCCCTGCTTCTTCCATTTAGTGAACTGTATTCACTAACTGTTAGTGACTGTTTCTTCTGGATGGTGAGATTTTTTTTCTTCACATTTTTATTTTTTTAGAGATGGGCCCTGGCTCTGTTGCCCAGGCTGGAGTGCAACGGTGCAATCCTAACTCACTGCAGCCTTGAACTCTTGGGCTCAAGTGGTCCTCCTGCCTCAGCCTCCTGAGTAGTTGGGACTACAGGCACATACCACTACACCTGGCTAATTTTCAAATTTTTTTTTTAGAGATGGGGTCTCACTACATTGCCCAGGCTGGTCACAAACTCCAGGCTTCAAGCGATCCTCCTGCTTCCCCAACCTCCCAAAGTGCTGGGATTACAAGCGTGAGCCACCATTCACTCTTTAAAGACTTTTCTGATGAGCTCGGTTGTGATATAAATAAGTGATTTTGGTATGGAATAATGAACAACATTTGGAAATTTCTATCATCCAGTGAACTGTTATTTTCCAAACAACAATGCAGATGTTAAGAATCACATCTGGGTAAAAGTTCCATTCAGGGTGCAAGACAGGTCAATGTGTCGTAATGCATCAGGACATGAAAGTTCATTGATATGATTTCAGATTCCACATGGCAGCTAACCTTTTCTTTTTCAAAATAACTTTTGTTTTGAAATAGTTGAAGACTCACAAGAAGTTGCAAAAATAGTATAGAGAGTTCTACATATCCTTCACCCACCTCCCCCCAATGATGGTATCTTACACAACCAGATAAATACCAGGAAAATGATGTGGGCACAATTCTATTAATTCGAATACAGCCCTCAGTAGCATTTCACCAGTTTTTATATGCACTCGTTTCTTTTCTTTTTGTCCAACTAACCTTCAGCAAACTAACATTTGTTGAGTTTTGGTGTTGGCATCAAAAAAGATTTGGTGTTGGTATCAAAAAAGAACATCCACAATAATCAGAAAAAGGACATTAAAATATGCCTCCTCTTTCCAACTACTGATCTGAGGCTGGATTTTCTTCATATATATATAATAATTATTATTTTTTGAGATGGAGTCTCACTCTGTCACCCAGGCTGGAGTGCAATGGCACAATCTTGTCTCACTGCAACCTCTGCCTCCCTGGTTCAAGCGATTCTTCCACCTCAGCCTCCCAAGTAGCTGGGATTACAGGCACCTGTCATCATGCCTGGCTAATTTTTGTATTTTTGTAGAGACAGGGTTTCACCATGTTGGCCAGGCTGGTCTTGAACTCCTGACCTCAGGTGATCTGCCCCCGCCTCAGCCTCCCAAAGTGCTGAGATTACAGGTGTGAGCCACTCTGCCCAGCCGATTTTCTTCTTATATTGTAACCAAACACACATATCACAACAGGTCAAACACAAAATCCAACTAGCTTCAATTAGGCCAGGCATTAAAGAGGTTTGTAAAAATGTAAAACATTATCACTTTTCTCATTAAACATTTATTTTTTCATTTTAAAGACAAGAGTCTCACTCTGTTGTCCTGGCTGGAGTACAGTGGTACAATCATGGCTCACTGCAGCCTTGAACTCGGCTGAAACAATACTCTTTCCTCAGCCACCTGAGTAGCTGGGACCACAGGTGTGTGCCATCACGCCCAGCTAATTTTTTGAAGTTTTTGGAGAGATGAGGGTCTCACTATGTTTCCCAGGCTGATCTCAAACACCTGGGCTCAAGTGATACCCCCACTCTGGCCTCCCAAAGTGCTGGGTCTCACTGAATTTTTTTGTTTTGGAAAATATAGTTACTTTTCCTTCAAGTGTTTCATTAATATGCAATAGATTCCTTATAAATGAATACTTTTTTATCTTAGTTTTCATCTCAAATGCCATAAACACTGATACATGTAACCCTCATAAACCAAAGCGCCTTGGGGCCCTCAGTGGTTTGTAGGATTCTAAGAGCTCTGTGCTCCCTAAGGTAATCTGGGTGCCTCCTCCCACAGAGCTCCTGGACTCTAACAAAGTCCAGAACCTTTTCATTCATTGATTTAAACACACATATTTGGGTCACACCATAGCTTATTCAGAGGAAATTAAAAGTTCAGAAGCTTCTAGAGTGATTGTCAATGGGGGAAAATATGATACAAACTGTATATTAAAGTGATCTTTTATTAAACTATTTACTGCTTAGTCTAAATTCAGGTAGAGCAGTCAAAGAAAGTTATCCATCAACTTTGTTGAATTCATATCTTTCATTTTAGAATAACAGCAGACTTTAAGCATGTATTATTTTTCCAGTGTTCAGCTTAGTCTAAGACTGTGTGAGTCTGGTTTGATCCATTGCCGTGAAGAATACACAGACAGCAGCTGTAATGAGCAGGTGCATTCCCTCGTAGAGAAGTTTTGGAGAAAATACACTCCATATAAATAAATGATAACGCAGAGATGTCACCAAAACGATGTACGTGAAAACTGGAATAGAACAAATCAGTGCGTAGCAGAAGCAAGCATGACTCAGTGCTGAACCACTGTTAATAAGAAAGAAAATGTGTATTAGCACATGCCACTTACATATCACACATGTAACAACACTTTTATTTTCAAAAAGACTCCAGTAGCTCTTGCCCTTGGAGTAGAGGGCACCGCGTTCCTTCTTCTGCACACACATCCAGTCACTATGGTGCTGGGACAGGTGCCTCTCCAGATGCGCTGGAGACGGGAAAACCCAACCTGCCCCCTTGGAGGCTGTGTTCTAGTGAAGGAGGCAGGAGAAACCAGATATGTAACATGTCAGGAAGAGACAAATTCATGAAGAAAAATGAAGCAAACAGAAGGATGGGTGAGGGCCACCATGTCCCCCCCCACACACACCTTGAGCTCTCCAGAAATGCTTCTGAAACTTGACTGTATGTAAAAATCACCTACAGTATGTGCTGGAAGTGCCACTCTGGAGCCCCCCCTACAGAAATCTGGATGTGGTTGGTCTGGGGTGGGCAGAGGTCTGAGTCTCCAGAAGGCACGGAGGTGCCCGAGGGGACATGAGCTGCAGCCCCAACTGCTCAGCCACTGTCTGCCACCGTCATCTGTAAAACAGCTCTGAAAAACGCACCCCCCAGACTTTGCAGTTATTTAAAAATTATATATGCATGTGCTACTATATCACATGCATTATAAAATACAAACGATGAATAGAAAATCACAAAAGGGTGAGATACAAATAAACATAAATACAAGTTCTGAGCTTTTCTCCCTGCTGTGGTGTGGAGGACTGTCTGGTCTGGGGACACTGGCCCAGCGGGGTTTGCTGAGCAAATTCTCGGAATAAGAGCCACCCCTCGAAGTATGTTAATGTACCCCCTAGTTTTGAAACCACCAACACACTACATAAATCTCTTCCTCAAAGCAACTTCCCTGAGTCTGTGATTATTGAAAAATGATAAATTACATTATTTGGGCACTTTCCATGCCTCATCCATGACCTCTGATCAAGTTCTGTTAGAAAGGGCCCGGAGGCAGCCCCCAGATCCTCAGTCCTGTCGGCACGTGTGTGTGTCTGGGTGTGTGGGTCCCGCTGCATGTCCTGTAAAGGGCCCCTCGGTCCTGTCAGCACGTGTGTGTGGGTGTGTGGGTCCCGCTGCATGTCCTGTAAAGGGCTCCTCAGTCCTGTCGGCACGTATGTGTGTCTGGGCCCCACATGCATGTCCTGTAAAGGGCTCCTCAGTCCTGTCAGCCCAGCAGCTCCACCAGGTATTACTTGAGGGTGTCCTGTAAGTGGCTCCTGCTTCAGTGCTCACTGCTCAGGAAAGGGTGTCAACAGCCACGAAGGGCCAAGGACGGGGCTGTCTCTGGCCCCTCCACAGCCTCACCTCAGCCCCCCACCGGCTCCCCATCTCAGGCCTTGGAGGGGCCCATCCTCCTCTTGGCTTCTCCAAACACTCCTTCACCTCAGCCCGCCATGTGCTCCAGTAAAATACTCAGACCCTGGGATCTCCCGGTGGGTGGCCGGTGCCTCTGGTCCTTTCACTGCTTTCCTTGCCAGGCCCTGGCTCCTTAGGCGGGTCCCCCAAACCCGTACCGCTGGTCACCACTTGGTATCCAGCCCCACAGGCCGGGGACCCCACAGGGAGGTGGACCCCAAGGTATCCTCAATACACCTCCTGGTGACAGCAACACCCAGGAAAAGGTGAACATACTGGGCAGGAAGATTCGTGGCTAAGTGGGCCGTGGCCCCATCCTACCCAGACAGCGCATGGGGAAGCTGTGGCTTAGACATGGCACCACCTTGACTTCAGTTTAACACTTTATAGCGTTACCCACCTAGAAGATGGCGGCTTGCTGTTCCCACCACTTTAGCAAAGAGCCATTTGCGCTGCAGGGGAGCAGGCAGCCCGGGGTGCCAGCCCCTGGAACAGAGGGTCGCCAACCACTCAAGGCCACGTTTTTGACCTTTTGGAAACATATTTTCTCTGTCTACAATTTAGACCTGGTTATAGTTTTCCTACTCTACTGAAACAAAATAGAAACCATGAGTAAAACTTGATGCTTTAAACTTTTAAAAGGGAAGAAGAAAACCCTATAAAATGAAGGAGAAATGCTTCTTGACTAGGAAAAATATCATGATACTCTCCAGTTGATCAAAATGCTTTCACCTCACTTAATATTTGTCTTTTTCCCTCCCAAACACAAACGTGCCTGGCTGTGTAAGAGATGAAAAGTGCCTGGTCCATCAAACCGCAATCTGCAAGCACCAGGGCAGCTGCAAGGCCGAAGACCAAACCTACAGAGAGAGGAGCCGGGCAAGTACTTCCAGCCCTCCGTCTCCAGCTGGCCACTGGGAGGTGTGCCGTCCACCCAACAGGTGCTTGATCACGCCGCGCACAGCTGTAGCACATCCGTTCTCCAGGGCAGAGGCAGATGCACCTCCACGCGCTCACGCCCGCTTGTCCTGACACCTGACCACACGACGTGCTGACAGCCCACCCCAGACGGCCGAGGACGGCGTCTCCTGTTTCTGTAAGGCCAGTGTGAGCACGCGGCTGGCCTCAAAACCAAGTCAGAGAAAGACGTCCCAGGGCAGCTGCTGAGACAGGCGGACGCCGAGCAGGGGTCTCGTGGCAGATGTTTGTTTTTATGCAGAATCGAAGTCTGGAAGGACGTCTCCACACAGCGCCGCCACAGTGGGTGTCTCCCAAGCTGGTCTGTTGGTGGCTTCCGCCCGCAGAGCCTCAGCTTTCTGCTGTGATGACAAGCTCAGCGGTGACTGTAAATTACGGGGGTCTGTCCACAGACTGCCCCAAAGTGGGCGTGTCAAGCGTCCACAGGCACCTGAAGAAAAGGCAGGTGGATCTCAGGCATTCCTGTCCCCGGGAAGCTTGCAGTCTGGCCAGGGAGCGATTCTCCCCTTGGAAAGGCTCCATGTCCGCTGTGGGAAGGCACGCGCCTATCACTGCTGAAGCAAGGCCAATGCTCCCCCGACCCCTTACGGAAACCTGTGAGCGACTGAGGGGTCCAGCCCGGGCCCGCCGAGTCTGCGGGGCACGAACACTTCCACCATGGTGGACGGTTCCTCTGGCTCCGAAGCACTCATGCTGTGAGAGCCTCAACACAGGACGTGAGCGGCGAGGGGCTCCTTTCAGGGTGGGAAAAGCTCAAAGGCAGGCACGGGTGTGCGTGCCTGGGTGCGTGGGCCCTGCCCGCATGTCCTGTAAAGGGCTCCTCAGTCCTGTCAGCCCGAGGACACCTCTGCGGAATGTCGACAGGGGGCTGGGCATCTGGGTCTGGAGGCAAGGCCAAGGGTCCCTGTGGCCTGGGTCTCAGGAGCTGGTCTGGGGAGGGGAGTGAGGCGGGGAGAGGACCTGCGTGGAGCTGAGAGGATGACCTGGTGAAGGAGGCTGTGGAGCAGAAGCCAGAGGGCGGAGCGGGACCACAGAAACGTGCAGATGCTCTGTGGAGTCGCCGGCAGCTCGGCAGGAGAAGCCTCCAAGTGTCCTGGGAGGGCTGGCACGGGGGCTCAGCAGTCAGCACCGCGAGAGCGACGGTTCAGTCATGGGAGGACGTAGGAGCCCTCCAGCCTCACTGCTCAGCGGAGAGGCCACAGCGCGCTCCCTGGGGCTCCCGGCAGGACTGGGGCCTCCGGTCACCACAGGACACACGCAAAGCTCTGGCTGACCTGCCCAAAGCCACCCAGAAAGTGCGGGAGGCTGGTCCAGTCAGTGTCCCAGACGCTCGCCTGCCCGGGAGGAGGCCGGGCCGCGGTGCGCGGTTTCAGCACACGCAGAAATGCATAGGCGCTGCGGGGATTCGTGACTGTGGCTGGCAGCAGGGACAAGCGTGGAGCACGGGGCACTCTAGTAGATGCCGCAGGGGCCACTAGCCCCTCCAAAGGCTGTGAACGCTTCCAAGTGTCCCCCATTGAGCTCCCAGCAACTCCCGTTTTACAGATGGGAAAACCAGGCACATGTGAGTCGAATAACTTTGCAGGCCCTGGGGTCTCTGCCAGACCAAGTTGGGAGGTACAGAATCACCCACCCCCGCCACACTCCACTCAGCACCTGACTCCGCCAGGCCAGGCACTGAGGCTGCTATGGTGAACAGAGCGGGTGAAGCCCCTGCCTCACAAAGCCTCCTTTCTTGGGGGAGCAAGAAACATACGATGAGGAAGCAGAGAGTGTGCGGCGGTGGGAACGCTGCAGAGAAGACGGGCGTGTGGATGGGGAGCTGCACCCTTGATCTGGGTTTCCCCGGGAGAACTTCTGCACAAAACCGCCAGGAGACGGGCATGTGGATGGGGGGCTGCGCCCTTGATCTGGGGTCCCCCGGGGGGAACTTCTGCACAAAACCGCCAGGAAACGGGTGTGTGGATGGGGGGCTGCACCCTTGATCTGGGATCCCCCGGGGACATCTGCACAAAGCTGCCAGGAGATGGGGATGTGGATGAGGGGCTGCACTGCACCCTTGATCTGGGGTCCCCCCGGTGGAACTTCTGCACGAAGCTGCCAGGAGACGGGTGGGTGTTGGAGAGGAGACCTCAGGCTCACTGGAGGGAACGAGGTGGACCAGGCAGGAGAGCATGGAGGGCAGGCCAGACGCAGCTTGAAGGGACTTCTCAGCGACAGGGGACGGGGCTCACGTCTCTGAACTTCCCTGTGCCCCCCACCCTGTTTTTCCAACCCAAATCAGCTTATGTGTGGAAGGGACATGCCCCTAGCTACTCAAGGACGACTCAGAAGAGCCACGGCCCTGGCCAGGAGCCTTCTCCAGGGTCCTGCGCGCTCCAGCAGGGTCTCTGGGGGCCGAGAGCCGTCTTTTATCTTCATGTCCCCAAAGGGGAAGGACGACCCGCCCTCCATCTGGCCACCAGCAAACAGAAAAACCTGGAGTGGCGGGAAAAGGAATTTTCCTTCCTGTGTCTAGAAACCATGTGCTGGTGTGACCTGGGCAGCCCAGCGAGGCCCCGTCAGACCCAACCCTGGGGAGCCCGGCGAGGCCCCGTCAGACCCGACCCTGGCCCTACACGGACACCTCAGGCCGGCTTCTGGCCCTTGAGCTTTGGACCGTTCCCTATTTAAGGAAAAGAAAACTGTTGAAAAGACTGTTGGACCCATGGAGCTTAGACCCCCTTGCATCTGGAACAAAGTACGACCCTTAAAACCAGGCAGCCGGCCCCCAGAACTGTGCTGACGGCAGAGAGGCGCCTCACCTGCGTGTTTCTGAGCTCAGGAAGTGCACTAAGTGGCTGGCCCACAGCACAGGCCCTGCGTACGTCCCAAACGCTGTCAGGAGCACGGCTGGGATTTCCACGTAGGTGTCTAAGCCCACGAAGCCTGCGGAGATGTCCACGGTGGCAATGTTGTTGGAGTTGCCCTGGAATACAGGAGAAGAGCTGACAAAGGCCTCACAACACGTGGCATCAACAGCCACGATGTTAGCGTGAGCCACGATGTTAGCGTGAACTGTGTAGGCAGCCCAGATAACCACGCCGGCACGGACACACGTGTGGTCAGAGGTGGCTGCCCAGCCGTTCCTTCAGACTGCCGAGCTGGCCTTGCCTAGGTGGCACCCCCTCCCCCTGCCTGCAGTGCCCAGGCTGCGGAAGGGCACGTGAGCGGACCGTGCAGAAGCTGGGGCCCCCTCTGAAGAGGGACGCACACACAGACCGGCTGGCTGACTGTGCCACATCTAAGACCCTTGTCCAGACCCATCGACTTAAGACAAGCACATGAAGCTCCCCTCAAGGACCCCCATCCGAGGGGCGCATAGGGCCCTGAGAGGCCAGCTGCTGGGCCCAGCCAAGCGGGGAGCTGGGCTGAAGACTAGAACGGGCACCCAGCCAGGTCCCATCTACGGTGAGGTGCTGCCAGTGGGTTATATGGTGGAGGGCAGGCCAGCCACTGGGGGAGCACAGCCCCTGGTGCAAATTGGTAACTCACATCTGGCTTACGTATCAGACCATGAGGACTCACTTGGTCTGGTCAAACTTCATCTGTCAAGGTTCTGGCCAGTCCCGGCCCAGCCCTGGTAGGTAACTCCCTGCAGGATGCAAGCGCTGATGCCACACAGCTTACCCTGCTCCTAGTGATTCTGGATCCCAAAAAGGGGTCTTCTGAGAGACCCTGCCTCTCTGCGCAGGCCCCGCCTCTCCACTCCAAGACCACACCTTTCCACTCCTAGGCCCTACCTCTCCATTCCTAGGCCCCTCCTCTCTGCTCCCAGGCCCCGCCTCTCCACTCCAAGACCACACCCTTCCACTCCTAGGCCCCACCTCTCCATTCCTAGGCCCCTCCTCTCTGCTCCCAGGCCCCGCCTCCCCACGCTCCATCTTTACTGACTCTGATGTCTGTCACTTGCCTGTCATGCTGACCTTTCCTCAGAAACTCATGACATCTACAGTCCGACAGCACATGTCTCTATCAAGCTCAACGAAGATCCCTCTCCAGAACCAGAACTGTTCATGTCCACAAAACACTGGCTGGGTGCTCACCAGCTTGGCTCCTTCCTCCCTTTCCATGCAGAGAGCTGTGGGCCCAGGGGGTCCCCAAGTCATGTTGATGCTGCTTCCCCATTATCTCACAGATGTGCATTGACTCCTATCCCTGTTGTCTTAGGCCCCAGCCCTTTGACTTGGCTTGCCCTGAGACCCACTGGACTCGCAGCTACTGCCTCTCTTGGACGGTGCCACCCCAGTCATGTGTCTCCTCCACTTGGAAGCTCTTCTGCAGGGAGACTGAGGAGAGAGCAAACAGGCAGAAGCAGTAGGAGACCCTGGAGGGTGGCAGGGGGACAGAGTCCCAGATGCCACGATGGGAGCAGGGGAGGAGGACACCTAGGAGGTCACTGTGGCTCTGAGCAGGCTCAGCCAAGCACAGAGACTGCCAGCCATGCTGACATGTCTGCAGCTGCACAGCAGCTTTACCTGCATGACTTCATCTAACCCAACAGTCCTGATGTGCTTCGTGATTATCCTCATCAAACAGGGAGGAAACGGAGGCAGAGAGACCCAGGGACTGGGCAAATGTGGAGGGCCAGCAGATGAGCAAGGGCAGTCATGTTCCTGATCCCTGATCTGTTAAGGAACTGCCCAGTCGAGGGCAGGAAGTAGGGATGGGCAGCAAAGCCACAGGTTCCTCTCAGAGGAGATCTAACACTGAGGGGCAGCGGACTCAGCCTCAAAACAGGGGCCACGGGGAGGTGGGGAGACCAGGGAGGGCTGGGTCCTGGGGAGGCCGGGAGACCACTATCCCTGGTTTACAGATAAGGAAACGAAGGTGTGGCAAGAGCCTGCCGGAGGCCACCTGGCTTGAACGTGCTGGATACCAGCATCCAGGCCTGCAGTTCTGCTGGGGACACCCTTGTGCCTTGCGTGGACATGGCAGGGAGAGCTGCAGCTGTGTACGAGGAGGACAGGGGCCTGAGCGGATCAGAAGGGTCGGGGAAGCACCAGGACGGGGCTAAGAAGCTGGCCATTGGCCACCTACTCATTGTACCTGAAGACACAGACTTCTGTAACTTCACGCCTACCACCTTTGGGCTTCAGGATCAGGGGGACAGACATAAAGACAGAAAATCCTGCAACTGTGGGCTGTTCCATGGGAAAGGCTGGGAGCACCAGGAAAGGAGAAGAGGATGGAAGAGAGGCCCTGTAGGGACACAAAGAACTGCACATGCCTCCTGGGTACGAGACAGCGGACAGGCAGACACCGGTGCACACCAAGAAAATACAGACCTCACGGTAGAGACCAAAATGCAACCACGACGTTCAGCTGCTGCAAAGCGACTCAGCCTGGGAGTCGGCACTGGAAGGGAACCAGCAGGGCTGTGCCTGCTCTCCTGAGGTTGCCGGGAGGCTGGATGAGGCTGGATCCCTCTGAGGCCCCATCTGGCCTGCTCTCCTGAGGTTGCCGGGAGGCTGGATGAGGCTGGATCCCTCTGAGGCCCCGTCTGCCTGTCCCTCTATGTCTCTTCAAACTGAGGTGGTTTGGGCTTGTCTGGGATGGGTCTTTAAACACCGGACAGAAGCCCTGACGACCCACCAGGCTTCAGGGAGCTAATAATCATGGGGGCACCAATGGTCCCCAGTGTGGACAGCCCCGACACCAGGGGCAAAGGGCATGAACGAGAACAATTATTACATTCATCAGTGAAGCAAGTGAACAACGTGATGTCTGTGCTTCCTGAACTGCTTGTAATAAATAAACCCAGGCCTGGCCCAGCAAAGCAGCAGTCTGCTGTCTTAAGCACCCACACATCCACACCTGGGACGCGTGTCTTAAACAACCGGCTGTACTTTGTCTTATAAAATACACGAGAGTTCAGCGTAATTCACCATGCCACACTGACAGTCACTTTCCAACTTATGGGAACATTTTCTCAAAGAAAAATTTAAAATAAATATGTAAAACATGAAGTCTACTACCCATGATAATAATGAAAACCTACCTGAAAATAGAAGAATGCTTGACCAAACCAATAATGCATCACAGTAATCTCAGCTGCATCGTGTCTCAGGGGCTTCCAGATGAATTTAGTCATTAGAGTCTGAATCAAGAGGCTAAATGCTAAGACCGGAAGATTATGTGGTCTAAAGAGCAAGGCTGCCAGAAGAACTAATCCACTATATATCTCCCATAAACCTACAGTCTTGAGTTTGAAGTCTGCAGCAATGACTTGAGATTTAAGTAAGTCTTTGGTGCCCGTGAACAGAATGCCAAGGACAAAGACATAAACAAAACGAGCTTCAATAATACCCCTAAAAAAGAGCAAAACAAGTTAGATTCATTAGCACCAGTGAGAAAAATTCAAAAACATTTTCCCATGAAAAACACACCTATCTACCCAGGGAACCAGTAAATGTCCAGCACTGCTGACTAAAGGAGCCGCGGCACCCTCCCTACCCCCCAGGTCCTGTCATGGCAGTGGGCATGTCTCCTCCGCACAGCAGCCCTGAGGAGCCGCCGCCACAGGCCCACAGGTGTGTCCTCGTGCAGACTCTTCCGCTGGGGCTGGCTTCGGGGAGATCTTGCTCATTTGGCTCATCTGGTGGCACGACCCAAGCGGTGCCCTCGTGGCCCGCCTGCTTTGCAGTTAATTAAAAAAAACCCAACGCACTAGTATAAGAGTCAACTCTAAGAAACTGCTGTAAGTTCATAAATGTTCATTGCACAACTGAGCAGATTTAAAGAAGGATTTGCACATTTACAGGTACACATACATGCAGTTATAGGTAAATAAGCACCTGCACATTCACAGGCACACACGCGTGCAGTGGTGCAGTCATCCAACCCGCGGGCTCTGAGAAAAGGCAGAGCTCTGCTCAGTCCGAGCCCTGCTGCTCTGCTCACTAGCTCTCCTACTCGGGCGTGTCAATCAAGACTTCTGACCCTCAGCTTTGCTATTTGTGAAATGGAGAGAAAATGGTTCTACACTTCACAAAGTCATCCTAGGAATTAAGCAAGGGAATGCAGGGAGTGCTTGGCACACAGTAAGCTCAGTAAAATTAAGTACTCTTATGATAGTTATCTGTAAAGGATACAATTACCAAAAAATTTCATCTTACAAAACACGTATGTTCCTAAAACATAATATTTTAAATAAATTTTGTAAATGAAATGCTTCACACAGCCTACAAATCTGATCATTTAAAATAATCGTAATTTTTAATATCATAATATTGTGAAAACTGAATTTTCCTATATTAGATTTTCTTAGAAAGCTTTTACATTAAGAAAGTAAACTTTGATCAGTTTAGTTCAAACAGCCTGAGCACTGTATACCATGTGCCTGGCAGTGTGGCTGCCAGGAGGGGCCCACATCCTGGCTGAGGAGCTGGGGTCAGGTACCTGGCAACCCCCACAGGCCAAGGTGTGTGCTAAGTTAAGAGTGAATTATAGGCCCATCTGCATTCAAAGAAGGGAGAAATCAGCAAAGGTCACAATCACTGGAGAAGTTTCATAGAAGAAAAGGGACTGGTTTCTGTGTCGAGAGGATGCTAGGGCAGGCAGGGTGATGAGCAGGAGGGGCATCATCCAGGGCCTTTGGTGGGTCCTCCTCCTCCTCCCCTGGCCGGGCAGAGTCTGATCCTGCTCAACCAGGCCCACCCCGCTTCCACCTCCACTCCAGCCATCCCTGGGCTTCTGAGTGGAGGACAGTCAGGAACTGAGTGCAAAGGATTTCAGACTCTCAGTGGATGGCAGGGCCCGGGGGACTGACAGGAGAGCGGCAGCTGTTACAATGATCTAGAGCCAGGATGCCTCTGTAGCCAGGACCTATTTACGATCGGGACAGATGGGGACAAAGGACGGAGGCACTTTACAGGAAGAAGGTGAACCAGGCAGTGCGTGTGGAAAGAAAAGGCACACTGGCTAGTTCTGGACACTAGCAAATTACATGCTGCAGGAAGCAGGCCAGGAAAGGGAAGAGGGCCAAGGTCTTGAGATGAGTGATGCTGAAATTCAGTGTATAGATCTGTGAGGAAATGAATTTATTCATACGCTGCACCTTAAACACACACCCGCAAATGTAACATCCATTTGGATGAGCCCTAAGTCTCAGATTCCAAAGTCAACAGCCTTTGAGACATCTCCACAGAACACCGCTGGTACCTGCACGTCAGCATCCTCTCTGCCCCAGGCCCCGGCCCCGTATGACGGCCTGCTACACTCTCACTGCCTCAGCCAGGCCTCAGGTCACCCTAACTCCCACCCCTTACTCCCCACTCAGCCAGGAAGTACTTCCAGGGGTGCCCCCGGAGCCCCACGGCCACCCCTCAGGCTGGCCACAGCCCTCAGCAGTCACCTTGACTTGCTGTGATTAGAAAAGCAACACTTATTAACTCTAGACATCGCTAAGATACAAAAATAAGTAAAAAGCAAGACCACAATCTTATGATTTCAGGTCCTAAATATAATCACCAGTATTTTAAGTATGTAGTCTTTCATATAAGTATGAAAAAAAAAACAGGTACACAATTAGTAAGCTGGGGTCATACCTGTTCCACAACATGCTTCTCTGTTCTGTGAAAATAGGCTGCCTAACAGCCAGAAGACCCCTCTGCAGAGCACCGACCTCACTGAGAGGGTCACTATCAGAGCACCGACCTCACTGGGACGGTCACTGTCAGAGCACCGACCTCACTGGGAGGATCACTGTATTGCTGCTGGATAATTACCCTGGTTGTTCCTTTTTGCAAGGACACTTTGTGAAGGACACTTCAGTGGACATGCCTCTGTCCCATCCCAGGCTCCTGCCTCTGCTTATATTCTTGAGATAAATGGAAACAGCTATTTAAATTTAAATAGAGGGTCACCCACATGTTACAAGCTGCCCTCCAGAACGGCCTCTGCTCATCCCACTCCTGTGTTCACCACCACAACACAATTAAAATCAGAAACACAGTTGCTTTGACACAAAGAAAATAAAATGGTCCTCCTGACTGAGCCCTCCCGCCAATCAACAGGAGCTCCTGGCCCCTTACGGGGGCTCGTTATAAATTACAAGGACGGTCTGATTTTCCAGCAAGCTTCATTTCCCAGCTGCTGGGAAACATCCACTCATCATCCTCATCACCAATTACACCCTGACCAGGAAAACAGAACCCTGGCCATCACGTGCTGCCACTAACTTAGAAACCGATTCACGCTCATCTGTCTGTCCCATCACACACCCTGAAGGTTTTATTTTAAATTTAAAAAATCTTACTTCCAAGTGATTTGTCTCCTAAAAGTAACACATAAAACATAAAAAGTGCTAACAACGCAGCTGGTTGAGGTTTTCTTAGTTACACTCCAGTAGCTGTTGACACAATCACAATTCACAAACACCAAACTCCAATGCTCTGAAGACTGGCTTGGTCTTCTCAGTTCATCAAACAGTGAAGTGGTTCCACGCGCCCCGTGTCCGCCAGTTCTTCAAACAGTAAAGTGGCTCTATGCACCCCGTGTCCGCCACGCACTTACTTGGAAATGTCCTTGCTGTCCGGCCGCCACGGGAACCGGACACTCCCGATGGCCGCCCGGTAGCAGTAGACGCCCAGCAGCCCCAGCGCCAGGGCAGCCTTGGACACAGGGGAGCACCCCCTCTGCACCAGCACAAAAACTACGAGGAGGGAGAGGGCAGCCAGGACAGAGAGCTCGGCTTTGTGGTCAGAGCTGAAATGAGATGGAAAATGCCAGCATTACGTAAACAAACAGCGACAAGATCAATCTACACCAAGTGGCTTTCAAAGAACGGTATTAAAAAATAGCTGATTTTCCCAAAAACCAAAGATTACATGAAATTGTTGATTTTTATTTTCAAACAAAGGTTCTTAAAGTGTAACAAATAAAAGATGGTCAACCTCAGTGGGGTGTGGTGGCTCACACCAGCAATCCCAGCACTTTAGGATGCCAATGCGGAAGGATCGCTTGAGGCCAGGAATTTGAGACCAGTCTGGGCCACATGGTGAGAACTCATTAAAAAAAAAAAAAAAAGACAGTTAACTTGAACTCTCACTTCTCATTCACAAACGGGTCTCCCACCATCAGATGTGGATGCCCAGAGGCCAGGCGGTGACAAATAGAAACCGTCCTCTTGTTCCCTGGTACCCTCTCGGGGTCAGCCCTGCACCTACCAGCTCACCTCCCCTCTCCTGCCTCCTCCCATTAACTCAGTAACGCATGATACGTCCCTAGACCCACATGGCCTCACAGGGTCTGCTGTCACCCGCTCCTGGGTGAGGAGATGGTGCAGAGGTTGACGGCCTGTCAGAGGGCAGAGCCCGGAGTCCCGACCGCGATGCGGTGGTGCAGCACCAGCCAGTCCTGGCCTGTGTGAGGGTGGGGAAGGCCGGGCTCCCTTCTGTTTCTTTCACTGCAGCTCCCGCTTCAAAGCCTCCCAGGATGACGGGGAGACTGGGGCCACACGGGGGCCTGGGCCTCACCCCGGGAAGGGGTACCTGGGTGTCTGTGTATTGTTGCTTTTTAAATGGCACGCGTTTTTACACAATCTTCAGGATTGTTATAATAATAAAATAGAACATTTATAACAATATAATTGTTACTGTCATAGAAATTATATGAATGTGGGCTGCCTCAAAATAACTGTCATATTTTCAGACTATGGTTGACCTCGCGTAAGGAAAACCGCGGATAATGCGGTTGGGGGTGGCTCTTGCATGTGGGGCGGAAAGCCAGCCAATTCTTTCCTAATGCTTTAATTTTCCAGGAAAGTAAGAAACAAGGTGTCAAAGTGCTATTCCGGGACACGGAGCTCCCTGACACACCCGGCTGCTCTACATGCCTGGGATCCCACCCCGATGCTGGCGTGCCCCGCACAACCTCCCAGCAGCCCGTCCCCCCTCCGCTTCCTCACCTCTGGAGTGGGGACCAACCAAAGTCCCCTCTCCGGGGCTTCTCTGGAAAGGAAACGTGCAGGCACACAGCAGGCAGATAGAAGGACCCATCTGCGATGACTTGGCTAACCGAGGTTTTCGTAATTTAGTTAATGCTTAGCCTCCCACAAGAATTACTTAATCAGAAGAATCTGTAATTTCGCAGCTTCTGATGTAAACTTACAAGTATCTTCCAAAAGAACTGTGCCACTAACGTGGCCCCAGGAATCCTCACGTGCTCACCAAGACTGAGTCTCGTCATTCAATTCTGCTTCTCTGCCTCAGCAGGTATGAAGTCACACCCTGTCATTTAACTGGAAGTGCCCTCATTACTAGGACTAGGCATTTCCCTTTTCCTTCTGCTGCCATTTCTTACAGGAGTTCTCTGCAGTGACGGGACCGCAACCCTTGCTGTTACTCTCGCCGCAGATGCTCTCATTGTGCTGCTTCTTTTGCTTTAGTTTCCTAAGTCTTCACTGCCAGACAATTAAAATTTAAGTCTCGGCAAATCTTAGTTATTTTTCTGTCCTGGTTTCTTCTACTTATTTCGAGCCTTGCTTGAAATGATTTGCTATACTTTCTAGGTGGTTTTCCAGTCGCCAATGAAAGGCTCAGGAGGTGGCTGAATTCCCCCACACGGCTCTGTCCCTTCAGGATGAGGAGAGAGAAAAGGGAGGATGGGGAGGAGAAAGGAGCTTTGCTAAGGGCAAAGCTGGCCCACAGAGGCTGCGCCTGCCTTGCCTGGCTGACCCCGTCCTTCTTGCTGCCCTGGGGATCATCAGCAGCAGGATAGGGGTCTGGGGGAATGACATGGCTTAGATGTTTGTCCACTGCAAATCTCATATTGAACTTGGACCTTCAGGCTGGGCACAGTGGCTCACGCCTGTAATCCCAGCACTTTGGGAGGCCGAGGTGGGTGGATCACTTGAGGTCAGGAGTTCAAGGCCAGCCCAGCCAACATGGTGACACCCCATCTCCACTAAAAACACAAAAATTAGCCAGGCATGGTAGCGGGCGCCTGTAATCCCAGCTACTCAGGGGGCTGAGACAGGAGAATCTCTTGATTGCAGTAAGCCAAGATCGTGCCACTGCACTCCAGCATGGGTGACAGAGTGAAACTCCGTTTCAGAAAAAAAAAAAAGACACTGAACCTCCAGTGTTGGAAGTGAGCCTTGTGGGAGACGTCTGGGTCATGGGGGCAGATTCCTCACGAATGGCTTGGTGCCATCTTCGCAGTAATGAGCGCATTCTCGCTGTGGCTGTTCACAAGAGAGCTGATGTTTAAAAGTGCCGGACACCCTCCTCATCCCTCTCTTTCTCCTGCTCTCGCCACGTGAAGTGCTGGCTCCTGCTTTGCCCTCGCCATGACCGCCAGTTTCCTGAGGCCTCTCCAGGAGCAGATGCCGACACCATGCCTCCTGTGCAGCCCGCAGAGCTGAGAGCCAAGATGAACCTCTTTCCTTACATGTGACCCGGCCTCAGGTGTTTCTTTATAGCAACACACGAATGGCCTGACACAGGCAGACACTGAGTGATGGGCGGGGGGCACACAGCCCAGGCATGGACGAGGCGTCCAGAACAAGCCACTAGCAAGCTTGACCCCCACATAGCATCTTTACTATATAATGATCACTGAAACACAAGTTTTCAATCATGAACAGTTACAGTGGTTCAGCACTAATAAATGAAACCTGTTAGGCTAGCCCCCAAATAAATTCACTTCTCAACATTGATTCTAGTATCCAGTAAAACACTGGTTTTAGTGTATTTTCCCAATTCTTCAGATCTCAAATACTATCCCATTCTTAATATGAAAAATGGTCTCAATTTAGAAAAAGAAGAGCTTGGCAGGTGACCAATCGGCCGTAGAAAGTCTGGCCTGTGGCCACGGGCCTACGCTCTCACCTGGTGAGCCAGTGGCCGAGGTCAGGCCGGTGAGCCCACTGCACACCTGTCTGGTTTAGGGAGCGCAGCAGCCGGCAGCAGGCCAGTATTAGCCACGGACTGGCCAGCACCATCCACTTCTCGCGGCCTCTGAGCACTTCGGAGGTAGAGGGGCTTCCGTGGCCTTTGTCTCGCTCCAGGACATCACAGCCAGGCCCGTCCTGCCACGCTGCTGTGGCCCCGTCATGCCCTTGTTCCACACAGAGGCCACACGGAGGCTCACCGTCATCTCCCAGAAAGTAGTTTCTGTAGGTTTCTTGGCTCAGAGCTAGACACAGGGTGTTCACAAGGAAGTACCAGGTCTGGTGCTCCTCCTCCACGAAGCTGCTGGCGCCCAGGCTCAAGACGTGGCCCGCCGTCCCCAACAGAATAAGAAGGTCTAGCTCTGACCACCTTGAGCTGGGATGCATGGGGTTCTGTGAAAAGGAAAGTGCACTTTGTAAGAGACGGTCTGATAACGACACACATCTTGCTGCATGTCAAGTCCTTGCTCACAGCAGAGAATGCCCTGGACACACACCATTGTTCCTCACACCCAGCACCTGGGCCCCTACTCTGGAACAGCCCCCTTCTGCTCCAACGGCAGGAACCTTCCTCTTGGGACGCAGCCTGCAGGAGTGGAGACGCCCTCAGCCCAGGCAGGGGAGCCGGACACTGCACGGCCAGCCAGCTGTTCTCACACTGGACTCCAAGTCCCAAGGTGAGTGACAAAGACTGAAAATGGTCAGAACCCTCTGGGCAGTGGTGCAGCCCAGAGAGCTTGCCCAAAGGCTCCTGGACCCGGCCCTCCACGCTCCCGCTTCCAGGCTCTGGAAGAGCTTAGGTCTTCAGATGCACGTCGCCAGTGCCTGCTTCTTGAAACCAAAGAACCTCAACAATACATCCCACCAAACCAGACCTCAAATTTCTCCAGGAATATTCTAGAAATCCAGAACGTTTCCACTAAAATGGTTAATTCTGTTGAAATGACAAAGTTGGCATCACAGTACTGTCTCTTAAATATACTAACTTAAAGCAGTCAAAAGTAAAGATGAGGACTCAATTATTGCCGTTTATTCTTTTGGTAACTACATACTGCGTGCAGCTAGGTACTAATTCAATAGCAGGAGAGAGAGCATGAGCCCAGATGGGCCCGAGGTGCAAGCGTGGCACAGATCATCCTGGCTCCGAGGAAGCCTGTGCCCTGATGACAAAGCTGTGAGTGTCTCGGTCAGACACTCAGCACAGGGCCTCTGACGGCTCAAGCCAAGAGGGGATGAGGGCTGCGCAGGGTTGGGGTGGGGGCCCAACAGTCCTGCTGCCACTGCAGTGGGTCCCTTGATCCTGGGCTCTGTGGATCTGAGTGTGACCATCCGCCTCTTCCTCACTGCCTCACCACCACTCCCCAGCTAACGAATGAAGGTGTCCGAGGCCAAGGACTAAGAATTCCAACAGAAAACGTCCGCCTTGGAAAGAAATCTGGACCTGATGAGGCAGGATGCATTCTGGGGGTGGCAGGATGAGTGGTGCGACCAAGTCTCCTTTTGACCCTCCTGAGTGTCCAGGCCGATTGTCTCTTCTTCCCTCAGCTGCAGCTCCCACACCTCTGCTGGGAGGCTGTCCGATTCACACACCCCCTCAGCGGGGGGGCTTGTTCCTCTGTGACCGCCAGCTCTTTACAATCACCTTGGTAACAGTCGCAGGAACCTAGCTTTCCAAGAACTGAGGCATCTGACCTGACAGCACAGATGTGAACACCTGTGTCGGGACACCCAGAGGCCTGGGATAAGGCTGCTCCACGTCCTTCCCTGAGGCCCCCTGTCCAGGGCACTGCCAGCACGTGGCACACACCAGGTGTTCAACCAGAGTCTGGTAAACGAAAGGCAGCCTGAAATAACAAGAACAACCTGAGCAGAAGGACTACGTCACACTCCCAGGAACCAGCCGTACGTACCTTCCTTGGGGTGTTTCCACCCACGAGCACGTTGGTCAGAACAGACACAATCACACACAGCAGCGCCGAGGCCAGCACCATCACCCCACCTGCCGCCAGCCACGAGAGGCCACAGAAGTAGCACGAACTTTCAGCTGAGGTGCACACAATGACGTGAACGGCCGAAAGAACCAGGATCACCAAATAAAAGAGCAGAGAAAACCCAGGAGATGACAGTGGGACTTCCAGCTCAGCCTTTCTGCGCAGTGCCTGTGGGACGCTGAGCAGGAGCAGGGTGAGAACCTGGAACAGAGAAACAGCAGCATCCACAGACTGCTGGGCTTGGAGAAACCCACTTAAAAATAAGCCCAGCTCCCGCTCTCGTGTCAGCTGTCCACACAGTAAAAACAGAAAAGCAAGCTCAGGAAAAGATGATTCCTAATTAACTGCCCCAAAATGCATGGCATGATTTTTTTTTATCACCTGCAGCAATACTGAGTGAGGCCAATTGACACTGACAATACTCTGGGTCTTGTCACAAATCAGGACACACCACGAAAGAGTTAAACAAGAAAATTAATATTTTCCCATTTTTAATAACACCTATATATATATTTAAAACTATAAATATTTGGCTGAGTTATCAAATCAATGCAACACCTGAGCCATGACTGTGTGAGCATCTGTACCTCCAAAACCACGACAGTCCCCACCATCATCGAATAGATGTCGTACTGGGCCACTTGTGCACTCAGGGACAAGCTCAGCGTCTTCAGAGCATCCAGGTACTGCCTGAGAACCTTGGAGCCCAGGTTGAATAGGACTTCTGAATGCTTTTCCTCCAAGTACAGTCTGATCCAGTTCCCATGCAATCTTTCTGACATTTTAAACTGCTCAAACCCAGGATCTATTAAGAAGACAGAAAGGTTACAGGCGCGCACACACACCGTGAACATACATTTATATACATAATCTCAAAGTATTCGGTTATGCATGGCACACGGCAAAGCCTTCACTTTTCACAACTGACGCTTAATGAAGATCAATCATTCCTTTGGGTGGGGGGTCTGCAACGCCTTCTGTAAAGCTGGGAAAGCTGCCAATGTGCATCCATCTGCCCTCTGGCGATGCAGGCCTTGGTCCTTGGCATACACCCGCGGATGGCAGTGACTGACCCCTGTGCTGCCTGGCCTCCTTCTCTGCCTCCCTCATCGCTCTTACTTCCTTCTCCCTGTTCTGTCTCTTTCCACTCTCTCCTTCTTGTCAACGTGCAATATAAAAACAATCCTGAAATGCATTATGTCAACAGTCAGGTTTTAGAGTCTTTCTAACCCTTACAGCACTGTATGGGGACTGGGCAGGCAGCGGCCTGACCCTTCTCTGCCACACCCACTTCCCCAGTGCAGACTGGCCCTTCCCGACCTCTAACGTCCCCCGTTCTGCAGCCTGGGTTACTTCCTTACAACCTCTTTGGAAAGAGAGCTTCCAGCCCTCTCTGCTCACAAGGGTGAGCTCTGCTGGGCGCATGGATGCCCTGCCTCTGGATGGAGCCCTGCCCCTCTGCTATGGCAACCTCTTTTAAACCACAGTGCCATGCTGCTCACGGCACAGCTGATGTTCTTTCTTTCCCGAGCTGGCTGATGCGTGAGCCTCTGCCGGGACCACACTCACTTGTGATTAGACTGGTCTGCAAAGCAACAACTTCCTTCCTGAGACCCCCTCGGTATTTGACATGAGCTTCCTACTCCAGAAGAGCCATGCCAAGAAGGGTCTCAGCTGTGCCTCTTGGCAGGCTCGCCCCACCCTGTGGCTCTGCATGCCCCAGGCCTGCTATCACAGCAGTGAAAGAGCTGCCACAGGCGCTCAAGCCACTGAGGTCCAGGGTGCTGTGGCACAAGTCCCTGAGCATGAACTCATACGCCTGCAGGCCCGCCCCACTGCTGCCGGCACCAGGTCCCTGAGCGTGAACCCACACGCCTGCAAGCACACCCGACTGCTGCAGGCACCAAGTCCCTAAGCATGAACCCACACGCCTGCAGGCCCACCCCACTGCTGCCGGCACCAGGTCCCTGAGCGTGAACCCACACGCCTGCAGGCCCACCCCACTGCTGCAGGCACCAAGTCCCTAAGCATGAACCCACACGCCTGCAGGCCCACCCCACTGCTGCCGGCACCAGGTCCCTGAGCGTGAACCCACACGCCTGCAGGCCCACCCCACTGCTGCAGGCACCAAGTCCCTAAGCATGAACCCACACGCCTGCAGGCCCACCCCACTGCTGCCGGCACCAGGTGCTCTGCACTAAGTGCCAGTAGCCAGCAACACTAGGCGGCTCGCTCGTTTCACCTCCCTAATGACCCTATGAGGCAGGGATGAGCATCAGAACTGTTATCCAGAGGAGGCAACTGAGACACAGAGGGTGAGTCACGCACCTGGGCCACAGTGCCAGTGGGTAAAAGCTGCAAATGAAACTCAGGCAGTCTGGTTCCAGGGCTGGCATCCTTCATTGCTACACCTACCACCCTGGATGGGGGGACGCCTGTGTCCACACCCCACCGCCTATCAGAGAGTCACAAAGCTATGGGGGTGCACCTGTGCATGCATCGAAACAAATATCCATGGAGCGTGGACGACGTGCCAGGCACTGTGCCAGGCGCTGTGCCAGGGGAGACACAGCATGGCGAGCAAGCAGGTGCAATCCTTGCCTGCTGGGGCTTGGATCCAGTAGGGCTCACAGACACGCACGCACGCACACAAGCGTAATTACAAACTGTGACTGCATTACAGCTGTAATTACAAGTTTCCCAGGAAGGAAAAGTAGAGGGTATCAATGAGGGATTTTTGGTAATGGGGAGGAACTGATTTTGGATTGGGAGTGGGCGCTGGACCAGGAAGGTCTGATGTTTACGCTGAAATGTAAACGGTACCCAGGAATTCGCCAGGCAAAAAACTGCAGGAAGAGCATCAAGCTGATGGGAACAGCATGTGCAAAAGTCCAGAGGTGAGAAAAAGCCGGTCCCACTACACTGAGAGAGCCGGGTGGGCACAAAGCCTCCAACAGACTGGACGCCACCGAGGGACTGCACGGGCCTGGCTGTGGGTTCTAAAACGTATTTCAGTGTCAGAACACATACCCCATTTTGTTTTAGGAAAAAGGATCCCCGACGGTGTAGACAATGGGCCGCCAGGGGGGGTTCCAGACGCTGTGGCTGTGTTTTCAGTCAAGGGAGGCTCCTGCATTCCTTTAACAGGCTGGTTTCCTCTCATATCCACTGTGGTTCCCATCTTCCCCCAGCCACTACTTCTGGAACAGGCAAATAACCCTTCCATTGTTGTTTTGATTTTGTTGGTATCTTTTTTGTTTTGTTTTTTGAGATGGAGTCTCGCTCTGTCACCCAGGCTGGAGTGCAGTGTCGCCATCTCGGCTCACTGCAAGCTCCGCCTCCCGGGTTCACACCATTCTCCTGCCTCAGCCTCCCGAGTAGCTGGGCCTACAGGCGCCTGCCACCATGCCCAACTAATTTTTTGTATTTTTAGTAGAGATGGGGTTTCACTGTGTTAGCCAGGACGGTCTTGATCTCCTGACCTTGTGATCCCCCCGCCTCAGCCTCCCAAAGTGCTGGGATGACAGGCGTGAGCCACCACACCTGGCCAATTTTGTTGGTGTTTTTATCACTCTTAGCGTAGAAAAAAGGACACAGTAACAAAACAAGCAATATGCAAAAGCTACCAAACTCATACTATTTTTTAAAAAACGAAAAGCACAAGTCACTGTTGTCCCTGGTCTTGACTAAAATGGCTCCATGGCCAAAGTCCTCCACCTCACAGGGTGAGAGCTGGTGCTCGGTGGGGCCTCCAGACACTCATCACATCCGGTTCCCAAGCACTCCTTGGCTGGCCAGGTTTGTCTTCCACACGTGACTCTAGGAGGCCGGTTTACATCTCAGCGCAAGCTTGTGGACGTTCACTCTATTTGGTAGTAATAGTATCCCTCTACTTCAAGTAGGGAAATCTGCCAACACCACATTAACTGCTGCCCCCAAATAGGAGTCGACTTCCTCCGGGCTCTCAAAGGAGTCCCAGTATCAAACATGATTCTTGATGAACGCGGCTGCGTCAGAGTCGATTGTCTGAAGACATCCCAGGGAGACAAACGTTCCTCTCCTGGACCCTTCCTGTAGCTGTCTCCTGGCACCTCCCTTGGCCCCACACCTGCCTCAGGCAACTCCACCTCCTACTCCCATTAGAGTCGCAGTGTCTGCTGCCTAGGGCTCTCGCCTGCCTAGTACCAGCCAGGCCTTCCCCCACTCTCCATCTGACGAAGCCACTCATCACCCTCCATGGCCAGATCCAAAGCTCAGTTCTCAATTCCTGATTTTATTCAATACCAACCTTTGACGCAGCTGCCCACTCCATGCTTCCTGAAATTACTTCTTTACATGGCTTCCTGGACACCAACACCCCCACCCACAAGCACCTGCCTTGCAGAACTGTTCCTCCTAAGTCGTGCCCTCCTGAGGAAATTATTACTCTCTTTGCTTTCAGCTGAAAGCCCCGGAGTCGTACCTAACGCCTCTGGTCTGCTCGTACCCAATATCGCAGCACGTGAGCAAATCCTGTCTTCATGACCTTCAGAATCTTTCCAGAATGCAACCACTTCTTCACCACCCTTGCCTGGGCCCTGGCCACCCTCACCTCTCACAGAAGTACAGCCACTGCCTCCTGACTGGTCTCCTCCTACAGCACAAAGCAGAATCCTCCACGAGGGCGCCTGAGACAGCCTTCGAAAATG
The DNA here is from genome assembly GCF_000001405.40 of Homo sapiens. Classification (NCBI taxonomy): domain Eukaryota; kingdom Metazoa; phylum Chordata; class Mammalia; order Primates; family Hominidae; genus Homo; species Homo sapiens. Next base: position 517,172 of record NC_000004.12, on the reverse strand, counting down.
CAAGTGGGAGACTCTGGCTCTCACCAAACCCTGCAGCAGCTCCCCATTTAACTCAGAATACAAGTGAAAGCCCTTCCAGCGCCCAGTGGCCCTCACCCCTTAATGCCATCTCCTCTGCCCTGCCCTTGCCACTCTGGCCCCTGCTCTGACCATCCCCTGAATGTGCGCCCCATGGAGGACCCTGTCTGCTGCCCCCACAGCCTGTAATGTGCCCTCCCAGATGGCCAGCGGCCAGCCTGCCCCAGTGGCTCCCCCACCCGCTTCACTTCCCACCCCACGCCTGTTTATTCCTTCTTTTTTTTTTTTTTTTTTTTTTTTGAGGCAGAGTCTTGCTCTGTTGCCAGGCTGGAGTGCAGTAGCGCGATCTCAGTTCACTGCAACCTCCACCTCCAGGGTTCAAGCGATTCTCCTGCCTCAGCCTCCTGAGTAGCTGGGATTACAGGTGCCCGCCACCATGCCTGGCTAATTTTTGTATTTTTAGTAGAGACGGGGTTTCACTGTGTTAGTCAGGCTGGTCTTCAATTCCTGACTTCATGATCCGCCTGCCTTGGCCTCCCAAAGTGCTGGGATTACAGGCGTGAGCCACCGCACCCAGCCCTGTTTATTCTTTTCCTAAGGTACTCGTCACCATCGGCCATCGATCACTTCCTTTTCTCTCCTCCCTCTGGAAGGTTCCATGAGGGCAGAGCCTCGTACCTGCTCTGTCTCCAGTGCCTGTTAACAGCCTCTCATTCATAACAAGATCCTGGTAAATAGTTGTTGAATGAATAAATTTATGAAAGAACTTTAGATAACTGCATCTGAGGGTGCTGCCAATGGTGATAGTTCAAAGTTCTAAGAAAACAGAAACACAATCTGTATCATCAAAGAGTAGTGATGAAAAAATACTCCTGTGACAAACTGCATACCACAGAAACACATCGGAGAAACCCGAGCTCAGTGGAAACACACAGCTCTGACAGAGCTCGAAACGGTGAGTTGACTGACCTTTTTCATATGACGGCACATTCTCTTGCAACAGTTTACTAAGCTGCACTGTATTCAAATGTAAAAATCTCAACTGCTCTCTCATTGGTCTTCCTTCCACAACTGGGAATAGGAGGCTCCCTACACTGTCTTTTGGAATCGGTAAGCCAAGTGCTATCGCCAGTGTCGCAGCCACATCCGTCTGTTGGACGTGCTTTGGATGTCGGATATCACCTAGAAGAAAGAAAACATTTTAAGTAACAGACTTCTAGAAAGTGTAAGATGGTACTCATTCTTGAATTAGACCTTCTACAACTAACATGAGCCAAATGATCCGTCTCTTCACACCACTCAACACAGAATCGTACAGGAATCACCTCCTGTGCTTGCTGTGTTGATAGTTACCGAACCCATTCTATGCCAGGGACGGTGTCTTTCCTTCAGTAGCCTGCAACAGGCTGCGAGAGAGGCTCATGTGAGGAATTCCATACAGTAAGGGCTACGGAGCATGGGCTGAACACAGAGGAAGCAGGTGGTCCCGCAGACACGGAGGGACTGTCACTTTGGCAAGGTCAACAGCCAACCGGAGAATGAAGTGAGGCTGGGATCGCTGACAGCCCGGCCCCTCTGGATTTGGAGCATCCCATGCTCTGCCCTCTACGAGCACACATGCTGTTGCTCATGGAGAAAATAAACCCTTCACGGCTCCTGGGCAGCTGTGGGTGCTTCTATAGGGGAGCGCAGAATGAGGCAGGTTCAGCTGGGCCGGGTGCTCTAATCAACTTGGACAAGCTGGACATCTGCCTGCTGGCTAAAGCTCAAGCCTGAACAGTGAGTGGCTATCCTACCATCTCCTTGCAAGAATGGCTGTGATGTCAGCACCATGGGCCTAGGCCACTGCTCTGCCACCATCCACTATGATTTCGGAGCAGAAACTCAACTTGGTCGAAGTGTTTTCATCTGTAAAGACAGCAAACAGCTCCACACCCTGGAATTCAACGTACACCGGCAGGGCGCCAAGAGGCCACAGGGACGGCTACTCAGGATAGGTGGTGCGTGAGGTGTCTTTAGATACTCAGGTGTGAGTCTGGGGAGGTTTTACTTTGATTGTGGTAAGTTTTTTGTAGCGAGTTTTTAATTTGGTCAAATTTATTAATCAGGTCTTGGCCAACTCTCTAATGACGGCTTCTAGGTCATGCTTAGAAAGAACCTTCCACTCCAGTGTGGCCGTTTTCTTCCAGTACTTCTTTCTTCTAGTATTTTCTTACATTAAGTGCTTTGAGCTGACACAAAAAATAAAACACAAAGACAAAAACAAACCCACCTTAAATTGCTTTTGACCCTCATACTGGTAGTGGCAGCACTGGCATTGTTATTCTGAGACTGTTGCGTGTCTATTGCGGGATAAAGCCAATGAGTCATTATGTGATATGCTAATTCTATCATATCTGGAGTTGCTGACAACCAAGATTCTAAACTTAGGAAGAAGAAAGTACAGATGTAAGACCTAAGAAGTCATTTTACAGTTTTGAAGGTGAATCGATACAAACACAAGATCATTTTATCTTAAAACAATTTCTTCTTTCTGTCTAGAAACAATGACCAACCACTCAGAGCTAGCACTGGTAGCTCTGAGACAGTGATCTTGAAATACCACCTTCCACTAAAAAGAAGCAGGGCATCCTGGAGAAATCGCTGACTGTAGGTCTCAAGAAGGAAATGTGCACGAGTAAACTGTAGTAAAGCAAAGAGTTTTGGGGCTGGGGACCTACAGATTTACAGAGACTTAAGAGACACATAAACAAATCACAGTGTATGGTCTTATTTGTAGCCTGATTCAAACAAGCTGAAACACCTAAAGAGAGAGAAACAGATATTAGAGATATGAACACTACTCAGTGATATTAAGGAATTAACACTATTTTTTAAATGTGATAAGGGTATCAAGATTATGGGGGTAAAGAGCACGTACCTTTTAGAGGTCTGCTTCCAAATAATAAAGGAGAAGGGAAATGAGTGTGGGCACGGATGAAAGAAGATTGGCTGTAATTGGCCAGTAACTGGTGAAGCTGGACTTGGGGGTTTATTATACGACTGTGACTACCGTTCTACATCCAGAATTTTCCATACTGTAGTCTTTTAAAGACGTTAACATGCTTTGACCTGGATTGATATTGTTGTAAAGAATAAGGCAGAGAGTCTGCATTACCTTTTTCCAAAAGGTCAGCCAGGGGTACCAGCATCATTTATTGAGCACCATGTCTTCTCTGCACTAATCTGAGATGCCACCTTTGTCACCAAGTCCCCAGATACACTGAGGTCTATTTCTGGCCTCTTGATTTTGCACCTTTGATTGGTTTGTGACCAGTTCTTGCCTGCACAAACTATTTTAATAACTGTAATTCTGAAATACAAACACAGGGTAGGCCTGTGGATTGCGCCCCACTGACGATAAGGGGCCATGAAAGAAGTTCCAGCACTTCAGAAAACCATTCCCACAGCCCAGCAGCATCCTTTCACCGCCGGTCTCTACCTCCACTGGCTCGCCTGCTGAGTCTTCAACATTCAATCCACAAATGATAAAACATCCACTAGGTGCCAGGTACCAGGGGAACAGAACAACAAACAGGGTCAAACATTCTAGTAGCAAGAGGCCGAAAATAAAACAGACCTGCTCTGCCCTCTGTGGAAGTCCAGGTACAGGCATGCTCTCCTTCCCACACCCCTTGACTCTGGAGTGGCCAGACCTGTACTGCCCACACAGGGAGGTCAGCACTCTAGGGGTGGGCGGTGGTGGGCTGAAGGTCTCTGAAGTCACTCACTACACAATCCAAAACCGCTTATTTTCAAAATAATAAGCATTTTAACATTTATTTTTATTAACATAACAAAACAAAAATTTCCGTGCATTTTTAAGATAAAAATCCTTCAGAACTATAGGGAATAGTGTTAAGAGTAGCTCCATAAACTTGCTTATCAATAAAACAAGCATAAGTGGTAAACATTTTAAAAACCACCACTACCACCATTCACAGTCTCTGGAAATTGTCTAGGGATACAGAACAAACAAAGAAATCTTTATTCAAGAAAATCCACTAGGCCTTGGTAAGAAGCCTAAGAGTCTGCAGCCCTTGAACCGTGGCCTGCTCCCTCCCTCCCCCTCCTAGCCCAGTGGGGCAGAAACTCTCCTGTGGTGGGTGCAGCCCAGAACACAGAGCTCCCTTTCCCCCAGCTCCAGAAGGAGGGTTGGTTATACGATCTCCCTCTCATTCCCCCAGCTCCCGATAGAGGATTATGCGATCTCCTTCCCATCTCCCCATGCTCTTCTTTTCCTCATCAAATAGAGAATATCAATAAAGAGATAAAAATTATTATTATTATTATTACTATTTTTAGATGGAGTCTCACTCCGTCGCCAAGCTGGAGTGCAGTGGTGCGATCTCGGCTCACTGCAACCTCTGCCTCCCGGGTTCAAGTGATTCTCCTGCCTCAGCGTCCTGAGTAGCTGGGATTACAGGCGCCCACCACCACATCTGGCTAATTTTTGTACTTTTAGTAGAGACGGGGTTTCACCGTGTTGGTCAGGCTGGTCTCGAACTTCTGCCCTTGTGATCCACCCGCCTTGGCCTCCCAAAGTGCTGGGATTACAAATGAGCCACCGTGCCAGGCCAGAAATTATTTTTTAAAAAGCATCAAATGAAACTCTGGTGTTAAAAAAATATGATAATGGTTGGGAGGCCGAGGTGGGCAGATCACAAGGTCAGGAGTTTGAGATCGGCCTGGCCAATAATGTGAAACCCTGTCTCTACTAAAAATACAAAAATTAACCGGTGGTGGTGGGTGCCTGTAATCCCAGCTACTCGGGAGGCTGAGGCAGGAGAATAGCTTGAACCCGGGAGGCGGAGGTGGCAGTGAGCCGAGATCGTGTCACTGCACTCCAGCCTGGGTGACAGAGCAAGACTCCATCTCAAAAAAAAAAAAAAAAAAAAAGTATGATAACTGAAACAGAAAATTCACTAAAGGGGTTTAACAATAGACTTGAACTGGCAGAAGAAAGAACCAGCAATTTAAAGATAGATCAATAGAGATTATGCAATTTAAACAACTGAAAATTTTCCAAATTTGATGAAACACATCAACCTACACATGCAAGAAGCTCAATGAACTCCAAGTTGAGTAAACATAAAATACAGATACATTATAGCAAAAATGGTAAAAGACAAAGAAATGGGAAACCCAATTAGATTAAGAATTGACTTTTCATCAGAAACCATGGAGGCCAGAAGGCGGTGAGACAGCACATTCAAAGTGCTGAAAGAAAAAACAGCCAACCCAGTCTTACAGTCAGCAAAACTCCTTCCAAAAAGAAGACAAAATAGACATCCCGGATATTTTCTAAAACAAAAAATTCTTTGCTAGCAAATCTGCCTTACAAGAAATACTAAAAGAAGTTCTTCAGGCTGAAAGCCAGTGACTCTAGATCAAATTTCAGGTACATAAAAAAGCAAAGAGCATCAGTAAAGGTAATCATATAATTATGAAAGACACTATAAAAGCATTTTCTTCTTTCCTCTCCTGATTTAAAAGCAATTATATAAAACCATGTCTATATCACTATGCCATCAGTTTATAACATACAGAAAAGCAACATATTTGACAATAACAGCACAGAGGTGGCGGGTGGGGGCACAGCTATACTGGGTAAGAAAATGACAACATAGGAAATATACATCCACACAAAAAGCTACACACAGATGATCACAGCGTCATTATTCATCACAGCCAGAAAGTGGAAACAACCCAAATGTCCATCAGCTCAAGAATGGTCAATGAATGTGTTAAATCCATGCAATGGAAGACTATTTAATAACAAAAGAAATGAAGTCTTCTTTTTTTTTTTTTTTTTTTTTAAAGATGGGGAGTTTCACTCCTGTTGCCCAGGCTGGAGTGCAATGGCACGATCTCGGCTCACTGCAACCTCCGCCTCCTGGGCTCAAGTGATTCTCCTGCCTCAGCCTCCCAAGTAGCTGGGGTTACAGGCATGCGCCACCACACCCAGCCAATTTTGTATTTTTAGTAGAGACGGGGTTTCTCCATGTTGGTCAGGCTGGTCTCGAACTCCCGATCTCAGGTGATCCACCCACCTCAGTCTCCCAAAGTGCTGGGATTACAGGTGAGAGCCACAGTGCCTGGCCTAGAAATGAAGTCTTGATACATGCTATAACTATGAACCTGGAAAAACACTATCCTACATGAAAGAAGCCAGGCACACGAGACCATATGGTTTCATTTACACAAAACATGCAGAAGAGGCAAATCTACAGACAATGACGCTGATTACCTAGGGTTGGGGGAGGGAGAGAAGACTGGGCTGGGGAAGAGGAAGGTGGCTGCAGAAGAGTATGGGGTTTCTTTCTGAGGTGAGGAAAATGATGTAAAATTGACTGTGATGATGGTGGCCCAATGCTGTGAGTACACCAGAGTACAGTCCTGGCTCACGAAACAGGTATGATGAGAATAAAGAAAACAAAACAGAACCAACTCTCAGGACTGAAGCTGGTGATGAGTCCGGCACTTGCAGGCAGCCTGCACGCATGCAGCTGCCCCCACCATTCCTAGCTCTGCTCAGGTCAGACATTCAAGATGAAGAAGTGTTGGGAACAAGCCTCCCAAAATCTGGCCATAAACTGGCCCTAAAACTGGCCATAAACAAAATCTCTGCAGCACTGTGACATGTTCATGATGGCCATGACGCCCACGCTGGAAGGCTGTGGGTTTACGGGAATGAGGGTAAGGAACACCTGGCCCGCCCAGGGTGGAAAACCGCTTAAAGGCATTCTTAAGCCACAAACAATAGCATGAGAGAACCGTGCCTTAAGGACATGCTCCTGCTGCGGTTAACTAGCCCCATCTATTCCTTTAATTCAGCCCATCCCTTCGTTTCCCATAAGGGATACTTTTAGTTAATTTAGAATCAGTAGAACCAATGCTAATGACTGGTTTGCCGTTAATAAATACGTGGCTAAATCTCTCTTCAGGGCTGTCAGCTCTGAAGGCTGTGAGACCCCTGATTTCCCACTTCACACCTCTGTATTTCTGTGTGTGTGTCTTTAATTCCTCTAGCGCTGCTGGGTCAAAGTCTCCCGGACCGAGCTGGTCTCGGCCAAGAAGCTTCATAAAAAGATATAAGAGGTCAGGTGGAGATCATGGTGGGCAAAAGAGACATGGTCCTGTCCTCATCTGGCTTAAAGTGTAATGTGGAGGCAGATGTTACATGAATCCCATAAATAAACAAAATCCATCAATAAGTCTGCAATGACAAATTATGCCAAGAATGATGAATGGGGACACTTAGAGAGATCAATCTGACCGGTGTGGGGCCTATCCACGGCATTTACAACCACAGAGGCAGATGAGACCGTATCTCCAGGGCTAATGCAGAACGAAACAAGAAGGCAGTCCAGTAAAAAAGACCAGGGAAAGGAAACTAGGCTGGCAAAGGAGAGAAAAGGAGGAAAACCAGAAAGATGTGAGGTCCCAGAAGCTACGGGACCAGCAGCACTAAGGGTGCTGAAGGGTCAGTGAGAGCAGCGCCCGAAAGCGTCTGCTGTGCCTGACGGCAGAAATTACCGCTGAGCTCACCAAGAGTGAGGCAGCGAGTGTGGCAGCAGAAGCCAGGCGCAAGTGGAAGGCAGCCGCCGACAGGACAGCAAGGCCGGCGGCCGCGAGGGCAGAGTGCATAGGCTGGCGGCTGAGTCTGGGCACAGGTCAGAGTGGGGTGTGTGTGTGTTTGGGGCGTGTCTGAATACTGACAGACGGGGCCTCTGTCTGTCCTGCTCTGGCCGGGTCCCATGACTCTTGTTGACACTGCTATTCAATAGATGGTTTACAATAATGCAAACTTTTAAAAAAGCCGAGGTATTCACGTTTCCTTCAGTTCACACATGCTGTCCAGATGTCTCTGAGCTACTGGCAATTTTTCTCAACAGTTCCAGATATCCAGGCAGCAACATTCATACAACAAAATTCTGACAAAGAATAACTGTATTTTAAGGATTCGGGAAGGAACGTAACTTCAGATCCCAAAAGCCTTTTGCCCAATTACTTTTCATGCTCACATTGCTTGGGGACTTCAACCTTATGGAGCTTCTAAAAAATAGGTTTTCAAAATTAAAACCAGACTATAGAAAACAAATGTAATACAATTTCCAACTGTTAACATTCCTAAATTCTCACCGGGTTTCCTTTCAAACGCAGAACTGATTAAAATCAGAGGTGTATTCACCTCCTCGGTGGAGGAGGCCCCGTGACTTCCTGTTTCAGACATGCCATGGTCACCACAAAGAACCAGCAAATTGGGTAAAGGCGTCTCTCTCTCCTTTAAGGCAAAGGAAAAACATTTCAACTGCGTTCAGACTGAAGAGAGCACATCATCTTAAGAAGACAATTTTCGGTTTTAGCTTTACTTTATAGAGTTGTAGCTCTTTCTCAATGAATTAGATTTTTTTTTCCTATGAGCTCATAGCCAGATCACAGGGTCACAGTCAAATAATGCCATAAATGAAGTTCACAGAATTGTACACAGCTCATGGAGCACAGCAGGCTGCATTTCTGCCCTCTGATGGCAGACGGTTTGTATCTGGTTTCTGTCTTTGCCACTGCCAAGCTGTGAGACTCTGGACGCATTCTACTCTGTGCCTTGGTCGCCTCATCTGTCAAATGGAATCTTTCACAGGACTCTGGTGAGAACACAACACACAGCAAAAGGCAAGAGCTCTGAGCCATGTGGGGGCACCCACCAGGCTTCTCTGCCCCTGGGGTTGCAGCCACACATCCTTTGCTGCTCCGGGACAAGCCAGGCAGGCTGTGCCTGACCCTCGCTGCTGGTCCTCCTGGAACACTCGTGCACAGACCACATGGTCTGCCCCTCCCTCCCTTCAAGTCTCTGCTCACCCTGCACACGTCTTCAGGGAAGGCTTCTCTCAACACGCTGTTGAAAGCCCCTCCTCCTGCCCTCTGAGTTTCTGCAGCACCCATCACCTCCTCACATACTTATTTACTCATCTTTCTCATCTCTCCTGGCTAGAGCGTGAGCTTCACGAGGGATTATCGACTGTTTCACTGATGCACCCAAATGCATGGACAAAAAGTGACATAGAACAGAAACAGAGACACAGAACAGACAGAGTGACACAGAACAGAGACAGTGGCACAGAGCAGAGAGAGTGACACAGAACAGAGAGTGACACAGAAGAGAGAGTGACACAGAACAGAGAGTGACACAGAACAGAAAGTGACACAGAACAGAGTGGCACAGAACAGAGAGAGTGATACAGAACAGAGAGAGTGGCACAAAAGGTCTTCAGGAGGTATTAGTTGAATGAATGCATACACGGGTAGGAGTGAGAGCTGCTGTTCTGCAGGGCTGCTGGAAGACGGAGTCAGTGCAGTGGACACTGAGACAGTGCTGCCCGTGTGGCATGCGGCCCCTGGCTAGCAGACTGATGGTGGACATTCACACAGGCACCCTGAATAACTCAGGCGGTTGCATTTATTCTAGGGAACATCCACGTGAAACCACATCAGCAGACAGTGAGCGACGGCGAGCCTCACCTTCGACTGCAGTGAGGTGTGGATCTTCATCAGCACGCTGTCCATCTCGCTCAGCTTCTGCCCAATCAGGGGGCTGTTGGGCCCTGAAATGTGGCCAATGTGGTCCAGCCCCAGGTAGTGGAGGATTAATATGTCCCAATCTCCTCTTTTTAATACTTTATCCAAATGCCTCGTGACATTATTATCCACCTTTGAAGGGGAAACACACGTATAAACAACTCACCTAATTTCCCTGGATCTTCACTCCCCGGGGAAAACGCAACAGTCATCTTAAAATCTAGGGGTTTATTCAGGTTACAGGATTTGGGGGAGTTGAAACACAACAAAATCTATGTCATTAAAAATAAATAAATAGGCTGGACACAGCAGCTCATGCCTTTCATCTCAACACTTGAGGAGGCTGAAGCGGGAAGACTGCTTGAGGCCAAGAGTTCAGGACCCACCTGGGCAACATAGCAAGACCCCACGTCTATAATAAATAAATGAACATTAGCATTGGATTAAACTTTTGCTAATATTGTTTTTATGTTTCTGGGCTATGGATCGAATATATTCTACAGATAATTTAAATGAGCAAGGGTTCTTCTGACAAAAATATTTTTCTGTGGGATCACTGCTGGGCTTAATGGGCATAACTGAAGGTGAGCAAATGGGCAAGTTAAATAGATCCCAAGTTGTCATGAGGTAACTAAGGGCAAAGGGCAGTTAATTAAAGACAGGACAGTACCCAGCGTTAAAGTAACCAGCAGGATGATGAAGCTGAGGGCATCTACATGTGTCCTACAAGAAGGCTGTTCTGAAAAAGACACAGCACTCAATGATCACATTGATTTCTGAAATAAACACATCACGGAGGAGAGATGAGCAGTTGATCAGCCCCCAATAGAGCTGTCAGCCTGGTGAGCCCTGACCCCTCAGCTAGCTCATCTCCCTCCCACTAAAAAAATCTCCTATGAAGAGAAGTGTTTCTCAGTGATGCCATATATAGTCAGGAAAACTCAGTCATTACTGAAAAGTAACTGTTGAAAAGCGCCCCACTTTGGAACAGGATAGGACTACAGATGCTCCATAAGGCCCAGCCATCTAGGAGGTGAAGCTGGCTAAACCCCAGGCCAGGCAGGTGTGCTGGTGTGCTCCTACCTCAGCCCCAGGTCTGCTTTCTAACATGCAGGTCTAATTTTTGTTGGAAAAGCTCCAGGAAAACCCCCTCAGGACCAGGCCCCACCCAGTCGGCCACCTGCCCTCAGGGCACGATGAGGCTCCGCTTGCAGCAGAACCAACAGGCTGTGGAGTCCTACAGCTCTGCCATGTGCAGAAGCTACCAGCCTGTTCTGCCCACCTGGGGAGTCCCCACTCACCCATCATATCTCGGCTCAGACAGTCCCTTGGCTGTGTCACCCTTCCTGATCCTCTCTGCCCCTCAATGGCACTCAGCTGTTCTAAGCTTTGGGTTCCATAAAACTCTGCTCACACCTGCTTCAGGTTTGTATTTCTGGGTTGTTAACTGATTATGTGAGTGAATAATTTTTACACCTGTCCATAGTACTCCCTATAAATTAATAAAACCAAATATAAAATGGTATCATCTCTCACTAAGTAATGGGATGCCAGGCTCTATCTAGTATGATATTCTAGTATGATATATTTTCTTATTTTAAAAACTGACCTCTGTGTAATCTGACACGAAAAATGAGGTTGTTCCATCATATTCCACAAAATGCTTTGGGAATAATTTAACCCAGGTTTCATCTCCATAAAAGACTATTCTTTTTCCAGCTGCTTTTGCTTGTCTTATCACACTGTCTTCCAGCAGTGCAGGAGAATTGAGGTTCCTGATGACGTCGACAAAGCCAGGAAGGCTCCCCGTCATCAATGCCTGCAGTCAGAAAATGCAAGAATTAGGCCACTGAATCCAAAACCGGAGCATGAAAAGGGCACTGAAGATTTTTTTTTTTTTTTTTGAGACAGGGTCCCTCTCTGTTGCTCAGGATGGAGTGCAGTCATGCAATCAGGGATCACTGCAGCTTTGAACTCCTGGGCCCAAGCGATCCTCCCACCTTGGCCTCCCAAGTAGCTGGAACTACAGGTGTGTGGCACCACACCCAGCTTTTTTTTTTTTTTTTTTTTTTTTTTTGGTAGATACAGGGTCCCGCTATGTTGCCCAGGCTGGTCTGAAGATTTTTTATGGATAAAATAGGTGAGCATAAAGCTAGGGCATCCCTAGTACTGGTGGCTGGGTCAATGTTAGGACAGTAATTAGGGTAAAGAAGAGAAAGAGGCACATAGATTCTGGTGAAAAACTGTAAACTCAATAGTAACAAAGATAACCATATTAAAGGACATTCATGGCTCCTAATAATCTTTCCAGCTGACAAGAGGTTAAAGGAGGCGGCTAGGGATAGCGAGACGACGGCAACAGCCAGAGAAGCAGCTATGGGTTTGCGATGTAGCTGAAGCAAACGGCAAAGTGAGGTATACATTAGAAACATTAACCTGTGTATTCAAAGCCTCTGCCAGGTCCCAATTAAGATTCAAATCTCCACGTGACAAGCAAAGTCCATACGACTCCTAACAATCCAGCAATTCCAATGTCTACCTTTGAGTGGAAAACCAGGATGAAAGCAGTCCTAAAGCGTGAACTTTCAGCAATTTGCAAAGTGAACTGGGGGCCAGGGAGGCCACTGGGATAGTCTCTTCTGCTCCCACCCTCAATGTTGCCCCATATTTTCTGGGAGGGGTGGGAGGTGACTTGCCCTTATACCCTTCTGATAATAGAATTGAGTCAAGAATTTCCCTGAGTTTAGCATAGAACCTAAGAGGCCATGGTAATGGGTAACAGATCTCTGTGATTTAGAGTTATACAGCCACCCCAGCCAGCACTGGCATCCTGGAACCTGTGCAATGAAAATAAACGGGAACCTGGGTAACATCAGCAGGTGAAATAATTTTACCGAGACATCTTTAACGATAAATAAATGCAAGTATGAATTATCCAGACTTCTGGAATGCCACAGGGAGGAGCTCGGCAAAATCTCTCTCCCAGGAGCAATAATAAAACTGGATGAAACTGTCAAAAGCAACCATTTTAGTACTTTGGAAATTCACCAAAATTATAGAACAGATTGAGAAGTGCTTATTTAAGAAAAAACACGGAATCTCAGTAAGAACAGCAAGTGCCCATGGTGTTTCTACACAGGGCGGCTCCCACTTCCCTCCTTTCCAGCTCCACGCTGCAGCAGCCACTGAGAAGCCCCACACCCAGGGAGGTTATGAAAACACATCAGGGGTGCTGAAGCACAACCTCTGACCAATCAGTGGCTGACCACTAAGCTATGCGGAGCCAGGGCCAGCACTCAGGAAGACAGGCTTAAAGATAAAAACAAGAACTTAAAAACCAAAAGAACCAAAAGACCTAAGTCAAAACATCAGTTGCCGCACGCTCCCGGGGAGACAGACTGCAGGAACTCACTATACAAACAACCAAAATAACCCTAACAGCCACCAACATTCCTAGGGTGGGGCCAGAATTGAGCTGAGGTGGGGTTTGCCTGGATACACACATTTGTTAAATGCTGTACATGCAAAAATGTAATTGTATAAAAATTATATTTCAATAGTTATTTTTTAAAATGTGAACCTCACCCCAAAATTGTACTCCTTAAAAGGCAGCCAATTACTCTTGGTGAGTATCCTTTTGGACTCTTTTCTGTGTGTGTGTGTGTGTGTGTGTGTGTGTGTGTGTGTGTGTATAAAATCACAAATATATGAAGGTACACATTTTTTACCAAAATGGTAGCAAACTATACAAATTACTCTCAAACTTCTTCAATTAATAACACATCATGAACATCTTTACCTAGGGAAAACACAAGCATTTTATCTTTTTTCCAAACAGCTACAGAGCATTCCAGTGTGTAGCTGTACAATAACGTATTTAACCAAGACCATTTTACTGGGCATTTATTTTAAACAGCTTCCTATGGAAGTGCCACTTGAGCTGAGACCTGAAGGTTGAAAAGTTGTGGAGGTGAGGTGGGACTTTCCAGAGTAAAACACCTGCAAACTGCAAAGGCTCCAGGCAGAAAAGACAGCAGCACCCGGGAGGAAATGAGCTGCGTGTGACCTGTGTGGATGAAGGGCAAGGGAACACGGAAGGGGGCCTATATGAGGATGAAGAGGTAAACGGGAGTGAGGCCACGCAGAGCCTTGAGGGACGGGTGATGGGGTTCAGTGTTCAAACTGGGCAGAGCGTAAACTACTGAAGGGTTTTAAAGAGTAGTGTAGCAGGGTCTGATTTGTGTCCAGAAGTGATTTGGGCCAAGAAAAGGTGCTAGGGCATTTATAACAGTTCAGGCTGGAGCCCACAGCAGCCTGGACGACGGTGGTGGCAGTGGAGATACCAGCTCAGTCAACCTGTATTCACATCCACAGTATTTCAAGAGCACCTGTTCACCTCGTTTCTTGTGCGGGGTAGAGATCATCAATCTTTAAATTTTTACAATATGATAAACAAAAACTGGCATATGGGTTGTTTTGTTTGCCCTGCTCTGATTACTAGTCAAGAATCTCTGCATATGCTTATTGGCCATTCCGCTTTCTTCCTTGGTGGATTCCGTTATATACTCGGCCCAGTTTCCATAGGACTGTCCCTCCTTGATCCGAACCTCTTTATACATCATGGACTTAACATCTTGTATGCCATGTCCACTGTCAATAATTTCTTCAGTTTATCATGTTGTTGACTTTGTTTACAACATTTGACAATATAAAAGTTTTCTGTTTTCATCCCTTCTTTTGTGGCTTTTACAAGGCACCTCCCTCATCCTCACACTAGCTTGGGTTCCCACCGATATTTTTAAAGAGGGTAGGGACTACTTGGCATCCCCTCATCCCAGAAAGCGTGCAGACAGCGAGTGGGCTGCATTTACAGTCCTAAGAAATCTAAGGGAAAGCTCAGGTCTGTCAATCAATGCCAGCTATTATTATGACCAGAAAGTTCTTTAAGAAAGAAAAGGCATTCAAAAATGAGTTACATGACTTTAAAACAAAGCTGCTGCAGGGTCTTAGCAAGTGAAAGCACACTGGACATGTCAGGGTTGGCGTCTGGTTACAAATGTATCAACACCAGGAGATGCTCTGAGCCCTTTCTCAGACTGGAGGCAGGGCAGGGGACACTTTCCTCAACCAACACTGCCCAACCCCAACCTACCAAACTCCAGAGCTGTACAATCCTAACTCCAGTATGGGCTTTCTGTTCTAGCTCCTCCCTGATGGGGAAATAAGGAGCAAGAATCCTCAAAGGACTGAAAATGAAACAAAACACTAGCTCTGGGGTGAGGCTCCCCAGCAAAGGTGAAATAAAACCAATAAGCTGGAGACAGAGGCCCCAAGAACCACAGTGCCAACGGACTGGTCTGAATAGAACCTAGAACCTGCACAATCACTTATACATTTTCTCAAATCTGCCTGTTAAATCTTAAAAGAAAAGGAGAAAAGGGTTCCTTCCACACTTCTGATAGAGCAGATAAAGAAACCGGTGTTCCTGAAAATCAGGGGCTGGATGTCTTTCTTCCAGATTCCCACAGCTAGTTTCAGCAGGACGGCAAAAACTCTGAGTGCTGTGTTCAAAGGTGCCGGGCATGCCCCTCTCCCCTTCATTCTCTCTCACCTCCCTCTCCATTCCTTCCAGAGCAGTTGTCACTGTCTGAAACCATCTTCATTGATTCATATTTTACCGATTTTCTATCCCTCCAATTAGAAAGTAAGCTCCATGAGGACAATGCTGTCTTGTTCTTCACTGCCTCCCTCCTGTCTGGAACAGTGTGGCACACAGTAGATGCTCAATAAATATTGCTGAAGGAAGTCACATCACATTGAAATGCGGCAGAGAGAGTAAGAAATTCAAGGAAAAAGTCAGTGAGTGATATGGCACTGTGCTTCCTTCAGTCTCAGACTGCTTTCATCCAGTGAACATCTGCCAAGCATCTGCAAATGGGGCTGCCCCCAAGCCTTAAATCAATAAGTAGCTCCTTCTCACCAAATAATGTTTCACATGATCAACAACACAGCTAAGGCTCCGTCAGAGACTTTATGCCACGCTCACATGCGATACACTCACACACTTCAACCCCTCTGCTCCTTTCTGTCCCCACCTTTATTCATCCTTCCAGTCTCAGTTTAAATGCAATTTCCTCAGCCAGGCTTTCTCACCCACTAATCATCACATCCTGTTCTTTCTCATCATGCATTAACCACACTTTACAACTGCATGTTTTCATATGCTCCTTTGTTGAGTGGCTGTATATCTAAAGACTAAAAGCTACATGAAGGCAGAGATACTATTTTTTCCCCAATTGCATACCCATTGAAGTATCACCACATAGTCGTTGCTCAAAAGTTTTGAGCCAATCAATAAAGGCTTACTTTTTTCTTTACCCACGGTTCTTGGGAAATGCACTATGTACTTCAAAGCTGCTGTCAGTAGGCTGGACACCTGAAGGATATGGTGGAAACAGTGGTAATTGTTGAGGCCGGAACATACTGATTTGATCATTATGTATACTGGTGGATAATTTTGGAGAAGTCACATTTAACTTATCTGAGTTTGCTTTCCTATCTATAAAGTCTAGAGACTGAACTAGATTAACTCTAAAGGCTCCTTCTAAGATTGTAAATGACCCAGTGACGATTAAAGAAGAAAGCAGGTCACCAAGAATGGCATATCTTGGGGTAGGTTAGCCTGGATGATCTTGCTCTAAATCTTTTATATTTGCCATGAAGCATGAGCTTTGGCTACTTGACATGGGGCACAAATGATGGGTCTCAGTTCCATCCCGTGTGAGGCTCCTTCAACATTCTATTGCCCCAGCCAACTGACAGCACAAAATTTCCACTTTCTTAAAATTGCAACTCCAAGCGAAAGACTACAGAGACCCCCTCTAAATCTTCAAAACAGCCAAACCATGATTCATAAAACATTAAGGCAAACTTACCTTGATTCGAGGCATAGTAACTGTAGGTGGCTTTGCTTCAGCCACAAAACTGTGAGATGCTCCTTTTTCCACAAGGTAAGTTGTGTAGGGCATAAATTTCACACCCTTTGACCCAAACACAAAATCATCTCTCAAGGCATCTATCAGAACAATAACAACTTTACTGAAGAGAGGTGGTGGCAGCGTGGTCCAGTTAGAACTGGCTCCTAAGTGTTTGAAAGAAAAAAAAGGAAATTGAACTCTAAACTTTCCTTAGCATCAAGCACCTTCACAATCTAGCTTCTACCTACTTCTCCAGCACATACCCTGCGATATCTACATAACCCAACCCAAAAGGAGGCGACTTGTACTTGGTAGGTAGTGCTGGGGGGAAAGGACGGGGGTTAACAGGAGTAATCTTAGGGACCCACAGTAGCAAGCAGTGAATTATCCTCAGTATGGTGAAGAGTACTGGGGTAGGAGAATCCCTACGTAAGGGTCCTGGAATGGGACATTTAGGGAGCTTGACCTAAAACGCAGAGCTGCAGCTACGGGATGGCTGGGCGTTTACATACTGCGTTTACATGGTCAGCGGCTGGCGATGTGTGCAAGTGGTCCAGAACCAGGGCGCCTTTACTTGCTGTATATGGCTGGGTAGGTGAAGCCTAGGAAGAGGCCTAACGCAGAGAGGCCTTAGCCCCTAGGCAGGGAAAACATCTTGGAGGAATATAAGAGACCAAAACGCGAGGGGATCGGCAGGGGTCTTATCTGTTGTGTGCTAGGGGGCAAAAAGGGCGCCTATAACGGGGAGTGACCCAAAGGCTGCTCAGGAAAGGGGCGGGAGCTCTGGACGAGTAGAAGTGGAGAGGCTGGATCCCAGGTATGGACACAGCTTACTTTGTGGTGATCAGGAAGGAAGGTCGAAGTGGGGCCAGTAGAGGTGGTTGCCACAAAGTTGTAAGAATACAGAAAAGAGACGCTGGAGCGGTTAAAAAAAATTTCTGAGGTGGGGACCATAATGGAAGAGACCACCGGGGAGCGCCGAGAAGAAATCCGAGCAGCGAGGCTCAGAAAAAAGGTCTTCTAGGGGATGTGGGGTCAGGGGAGCGGAGACGCCGGGGAGGGGTCCGTACCAGCCGAGGGTTCGGGCGCTGGGGGCTCCGCTCCGTGTTCCGCTCTGGCAGAGGAACGAACGGGAGCCGGGAAGAATCCCCGAAGGAAGACCGCGATCCCTAGCACCTCGATCGCTACGCAACAGGTAGCGAAAGTCCCGGAGCCCAGCCGCATCGTGGACACGCTAGGCTGGATGCGGAACCGACCCCACCTGGAGCCTCGCCCTGCTGCAGCCGCGCTTCCGGCTCCAGGTAGCCGCCTCTAAGCAATAACGCCAGGCCTTATCGTCGCAGCGACAGTGGCGTCACGTCCGCCGGCGCGCCACAGCAGCGCGTCACTTCCGCCAGCCCGCCACAGCGGGGCGTCACCTCGGACATACGAACAGCGGGCGGTGTTCCCGGCTCCGTGGGGCCGTCTTCCCGGCGAGTCCGCGACGGTCGCCGCCCACGGCGAGGTACGAGGTTTTAAAAAGTTTTTAATTTGGAAGGCAGGGTGCAGTGGCTCACGCCTTTAATCCCAGTACTTTGGGAGGCCGAGGCGGGCGGATCACGAGGTCAGGAGATCGAGACTATCCTGGCCAACATGGTGAAACCCCGTCTCAACTAAAAATACAAAAAATTAGCGGGGCGTGATGGCGGGTGCCTGTCGTCCCAGCTACTCGGGAGGCCGAGGCAGGAGAATCGCTTGAACCTGGGAGGCGGAGGTTGCAGTGAGCCGAGATCGCGCCACTGCACTTCTGCCTGGCAACAGAGCGAGACTGCGTCTCAAAAAAAAAAAAAAAAAGAAAATTCAACCCAATACCTCAGACAACTGGTAAATATCTTAATGATTAACTTCGTTTTAAAGATGCCACATGAGTGAGATCATGAGGTATTTGTCTTTCTGTGTCTTATTTTGCTTACATGATATCCTCAGGTTTATCCGTGTTGTGGCAAATGATAGGGTTTCATTCTTTTATTAGAGCTGAATAGTACTCCATTGTGTATATATACCACATTTTCTTTTTTCTGAAAGGAAAATCTTGGGGCCCCAAAATTACTAAACTAAGGGAAAAGACAAGCTCGGAACTGCTCAGGACAAACCTGCCTCCCATTCTATTCAAAGTCATTCCTCTGCTCACTGAGATAAATGCATATTGATAGCCTCCTTTGGAGAGGCTTATCAGAAACCCAGAAACTGCAACCATTTGTCTGTCACCTACCTGTGACCTGGAAGCCCCCTCCCTGTTCCAAGTTGCCCCCGCCTTTCTGGACAGAACCAATGTCCTTCTTTTTTTTTTTTTTTTTTTTTTTTTCTTTTTCTTTTCAGATGAAATCTCACTCTGTCGCCCAGGCTGGAATGCAGTGGCGTGATCTCAGATCACTGCAACCTCTGCCTCCCGGGTTCAAGCAATTCTCCTGCCTCAGCCTCCTGAGTAGCTGGGATTACAGGTGCGTGCCACCACGCACGGCTAATTTTTGTATTTTTAGTTGAGACGGGGTTTCACCATGTTGGTCAGGCTGTTCTTGAACTCCTGACCTCGTGATCCGCCCGCCTCGGCCTCCCAGAGTGCTGGGATTTACAGGCATGAGCCACCGCGCCCGGCCTGTTTTTTTTTTGTTGGTTTGTTTTTGAGACGGAGTCTCGCTCTGTCGCCCAGCCTGGAGTGCAGTGGCACCATCTCCGCTCACTGCAAGCTCCGCCTCCCGGGTTCACGCCATTTTCCTACCGCAGCCTCCCGTGTAGCTGGGACTACAGGCGCCCGCCGCCACGCCCGTCAAATTTTTTTTTTTTTTTTGTATTTTTTAGTAGTGACGGGTTTCACCATGTTAGCCAGGATGGTCTCAATCTCCTGACCTCGTGATCCGCCCGCCTCTGTCTCCCAAAGAGCTGGGATTACAGGCGTGAGACACCGCGCCCTGTCCGGCCTGTTATTATACATATGATTGATATCTCGTGACTCCCTAAAATGAATACAACCAAGCTGTGCCCCGACCACCTTGGACCCACGTCGTCAGGATCTCCGGAGGCTGTGTCATGGGCGTCCTTAACTTTGGGAAATAAGCCTCCTGAAATGATTAAGACTTGTCATTTTTCTCGATTGACATTGATAAGCACTGAGAGATCCTCAGTGAAGGTAACCCGGCCTGCAGCAGTTCGCCTATTGATCCTCGGTATTGGCTTGGCACCTTATTGCCCAAACTGGTAGGATGATTGCTGAAATCTGGGACCTTGTTCCTCCAGGGATCCCTGATCTTCCAACGTTTTTCGGTGGGGGGTCTGAGGTTTATTTGCTGTTAAAAAACTCCTTTTTTGGGAGTTCCCACTCGCTTCATCAAGGAAGGCAAGCCTGCCTGCTTCTGCATCGACAGATAGCCGTCTTCAGCTTGAGCCCCATCACTAGGTAAGAAAATTGATTTGGAATTTTGTCTTGCAAATTCTTTTTAAATGACTAAAGATAACATTAACAACCAGCTGGTGTTTATTTCTGCTTACACTTAGAGCGTTCAGAAGTCATAGGCTGGGCGCGGTGGCTCACGCCTGTAATCCCAGCACTTTGGGAGGCCGAGGTGGGCGGATCACGAGGTCAGGAGATCGAGACCATCCTGGCTAACACGGTGAAACCCCATCTCTACTAAAAATACAAAAAATTAGCCGGGCGCGGTGGCGGGCACCTGTAGTCCCAGCTACTCAAAAGGCTGAGGCAGGAGAATGGCGTGAACCCGGGAGGCGGAGCCTGCAGTGAGCCGAGATCGCGCCACTGCACTCCAACCTGGGCGACAGCGAGACTCCGTCTCAAAAAAAAAAAAAAAAAAAAAAAAAGAAGTCATGTATTTTGTGTGATCATTGTTAGTTTTGCTTACCTGTTCTGTTGTTTGTTTCTGTCTTGTTGGGGTTTTTTTTGTGTGTTTTGGTCCTTTCCCTTATCGGATTTGACCAACTCCAAACCCTCTAGCTCATGAGTGTAGAATCTTCCCCTCTGAAGAAATAAGAGCACCTGCCTCCCCTCAGCTTTTCGGGGCATTCTCAGACAACTGAGAATCACGTGAGGGTGTCTGGGAGGAATGCTGCCTAAGACAT
Organism: Homo sapiens; assembly: GCF_000001405.40. NCBI lineage: Eukaryota > Metazoa > Chordata > Mammalia > Primates > Hominidae > Homo > Homo sapiens. The sequence continues at coordinate 496,449 of NC_000004.12, read as the reverse complement.
GCAGTGGGTCTAAATAGGTTTCCCCCCCAGAAGAACATACTTAGAGTCTAATCTCAGCTGGCAGGTGCATATAAGGAGGTGACCCCTCCCGCACCTTGAGCCTCTGACACTGTGCCAGGTGGCCACCACACGGGTGAACCCAACCAGTTCGGGGGGTAACAGCCCTGAAAAGCTAGGTCTGCAAGCAGCACGTTTTGGGTCCGACACACATTCTGACTTGGCGAAATCCGAAGGGGAACTCTAAATTATGGGAACAAGGCCTCTGAAGCGGCTAAATACCCAACCGTCTACCCCCCACACACAAAAAAGGCGGTATGGTTGGGGGAGGAAAACGGCCAGCAAAAGGAAAAAACAGAGAAAAGATTTTTAAATTTTCACTGCTAAAGGGATTTTATTTACATAACAACGCCACCTTTTTGCCAGCCAGACCAAACCGAAAGAGCAATGGCTGTATTTCTGAAAGTAGCATTCTGTCCGGCCGAAATATGGTAATGAGATTTAAAAAGATTTTTTTAAAGGAGCTCAATGGTTAAAAGTCAGCTTAATTTGGCCATGCTCAGTGGCTCACGCCTGTAATCCCAGCATTTTGGGAGGCCGAGGTGGGCAGATCATGAGGTCAAGAGATCAAGACCATCCTGGCCAACATGGTGAAACCCCGTCTCCACTAAAAATACAAAAAATTAGCTGGGCGTGGTGGCGGGCACCTGTAATCCCAGTTACTTGGGGGGCTGAGGCAGGAGAATGGTATGAACCCGGGAGGTGGAGGTTGCAGTGAGCCGAGATCACACGTCACTGCACGCCAGCCTGGTAACAGAGTGAGATTCCGTCTCAAAAAAAAAAGAAGAAATGGCAAACTTCCTCTAAAACTTGCCACACAAAGATTATTTTTCCTTCTCTGTCTGCACCTGAGATCTCACACTCAATTTATCCATTGCTGAAATCTGTGGCAAAGCTACCCCTGATCGAGAGATTCCATCTCAAAAAAAAAAAAAAAGTCAATTTTAAAGGCTAACATCCAAGAATTGGGTGTGTATGTGTGCATGTTTATATTTAGAAGGTTTCATGTTTTTGGTTTTTGTTTTTCTCTCCTAGGACCTTGTCTTTTTTTTTTTTTTTTTGAGCAAAAGTTTTTTTTTTTGTTCAGTTGACTGAATTCTGTTTTCACCTGATTTTTTGACTAAAATAGTTACTGCAACAGGCTGCTCTTGAGTTTTTAAGGAAGTATGTAGTTTAGACACACAAAAATGTCTTTGTTAAAAAAAAATTTAGGCTGGGCGCGGTGGCTTATGTTTGTAATCCCAGCACTTTGGCAGGCCAAGGTGGGCGGATCACGAGGTCAGGAGATCGAGACCATCTTGGCTAACACAGTGAAACCTCGTCTCTATTAAAAATACGAAAAATTAGCCGGGCATGGTGGCCGGCGCCTGTAGTCCCAGCTACTCCGGAGGCTGAGGCAGGAGAATGGCGTGAACCCGGAGCTTGCAGTGAGCCGAGATGGCGCCACTGCACTCCAGCCTGGGCGACAGTGAGACTCCGTCTCAAAAAAAAAAAAAAAATAAGTGCACTGTAAAAGCATCACATGGTCTAACCTCAAAATAATTCTCCCTTTTTCTGGAGACCCAGGACTCAGTGTGGGCTTTCCCTAGAGCTCTGAGATCCAGTAGTCCCTATCTAAATAAAACTGGTCTCCTTATACAATCCTATGATAGATTTCTATAATTTATATTTGATTTGGCTCAAAGAAAAATAAAGCTGTCTCCCTCTAGCACCAGCAGACTTTTTCTCTCTATACCTTATGATGAAAATTTTGCTATTTGATTTTCACCTGAGTTGTTTCCTTTCTTATGCAAATGTAAGACTACTTAGCTGACAACTGCCTGGGGTTGTGAAGCCAGTTATTAATAATCTGAAAGTCTAAAATAGGAAAAAAATTGAATCTTTATGAATATATAAGATGTACTTCCAGCCAGGTGCGGTGGTTCACGACTGTAATCCCAGCATTTTGGGAGGCCGAGGTGGGTGGATCACGAGGTCGGGAGATCGAGACCATCCTGGCTAACATGGTGAAACCCCATCTCTACTAAACATACAAAAAAAAAAATTAGATGGGCATGGTGGCGGGCGCCTGTAGTCCCAGCTACTCGGGAGGTTGCAGCAGGAGAATGGCGTGAACCCAGGAGGCGGAGCTTGCAGTGAGCCGACATGGCGCCACTGCACTCCAGCCTGGGTGACAGAGCGAGATTCCGTCTCAAAAAAAAAAAAAAAAGATGTACTTCCATTGGCATGCCTAATATGTCTATGTGTTTATGTATTGTCTATATAGTGTTTCACTACTGAAAATATATAAAAGAACTCTAATTAATTGGCTTAAAGAAAAATAAAAGCACTTAAATACTTTATCAGGAAAAAAGAAAAGACTAGTCAAATGCTTTTTGAAGTTTATGTCACTTAAGTAAATTCTTCAATAAATAAGCTAGCTTTAAAATTATTGGCAAAGTAATATTAGAAATGTCTTAAGAATTACCAGCAGACATTTTTTGTTTGCATTTATTAATCAAGCAATTTTATAATTATCCCTGCCAAATACTATAAGTTGTCAAAATTTGGCATAGAAGTTACAAAACTATAAACCCAGCCCCAAACAGAATGATCTTTTGATCTTTGCCTGTGTAAGTTTTAATAAATGAGACACTGATATTGGTTTAATGAAAATAGCTGCATATGGAATTTAGTAAGATTACCATAACCTTTTTTTTTTTTTTTTTGCGGGGGGGATGGAATCTTCCTCTGTTGCCCAGACTGGAGTGCAATGGCATGAGCTTGGCTCACTGCAACCTCCACCTCCTGAGTTTAAGAAATTCTCCTGCCTCAGCCTCCTGAGTAGCTGGGACTATAGGTGTGCACCACCATGCCCCACTAATTTTTGTATTTTTAGTAAAGAAAGGGTTTCGCCATGTTGGCCAGGCTGGTCTTGAACTCCTGACCGTAGGTGACCCACCTGCCTTGGCCTTCCAAAGCTCTGGGATTATAGGCATGAGCCACTGCATCTGGCCTAGATTACCATACGTTCTAATCCTGTGGCTTTAGGCAGTGTAGTACACAGGGAGTAGAGAGGTTTGTTTTGAGAAAGGACTGTTACCATCTTTGTTTTAAAGTTAAACTATAAACTAAGTTCCTCCCAAAGTTAGTTCAGCCTATGCCTAGGAATGAACAAGGACAGTTTGGAGGTTAAAAGGAAAATGGAATCTGTTAGGCCATATTTTTTTTTTTTTTTTTTTACTGTCTCAGTTATAATTTTGCAATGGCGGTTTCACAACTTTAAATTATGACTACCACAGTTATCATAAATAATCTAGGTAAACAATTAAAATAGGTAAATGTAATGTGATAAATACTTGTGGACAAACTGGTCATAATTTAGAATATAAAGCTATATTAAATAATAGATATTTCATTATTTGGGTATTTTCCAATAAAAATGTATTGGAGGAAAACCTTTCCCAAAAAAAAGTGTAACCTTTTTAAAAAGGTGAATAAGTTTTGTCTAATTCAAAGCTTATTTAAAGGTTATGTGTAAAACAAGGTAAAAGAACCATGAAATAAGAAAGATGTAAATAAAGTTACAAAAATAAAGTGAGGTTTTTTGTTTTTTTTTTTTGGTAAGAAGGCTTAAAGAAAAATAATTTTATATGAGAAAGAATCTTGTATAGTAAATTTAGACCTAGAATAAAATGACTGTTTAAGAAAGAGGGATGTTCAGGACAAACCAGAAAATCCAAACATGTCATGAATGTTCTGTGTAAGTCACAATAAAAGGATTTATGAAAAAAAAAAAAACCCAAAACTTTTATATGATCAAGTTGTCTTTAAAGGGAAATTATAATGCTCTTTCTAGAGATTGGGCTTGGTGTAAAAAAACACTTATACACTAAATTATTTGTTAGAAAAATGAAATTTTCTTAAGGGATCGATTTACTCTTGATAAATCATAAGAGATTTTAACTTTTTTTAACCTGAAGTTCAGCTTTTATTGCATCTTGCCATTTTTTGGCTTTCTCTACCCTTTGAAAAGATACATTTTCTTAGAGGTCTAACGGGAATGTTTTTTTCCAACATAATATTCTGTGCACTGCAGAAGGTCTTTTTCTTTTGCCTTTTGGTAACTGGCCTGACAGATTTTATGTTTTATTGAAATAATTTCTATTCAGTTATAAAGTTTGATTTTGCTTAGGAAAAAACTGAAATTTAAGGTTTTTTTTTTGTTTGTTTGTTTGTTTTTTTTTTTTTGAGACGGAATCTCCCTCTGTCACCCAGACTGGAGTGCAGTGGCGTGATCTCGGCTCACTGCAAGCTCTGCCTCCTTGGTTCACACCATTCTCCTGCCTCAGCCTCCCGAGTAGCTGGGACTACAGGCGCCCGCCGGCCACGCCCGACTAATTTTTTGTATTTTTTTTTTTTTAGTAGAGATGGGGTTTCACAGTGTTAGCCAGGATGGTCTCGATCTCCTGACCTCGTGATCTGCCTGCCTTGGCCTCCCAAAGTGCTGGGATTACAGGCATGAGCCACTGCATCTGGCCTAATTTTTTTTTTAATTAAGGTTATTACATCCGTTTATCTTTCTGTATGTGCTTTTAAAGTACTTGTGACATTAAGTTACATGGCTTTCAGTCCTGGGTCTAAAAAGGACACCAAGTCCTGCTAAATCTTAAACACAATGTTCCTTTGTCATGACGTAGTCTGAAGCCAATTGTCTTTGATAGAGATTATGGGAACCTCTCATACATGTTGGAAGGATGTGTCTTGTCTGGAATTTTGTGTTTATTTTTTAGTTAAAAGGGTTTGTTCATGTTTCCTCTTAAGAGTCTCTAATTACTTGCTCTACCTGTTGCCTGTATTTAACATTTCAGTCTGCTCTTGAAACATTTACATTTGGTCTTAGCAGAGCCGAGCTGTCCTTCCAAAGTGTATCACCATTTGTTTCAGCACTCTTTGTTACTGGAGGCAAAAATCAGTTTTTGTTTTGTTTTGTTTTGAGATGGAGTCTCACTCTGTTGCCCAGGCTGGAGTGCAATGGCACGATCTTGGCTCACTGCAACCTCCGCCTCCTGGATTCAAGCCATTCTCCTGCCTCAGCCTCCTGAGTAGCTAGGATTACAGGCACCTGCCACCACACTCGTCTAATTTTTTGTAGACACGGGCTTTAACTATGTTGGCCAGGCTGGTCTCGAACTTCTGACCTCGTGATCTACCCGCCTTGGCCTCCCAAAGTGCTGGGGTTACATGTGTGAGCCACCATGCCCAGCCCCAAAATCAGTTTTTGTAAAGCCCCCAAAAGCCAGAAGTAAGGATGCACGTGTCAGTATTTTTCTTCTCTTTTAAGGAAGAAGACAGGAGTTGGCAGTTTACTCCTAATGGCACAGTGCTATACTGAGGAGGAGGAAGAGCTGTGGTGGGTGGATGTAACAAACATTCCTTCCTGTTCTTTTTTTTTTTTTTGAGATGTAGTCTCGCACTGCCTGCCAGGCTAGAGTGCAGTGGCGCCATCTTGGCTCACTGCAACCTCCACCTCCCGGCTTCAAGAGATTCTCCTGCCTCAGCCTCCCAAGTAGCTGGGATTACAGGCATGAGCCACCGCGCCCAGCCTGCACAGGGTTCATTTTTAACCTTCTGCTGTGTAAGGTTACATCCACTTATAAACTGTGCACGCATGCACACGTGCACACACACACACTTGTTCACAAATGGAAACAATATAATGACAATTATTTTAATGTTTTACATTTCATAACCTTTCTGGCCTGTGGTGTTTTGAGTAGGACACCTGAGATTTGAAGAGGAAAGCAAACCTCTAAAAAATAAAATGTTAGCTATTTGTGAATTTTCCATTTTTTATTAGCCACATCAAAACTAATAAAAAGAAACAAGTGAAATTGTTTGTGATAATTTTATTTTTTTATTTTTTATTTTTATTTTTATTTTTTTGAGACGGGTCTCACTCTGTTGCCCAGGCTGGAGTGCAGTGGCACAATCTTGGCTCACTGCAAGCTCTGCCTCCTGGGTTCACGCCATTCTCAGCCTCCTGAGTAGCTGGGACTACAGGCGCCTGCCACCACACCTGGCTAATTGTTTGTATTTTTAGTAGAGACGGGGTTTCACCGTGTTAGCCAGGATGGTCTCGATCTCCTCACCTCGTGATCTGCCCGCCTCAGCCTCCCAAAGTGCTGGGATTACAGGCGTGAGCCACCGCACCCGGCTGTTTGTGATAATTTTAACTTACTGTATCCAAAATGTTGGCCGGGCACGGTGTCTCACTCTTGTAATCCCAGCACTTTGGGAGGTTGAGGTGGGTGGATCACGAGGTCAGGGGATCTAAACCATCCTGGCCAACATGGTGAAACCTCATCTCTACTAAAATACAAAAAATTAGCCAGGCATGGTGGCATGTGCCTGTAGTCCCAGCCACTTGGGAGGCTGAGGCAGGAGAATTGCTTGAATCCTGGAGGCAGAGGTTGCAGTGAGCCGAGGTCACACTGCTGCACTCCAACCTGGCGACAGAGCAAGACTCTGTCTCAATAAATAAATACAATTAAATTTAAAAACCCAAAATATTATTGTTTTAATACGTGATCAATATATAATTAGAAATAAGGTATATTTCTGATCTGATTCTTCTAAACTCACTATTTTACATTTGCAGCACATTTTACTTCAAACCAGCTACATTCCTCCCCAGTAGCTACACATGTCAGGTGGCTGCCACATTGAGTGCAGCCATGAGGGCTCTGACCTCAAGAAAGTGAGGGCCTGAACACGTCTTTTCTGCTGGAAGTGAGGGAACAGCCTCTCTACCAACTTTTCTCCTCAGGCTCAAGGGTGGGTGGGACAGTGCCCCTAGAGAGAGCAGGGGCTGCAAGCTGAGAGTGTCCACGTGAAGACCATGGTCTCCCAGTCACTGTTTGGTGCCGGTGTGGTGGTCTCAGTTCAGCCAGGTCTGGGCTCTCTTCCCATGACCAGGAAGAATAAGACATACAGACACCAGAGAGTGAGTAAAGCAGAGTAGGATTTATTAAGCAAAAGGAAACCTCTCAGCAGTAAGAGGGGACATGAAAGCGGGTTGCCAGAAGTGGGGCTGAGTTCTGGGTCTTTTATGTGGCAAGAATAAGGAAGTCTTCTGTGGGTTCTGCCCAAATGGGAGGGGTCAATTTCTCCCCTAAGGGTGTTGGATCTGAGCATGCCTGGGGTTGACCACAGTGACTCCATCTTGGTTATTACCTATGAGTGCCCAAGGGAAACCCACGGCGGGTGGAAAGGGTGAAGCTAAAACCAAAATACATAGGTCAGTAACATTATAAGGAGCTGGGTCAAGTTAATGACATTTAGGTTCATTTATTACACCTAGGCCTAAGTTGCGACAGTCCCTTCTGATCAATATCCTGGCATAAGAGGAAGTTCTTAATCACATTTCTTCCCGCTAGCTACTGGGGTAGTGCAGGTGTGGTCCCTTGGGTGTTTTTCCTCTCCTGAGACCCTCCCTCCCTATCTTCCTAACCAGCCTCTGACTGCCTCCTCTCTCAGGGGTTCCTCTTCCTTTTATTTTATTTTATTTATTTTATTTTTTTTTGAGATGGAGTATCGCTCTGTTGCCAGGCCGGAATGCAGTGGCGTGATCTCGGCTCACTGCAACATCCACCTACTGTGTTCAAGTGATTCTCCTGCCTCAGCCTCCTGAGTAGCTGGGATTATGGGTGTGTACCACCACACCCAGCTAATTTTTGTATTTTTAGTAGAGATGCGGTTTCACAGTGTTGGCCAGGATGGTCTCAATCTCTTCACCTTGTGATCCGCCTGCCTCGGCCTCCCAAAGTGCTGGGATCACAGGTGTGAGCTACTGCGCCCGGTTTCCTCTTTCTTTTAAATATCATACAGTAAACAAGGAATGATGGGTCCACAGGAAGAGAGACCACCATGTCTTCAGATCTCCTCACAGCCTTGCCCTCCAGAGTTTAGATGTGGAGGGAATAGATTAAAGGCAAACTTCTTGTTTTGCTGTTTATCTTTGGACCTGTCAGGCTGTAACTGTGTGTTTTTCTCCTGTGGTGTGGGGCACTGCGTGAGTTTAAGCACCAATCACATACATCCACATGTACCTGCACTTCTGTTCCCAGAAGGAAGACCGTGAGTGTGAGTTGTCCAGGTCCTTGATATTTTGAACAAATAATTGAACAGAAAGCACAAAGGAATGAAAAACGGGAAGGAAGCAGCAAAAGCAAGAATTTATTAAAGTGAGAAAGCACTCCACAGGGTGGGTGTGGGCCCCAGCAAGCAGCCCAAGGACCTGGTTATAATGTTTTCTGGGTTTTAAGTACTCCTTTTGAGGTTCCTATCAGCTACCCCTTATCTGAATGAAGGATTTTGTCCTTGGCTAATCAAAGGCTGAGGCGAATTGGTACCCCATGCAGATGAAGGCATGGTCTGTGCTTGGCCCACGGCCACTCCAAGGCACTGTCCTTTTCTATCAGAGAACTGGTACAAGGGGGAGGGTTGTAGTGACAGTCGCCTTCGATCCTTTGCTACTCGGGTGTAGATGAGGTTTTTCCTTTTGGTTTAGTTGTAGGAAGTTCACGTTAACTGGCTTTAGGTTCCCTGCTCCCAGACCTTGGTGTTTTTTCTTGTAGGAAGTCAGCACGAATTGGCCTTAAGTTCCCTGTCTCCAGACCCTATTCTCCTGCCTCACTTCTGTATAAGTCAATACCATCTTAAAACAAATCTAACTTTAAATAAAGGAAAAAAGAAAATCAATACTTACAGGGTGCCAAGCATTTGCAGGTCATTTGTAATCAATTTGTCCTGGAATCCTGGAATCCTGTCTTTAATGGGTGTATATATTACTAAGCTATAACTGCATAACAAACAATCCCAAAACATACTAGCTCAGGATTGAGCTGGTTAGAAATTTAGGCTGGGCTTAGCTGGGCCATTCTTCTGGGCTCAGTTTGCCTCCTTCAGGTGTGAGTGGTCAGATGCTGGTGAATTAGGTGGCTCCGCTTCTGGGAGTGAGCTGTCTGTAAACTGAGGCACTTTGGCTTTCCTCAGCATGCTACTTTATTCTCCAGAAAGTTAAAATGGGCTTGTTGTCATAGAGATGGAAGAATTCTGAAAAAGATAACAGAAGCATTTAGGAACTTTAAACCTGGGCCCCAAACTGGCACACTATGCCAGTGCAAATAAGAGATTCAAGTTTGGGAAACAGAATCTGTCTCTTGATAGGAACGACTATAAAAGCCATTTCCAAGGACATGAATACAATAAGAAATTTTTCAAATTGCTGTTTTTGCAATCAATTTTATCATGACTTTTCTTGTAGATGTGTCTTGTATAACTATCCCACAGCTACTAAGCAGCTGGCTGGGACTCAGGATCAACGTTGGCCTGACTCTGAAGCCCATGCACCTCCATAGACCACACTACTCAGCCAGGTTTCCTGGACCTTCAAGGGGCTGGAGTGACACTTCTGAAATAGGAGCAAGATTTTTTTGAGAATGTCATCCCATCCATCCATTACTCTTCACCATTGGAAATAATTCACTCCAGGGAATGGTTCTGAAGTCTCTTGGGAAAAGCGAAACAATTTGAGAAAATTGCTGAGCATTGGGTTTAGGAAATTAATGTCCAACATTACATTTTTAATTTATCATAGGAGAAATTTGAAAACACCTATAATGCACTGATCATATCTGCAAACTCTTTGTATTTTTTGTATTTGTTGACTATTTATGATTTTTAATATAGACAAAGTCAAATTACTGTTCCTGAATCAACTTTTGCTCTGTAGACAAATGACATAGCAATAGGGCTGCTGCTTTTTTTTCCCAGTGCAATTTAGCCGACCAGCAGAGTATGCTTTGAAGAGCCAAGATGTTTTCTAAGACCCCACATTTAGGAGCAACTATAGGGCAAGTGCCTAGAGCACACATAGAAATCACACACAACTAAGGCCGGGCGCGGTGGCTCATGCCTGTAATCCCAGCACTTTGGTAGGCCAAGGCGGGCGGTCATGAGGTCAGGAGATCAAGACCATGCTGGCTAACATGGTGAAACCCTGTCTCTACTAAAAATACAAAAAATTAGCCGGACATGGTGGCGGACGCCTGTAGTCCCAGCTACTCGGGAGGCGGAGGCAGGAGAATCACGTGAACCCAGGAGGCAGAAGTTGCAATGAGCCAAGATCGCGCCACTGCATGCAGCCTGGGCGACAGAGCGAGACTCCGTCTCAAAAAAAAAAAAGAAAAGAAAAAAAAAAGAAATCACACTCAACCAATGCATTTCTCACCCTGAATCAATGCTTCTTACCCTTGGATGCATATTAGAATAGCCTGCTGTGCATGTGGGTGGTGGTATTTAAAGTTCCCAAATCTAAGTTGCAACGGAATAATTAAGCCAGAATCTATCTATTTATTTATTTATTTATTTATTTTTTAGATGGAGTCTCGCTCTGTCGCCAGGCTGGAGTGCAGTGGCACAATCTCAGCTCACTGCAACCTCTACCTCCTCGGTTCAAGCAATTCTCCTGCCTCAGCCTCCCAAGTAGCTGGGACTATAGGCACGCACCAGCACGCCTGGATAGTTTTTGTATTTTTAGTAGAGACGGGGTTTCACCCATGTTGGCCAGGATGGTCTCGATCTCTTGACCTCATGATCCGCCCGCCTCGGCCTCCCAAAGTGCTGGGATTACAGGCGTGCGCCAGTTAAGCCAGAATCTTTAGAGTGAGACCCAGGCAATGGCGATTTTAGGCTCTCCAGGTGATTACAATATGCAACCATGCTCCCAAATGTCTGCTGTAAACCAACATCTTTCGGAGGACCAGTTGAAAATAATATTTCTCAAATTAATGTGAAAAGTGTTTGCTGTTGAGTTGCGGCCTTTCAGTCCCGCCTTTGTTCTCTACTCACCACTGTTGAGTTGTGGCCTTTCAGTCCCGCCTGTGTTCTCTACTCACCTCTACTGCTTGTTTTGCTCCTGATTCAAACCAGTTCCACACATACTAAGCCCACTGTGCTAGGTGGCCTGACCGTGGTGAATATTATTGTGGAGGAAGGACTTTGCTGTAAGAAATTGCATTCCCCAAAACTGAAACCATGATATTTACTCAACTGAGGTAAAAAATGAAAGACTAAGGGGGACTCCCAAGGGTCAGGGCAAGAATAAATACCTTGGAATATTAATACCCATCTCATGATGCCTGAGTGTAAATGCTCCCTTTCAAGCAAAACAATACTCGCTGGGCGTGGTAGCTCACACCTGTAATCCCAGCCATTTGGGAGGCCGAGGCAGGCAGATCACTGACCATCCTGACCTATTGGGGAATCTGCCCTGATATTCACATAGGTTCTTTTCTATTTTCCCTAAGTGTCGGCCGGCTTGAGAAATAAAGGGACAGAGTACAAAAGAGAGAAATTTTAAAGCTGGGTGTCTGGGGGAGACATCACATGTCAGTAGGTTCCGTGATGCCCCACAAGCCGCAAAAACCAGCAAGTTTTTATTCGAGATTTTCAAAAGGGGAGGGAGTGTGCGAATAGGTGTGGGTGACAGACTTCAAGTACTTAACAGGGTAATAGAATATCACAAGGCAAGTGGAGGCAGGGCGAGATCACAGGACCACAGGGCCAGGGTGAAATTAAAATTGCTAAAGAAGTTTCGGGCACCACTGTCATTGATAACATCTTATCAGGAGACAGGGTTTTGAGATCAACCGGTCTGACCAAAATTTATTAGGTGGGAATTTCCTCTTCCTAATAAGCCTGGGAGCACTATGGGAGACTGGAGTCTATTTCATCTCTGCAGCCTCGACCATAAGAGATGGCCATGCCTGGGGGCGCTGTTTATAAGCCTATACCTCCAGGCGTGTATTCTCCTTCTCAGGGACGTTCCTTGCTGAGATAAAGAATTCAGCGATATTTCTCCCATTTGCTTTTGAAAGAAGAGAAACATGGTTGTGTTCCGCCCGGCTCACCGGTGGTCAGAGTTTAAGGTTATCTCTCTTATTCCCTGAACAACTGCTGTTATCCTGTTCTTTTTTCAAGGTGCCACACATTTCATATTGCTCAAACACACATGCTGTACAATTTGTGCAGTTAATGCAATTATTACAGGGTCCTGAGGCGATATACATCCTCCTCAGCTGACAGGATTAAGAGATTAAAGTAAAGACAGGCATAGGAAGTCACAAGGGTATTGATTGGGGTAGTGATAAGTGTCCATGAAATCTTTACAATTTATGTTTAGAGATTGCAGTAAAGACAGGCATAAGAAATTACAAAAGTATTAATTTAGGGAACTAATAAATGTCCATAAAATCTTCACAATCCATGTTCTTCTGCCATGGCTTCAGCTGGTCCCTCCATTTGGGGCCCCTGACTTCCCATAACACTGACCAACATGGTGAAACCCCGTCTCTACTAAAAATACAAAAATCAGCTGAGTGTGCTGGTACATCCCTGGAGTCCCAGCTACTCGGGAGGCTGAGGCAGGAGAATCGCTTGAATCCAGGAGGCTGAGGTTGCAGTGAGCTGAGATCGTGCCACTGCACTCCAGCCTGGCGACAGAGCAAGACTCCATTTCAAACAAACAAACAAATGAACATTGCTATTATTCTGAAATATTATGTTAGGATTAAATATGTAATATTTCGATTTTTATTGATGTATAACATGCATACAGAAATACATCCACAGTAAAGGATTAATGTAATGCTCAATAAATTATAACAAAGCTAATACATTTGTGTAGCTATAGACTAGAACTACCCGTTTTTGCCCACAAACCACTTCCTCTTCTTTTTTCCTCCTCCCCAAATGTAACCACAATCTTAAGAGCTAATTTTTTTTTCTTTTTTTTTTTGAGATGGAGACTTGCCCTGTCACCCAGGCTGGAGTGCAGTGGCGCGATCTTGGCTCACTGCAACCTCTGCCTCCTGGGTTCAAGGGATTCTCCTGCCTCAGCCTCCCAAGTAGCTGGGATTACAAGCACTCACCACCATGCCCAGCTAAATTTTTTTTGTATTTTTAGTAGAGACGGGGTTTCACCATATTGGCCAGGCTGGTCATGAACTGACCTCAGGTGATCCACCTGCCTCAGCCTCCCAAAGTGCTGGGATTACAGGCGTGAGCCACCGTGCCCAGCCAAGAGGCAATGTTATAGATTGTTTGTCTTTTTATACAAGTGTTTTATTAGAGAATATTTTTAACTTATACACAGTAACCAAAATAGTATAATAGGCTGATGCTCCACCTGAACATCTGCTAATTATGTCTCATTTCTGTTTAATTTCTACTTCAACTCCTTCCCCATCCCCACTTTATTATTTTCATTTTCTGTAAGATAAGATGTATATGCATCGAAACATACAGTCATTACTGTACCTGTCTGACAAATCAGTACATCTGTATAAGCGTTTCCCTTTCAATTACAGAATTACTACCAGTTAACAATTATTAATGTGCATGTGAATCACCTGGAAATATTTGAAATACAGATTTTGATACAATATATCTGGGTTTTTGCCTGAAAATGTGTATTTCTAACAAAGTACAGATCCATAGAGCACATGGTAACTACAAGCCCTCTTTGTCTAAAGTGTATAAAACTTGATGAATAAGGCCAAGCGCGGTGGCTCACACCTGTAATCCCAGCACTTTGGGAGGCTGAGGCGGGTAGATCCCGAGGTCAAGAGATCGAGACCAGCCTGGCCAACATGGTGAAACCCCGTCTCTACTAAAAATACAAAAATTAGCTGGGCATGGTGGCGGGCGCTTGTAGTCCCAGCCACTCAGGAGGCTGAGGCAGGAGAATCATATGAACCTGGGAGGCAGAGGTTGCAGTGAGCCGAGATCACGCCACTTCACTTCAACCTGGGTGACAGAGTGAGAGTCCCTCTCAAAAAAAACAAAAACAGAAACAACTTGATGAATAAAATTAAGAAAAATTGGGCCGGGCGCGGTGGCTCATGCTGGTAATCCCAGCACTTTGGGAGGCCGAGGTGGGCGGATCCCCTGAGGTCAGGAGTTTGAGGCCAGCCTGACCAACATGGAGAAACCTCCTCTCTACTAAAAATACAAAAAATTAGCCAGGTGTGGTGGCACATGCCTGTAATCCTAGTGGCTCAGGAGGTTGAGGCAGGAGAATCGTTTGAACCTGGAAGATGGAGGTTGCAGTGAGCCGGGATGGCGCCATTGCACTCCAGCCAGGGCAGCAAGACCAAAACTCCATTTCAAAAAAGGAAAATCGACCTCAGATAAAATAACAAATCAAAATGCATGTGCAATATGCGACCTGTGGGAGCATTTCATCAACAATGTCTCACAGTCATATGTGACCTTTACTGACTCGCCCAAAATTCGGTCATTTATACACCAAGTGCACATAAATTTCATAGTTTCCTATTAAAATTATATATAATGCCTTTATAAAATCTAACTCAGTTTTCTGATCAAATTAAGTAACATTTTATATGACGTTTTAAGTTCTGTTTATATTAAACTTACATAATTTTATTAGGCAGCGTATGCGTGTCTACTACCAAATATTCTTTTGAGTTCCAGCATTTGCACAGGCACCACAGCTGAGAAGCACAGATTCTGGGTGTTTGTCTGTGAGACTGAGCCAAAGGTGGACGCTGTGTTCAACTGCTGAAGGGCATTTTTACTGCCTTCCTGACTTGACAGTGAAACACTTAAAAAGATAATGGAATGGATGTTAACTCCTGTCAAATAGATCACTTGCAATTTCTTCCTTATGTGGAGGTTGCAATGAGCTGAGATCATGCCACTGGACTCCAGCCTTGGCGACAGAGGGAGACTGTCAAAAAAAAAAAAAAAGAAAGAAAAGAACAAAGATGTGTCTTCTGAAACACAACAGCCAGAAGTGAATAACTTGATTTTTAATAAATGGACCAAGGTCTTCAAAGACATTTCCCAAAGGAAGCTATGCAAATGGCCAAGAGACATTTGAAAAAATAATCAAAATTAGTTTTTGAGAGAAATGGAAAGCACAATCCCAGTGAGCTCTTACCTCTTACCCATTAGGATGGCCACTATTCAACACAAAAAGGGAGTCAATGTTGTCAAGGATACAGAGCATTTGGAACCCCCATGCACTGTTGGTGGAAGAGAATAATGCAGCCCCCAAGAAAATTGGGATGGAGATTTCTCAAAATATTAAAAATAAAATGCCTCTGGGTGTGGTGGCTCTGGCCTGTAATTCCAACACTTTGGGAGGTTGAGATAGGATAATTACTTGAGCTCAGGAGTTTGGGTCCAGCCTGAGCAACATAGTGAGACCCCATCTCTACAAAAAATACAAAAATCAGCCAGGTGTGGTGGCCTGTGTCTGTAGTCCCAGTTACTTGGATGGCTGAGTTGGGAGGATTGTTTGAGCCCAGGATGTCAAGGCTGCAGTGACCATTATCACACCACTGCACTCCAGCCTGTGTGGAAAAGTAAGATGCTATCAGAAAAATGAAATTGTCATACAATCCAGCAATTCCATTTCTGGGTATCTATGTATGCAAAGCAGGAGCTGGAATGGACATTTGCACACACATGTGTATAACAGCATTCCCCCCCCCCCCACAAAAGGTGAAAGCTACTTAAAAGTTTCTTGATAGATAAATGGATAAAGAAGATGTGGCATATGCATGCAGTGGAATACGGCTCTACCTTCCGAAAGCAAATTATGCACATGCTACAGAAAGTATAAAACTTTAGGACATTCAGTGAAACATGCCAGAAACAAAGTGACAAAGCTCATATAATTCCATTTATACGAGCTATCTCAAGTAGTCAAACTTACAGAAACAGGAAGTAGAATGATGTATTTCATAAGCTGGAGAGAGAGTAAAAGGGGCAGTTAATGCTTCAGGGGTATTTAGTTTCAGCTTTGTAAGATGTGAAAGTTCTAGAGGTTTGCTGCAATGTAAATATACTTAGCACTACTAAACTGTACACATTAAAAAATAAAAGATGACCAATGTTTTGAGTTTTTCTGACAGTTAAAAATTTGTGAAATAA
This sequence comes from Homo sapiens, assembly GCF_000001405.40. Classification (NCBI taxonomy): domain Eukaryota; kingdom Metazoa; phylum Chordata; class Mammalia; order Primates; family Hominidae; genus Homo; species Homo sapiens. The sequence continues at coordinate 480,384 of NC_000004.12, read as the reverse complement.
GTACTTAAGAGTCAGCATAAGAAAGTGTTCCTAAATTCAAATTACAAAAGTGTTTTGCTCCCACAAAATCACTTAGATTCATCCAAAAGCACATAGTGAAATTAATATTCTTTTTATGACTACTTGACTCAACAGGGTAAAACAACCTTCAGCACAAGCCAAGAACAGAAATAGACAAGATAAGCCATGCAGAAAGTTGGGGTTATGTTTTTAGAGGAAGACAAATACATGCATAATGTGATTGGTGATGAATATGGCATATTCCTATTTTAATTCAGCCCCACATTGACTTAAAGTGTTTCTGTAGAGTTCCAAATTGACATCCTGAATCACTGACATCCAAAATCACCATACCCAGGTGAAACCAAACACACAATACACTGACACCAAGAAACCTACCATAAAAAAAATACGAAATTACCAAACAAGAATGAGAAAAGCATTCACCCAAACAATCCTGTATACAACCTAGACCTACTACTGAAAAAGAATCCCCATAGATTTCCAAATGGATATGTGCACACATGAAGGGCAGATGTTTTAAATCAGAACTGTTTGAAAAAGGTGCCTCAGAGAGCAAGCACCTCCACTCTCAGGAAGACACTGGCACAATCCTCTGGCTTCACAGACCACAAGGCCACATGGAGCATTGGTGGCACATGGGGTGGGACAGCAGGAGCACTGCTTCTGGAGTTTTGGAGGGCAACTGCAGGCTCCGGTGTAGGCCCCAGCCTCTGGCACACTGGTGCATGCCAACAAAGGAGCCCTCAGGCCATCACCCCTCTCATCAGGGCCCTTGCATCTGTCACTGTTGTAATCTGTGCCTGCAGCCCCCTGGTCCCTGAACGTCCTGTTCTCCAGGAGGCACATAGCTTTGCTTCCAGCCTCCACACCTTCTTATTTCACCTGTGCAGGATATAGGGATCTGTGCTGTTTCTGTGCCTCTAGGGATCCATGTGCCCAACCATGAGAATAAGGAGGAGGTGTTCTGGGGGAGCCAGAGGCAGTGGCTGGCTGAGGGCTGGGTGACAGGACCACCACGTGCATGATGTCATGGGTGGTAGGGCAGGCAGGGCTGGCTGCTTCCCGGGCAAGGAAGTCAGAAGATCCAATGGTTTCCACCATCCCCACACTCTAACCAGGGTTGCCAGGGGGAGATCTAAACACATTCGTGACTGTGTGCTACAGAAATGGAAGAAGCAGCAGCTTCATCTTGGAGTTGCATGGCTGTTATCGTGACCAAGCAATGGGGAAAGGGCTGACTCTCCAACAAAAGGTATTTAAAAACTCAATATTGAAATTTTTAAAAATTAACTTGGGCCGGGCGCGGTGGTTCACACCTGTAATCCCAGCACTTTGAGAGGCCGAGGTGGGCAGATCACCTTAGGAGTTTGGGACCAGCCTGGCCAACACGGTGAAACCCTGTCTCTACTAAAAATACAAAAAAATTAGCCTGGCATGGTGGTGGGTGCCTGTAATCCCAGCTACTCGGAAGGCTGAGGCAGGAGAATCGCTTGAACCCGGGAGGCAGAGGTTGCAGCGAGCTGAGATCGTGCCACTGCACTCCAGCCTGGGCGACAAAGTGAGACTCCCATCTCAAAAAAAAAAAAAAAATCAGACCTTTCCTTTGCACAATGTACAAAACATTACTTATCTATTTATGTATGCGTAGCAGGAACTGGAAATGACATTTGCACACCCATGTTCATAAACAGTATTATTCCAAAATCAAAAGTTGGAAGCTACTTACATAACCCTTGACATATAAATGGATTTTTAAAATGGAATGTACATGCAATGGAAAATCTATTTTATAAAAGGAAATTATGTCACATGCTATTATAAAGATAAACCTTGAGGGCTAGGTGTGATGACTCATGCCTGTAATCCACATAACTGGGAAAGTTAAAAAAATGAGAGAGGAGAGAGAATCTCTTGAGGCAAACAGTTCAAGATCAACCTGGACAACACAGGGAGAGTGCATCTCTATAGAAAAGGGGTAAATCTTTACAACATGTAAAGAGAAATATGCAAAAAAAACAAAGTAACAGCGAGTATATACTTTCATTTATGTGAAATATTTTTAGTAGTCTACTCATAAAAACAGAAAGTAGAATGGTGTTTGTCAAGAGCTGAGGGAGGAGGAACACGTTACCAAGAAGTGCAAGGTCCTTAATTTTTGTCTTCTTGAGAGAAATAATTCAGCCAAGAGGCAATTTAATGAAACAAGCAGAGAGTTTATTAAAGGAAAATAAAGTACACTACAAGAGGAGTCGGCTGGTCCAGTTGAAAACTGCCCTGAGAGTTCCGTGTTGCAGTTTTTATTATCTTGCATTTTAAAAAAATTTCCACATCGGTCTTAAGTGTCTGCCTTTGTCTTTGTCTAGGTTCCTGCTTCTGTGGTAAATCTTTGCCTTTGTCCCCACTTAGTTTCTGCCCAGGTCTGTGAGATGCTTCCTTATTGTCAGCTGACATACATGCATGGGTTCCTGTGATCTATAGCAGTCCTATCTAATGGCAGCATTGCTTATTACTATCACCCCAGGAAGGTCATATAGCGGTCAAATCCATATTTATTGTGCCCGCATATCTCTTAGGGGTGTATCAGGGTGTTCTTTCTTTATAGGTATTTCCCCTCCTCTCTGCTCAAATTTAGCATGCATGTTTTGTTTGGTCTTTGGAGCATGAAATTTTCTTTCCCCAGGGGCTCTTTTTTCTGCTCATTTTAAACTATCGGCTTACTCTAACATTCCCTCCTCAATAGGTTGAGACTAAAAATCTTCGAGTCTAGGGGCACTGTGGGTCTTCTGTAACTACTTCCTGGTGATATGAGATAACTCATTAATGCGCCGGGCACGGTGGCTCATGCCTGTAATCCCAGCACTTTGGGAGGCCGAGGCAGGCGGATCACGAGGTCCGGGGATCAAGACCATCCTGGCTAACATGGTGAGACCCCGTCTCTACTAAAAATACAAAAAAATTAGCTGGGTGTGTTGGCTGGCGCCTGTAGTCCCAGCTACTTGGGAGGCTGAGGCAGGAGAATGGCATGAACCCAGGAGGCGGAGCTTGCAGTGAGCCCATACAGAGTGAGACGAGACTCTGTCTCCAAAAAAAAAAAAAAAAAAAAAAAGGAACTCACCAGTGTCTCATTCTCTTGCTCTTTGTCAGGGAAAGATACTTTCCATGTTTTCCCAGAAGGTTTGACTTGCAGTGTCAGAGGAAATGTGGAGGAAGATGGTTGTCCAGAAGGGAGGAAAATAGATCAATATTCCTGTTGCAGGACCACTTGTAGTCTGAGGTCAGAGAAGACAAACCTGGTTAGTAGATTTAGTGAACAAGGCCCAAAAAGGAGTGAGGAAAAACAAACAAGAAAAAGGCCAGAGATCCCAAGAAAATGAGATGCCATGAGAATTGGAACCAGGTGGCACCCTGGGAGAACTAGCTCTCAGTGGCGTGTTTAGGATGGCTTAGTTTATAAGATCTCTAACTTAATTCTGGACTTTCCCTAAGCTGTTAACCCAGAAACAGCATTTTTCTCCTAAAATAAGGCAAATTCCTTTGTGAGCTGCAGCCAGTGTGTCAAGACTTCTACAATTTTGGAGAACTACAACCATGAGAGAATCAAATTGCTGCTGTAACTTAGAGTTGGAGCAGTGGTTTCTATTTTGTGAGTCAGTTCCTGAGACAGGCTGTGGTAAGCTGAGGAGGCAATAATAATGCCAGCTATTTCTGTGGTGGCACTTGTGGTGCCAAGCTCATTGCGGAAAGAAATTAGATCAACTGCTCAGTCGATCTGGTGTGGGTAAATAAGTGTTAATTATTGTTAAATGGTGTGGTAAATAAGGGTAATAGCAGAGAAGCATCACCTGGGACAATGGAAACTTAAGGGGTGAGGTAAGCCAGAATGTTTGTTCTGGTCCAGTTTGCAGGGAGGCAGAGATAAGCCTGCATTTCCCAGAGGAAGTAAAGTTCTGCAGTTGAAAAACAAGAATGAATTCAGGAGGTAAGTTCAGATTCAAACATTGACCAGTGTCCTTGCTGGCTACCCAATATATGATATTCTGCCAATACAGTTGCTGCTATCAGGGGAGCCAGACATGGGTGATTAGTTTGAGTAGGACAATGGGTCCTATTTTCTTAGAAGACCATGTGTCTAGTAGTATCAAGGAGAAGGGTTTTCTGGAAGGAATGAAAGACTTGAAACTTATTGCATAATCCATACTGGCTTGGTCAATACCATGAGTTGGATTGACTGCAAGAAGGGTGACTGAAGCAGAATTCAGTGGTATCATTTTGGATGAATGGTCCAGGAGTTAAAATATTTAAAGGGCCCAGAGAATCTCATTTGGTATTGGGAATATTTCATGAAAGTAAAAAAAAGTTTGAGAAGTATCAATAATGGTGCTGTTTGTGTTGCATTGTGCTCAGTCAAATACACCCACATGGATTCTGGAATTTATGGTAGCATAGATGTATAGAGGAATCAGGTCAATAAGGGTAACGGGAGAACAAGGGGCTTAAAACGGTGGGGGTGGGCTTAAGAAAATCTTTAAAGGCTGCTTTAGCTTGTGTTAGAAATAGCACGTTAGTAGGGGGAAGCTTTGGTATAGTGAGGTCTCGGTGGTAGTTGAAGCTATATTGGGACTAAGAGGTTGGCCATTCTTGTACTATGACCAAGTAGGACATTCCTACCCTGAATGAAGAGGAATTCATGCATAGCTAACAGGTTGAGGCATAGGAAGAATTGGTAGACTTTAGTAGTTGTGGAGCTGCCTATAGAGTGCTAAAAAAAGGTTGTTGACAATTAGTGCATATGAAGGTGATTTTAGCCAGAAGTATGAGTAATGACCATAGAGCATTAGGTTGCATAGTTCCACAGAAAGTAGATTAGGACCAAAGTGAGATGCTTGCTGATTAAGAGATACTGTGAACACAATGAGTATTAGAGAGAGAGATCAATACTCAGATTATGACTTTGAGGTTTAAATCTAGGAGGGGCATAGCAAACACTTCCCTGTAGAGGGTGATGGTTTACAGTAAAAAAAAATATTAGTAAGTCTGCAAAGAGTATTATGACTTGTAATATAAAGGCCAAAATATTACTAACAATTGCTGATGAACTAAGGCAGTCAAAAGTAAAATAACTAAATAATTAGGCTAAAAAAATTCATATTAGATAAAGCTAGCTTTTTTTTTTTGAGACGGAGTCTGGCTCTGTCACCCAGCCTGGAGAGCAGTGACGCCATCTCAACTAACAAGAAGCTCCGTCTCCTGGGTTCACGCCATTCTCCTGCCTCAGCCTCCCGAGTAGCTGGGACTACAGGCGCCCCCCACCACGCCCGGCTAATTTTTGTATTTTGAATAGAGACGGGGTTTCACCGTGTTAGCCAGGATGGTCTCGATCTCCGGACCTCGTGATCCACCCGCCCCGGCCTCCCAAAGTGCTAGGATTACAGGCGTGAGCCACTGCGCCCGGCCAACATTTTATTCATTTATTTGTTTATTTTTTGAGACGGAGTCTCACTCTGTCGCCCAGGCTGGAGTGCAGTGGCGCGATCTCAGCTCACTGCAACCTCCACCCCCCAGGTTCAAGCGATTCTCCTGTCTCAGCTTCATGAGTAGCTGGGATTACAGGCGCCCACCACCATGCCTGGCTAATTTTTATATTTTTTAGTAGAGACGGGGTTTCACCATCTTGGCCAGGCTGGTCTTGAACTCCTCACCCCGTGATCCCCCCACCTCGGCCTCCCAAAGCTTTGGGATTACTGGCGTGAGCAACCGTGCTCAGCCTAACATTTTATTTTTTAGAGGTTTGCTTTCCTCTTCAAATCTCAGGTGTCCTACTCAAAACACCACAGGCCAGAAAGGTTATGAAATGTAAAATATTAAAATAATTGTCACTATATTGTTTCCATTTGTGAACAAGTGTGTCTGTGTGTGTGCGCGCGCGCGTGCACAATTTATAAATTGACGTAACGTTACACACCAGAAGGTTAAAATGAACCCTGTGCAGAGCCAAGCCTAGCACAGAGATTAAGCGCCGCCTGAAAGTGCCTGGAGGTACTAGTCTGTCACTCTTGCCTCATTCAGTGCATTGTATGGTCACAATTTCTGTCATTCAAAGCCTGAGGGCGTGAAGCCTGGACCCATATCCAATCAGAGCGCTTGACTGAGAACTGCCCAATCAGGCGCGCAGTCTGAGAGGAGGGGGCGGCATCCGGGATCTTCGGCGGCCTTGGCCTGTTGCTTCAGCCTGAGCTCGGTTAGGGCCTCACTTCCCTGCTTCCACACCTCAGGGAGGCCTCGGTGATTTTGCCAGAGCCTCAGCCTCCATCGCTCTGTAACCTGCGGGTATTGGATGATTCGTAGCTAAGACTTCGCGACACCCTTGAAGCTGAGAAATGGTGAGTGTGCGGGGCAGGGCGTCCCAAGGCTGGGGAGGCCTCATCAGAACCGGCGGCAAATGGCGGCGGCGGGACTGAGTCTGCGAACGGAGTCCCCGCTGCCGCCGCTTAGCCCTCGGTCCTCAGTCCCCTCCGGTGAGGGACCCGCGCTCCTGTCGGGGTCCCCGCAAGGCTGCTCTGGCCCAGCCTGCAGCCCTCCTTGTGCAGCTCTGCGCCGCAACCCTGCACCTTCCCCGGGCTGTGGGGTGAGGAGAAGCTCATCGGGAAGACGCCAGGTGCGGCGTGCGCAGGTACCGCGTAGGAGGAGCTGTGGTCCAGGGGTCCTGTCCCTACTTTACGGAATGAGATCGAGGCCCCATCAAAACATAGAGTTCATGTGAGCAAACGGGGACTCATTAATGGGGCAGCGCCGGCTGTGGCTCGTGGCTTGGGGGCTGCCAGCGGGTCTTGAAAAAAAAGACTTTTGTGAGGTGTGTGAGGAAGTGAAGCGAATCACCAGCCCGCCCCAACTTTCCCACCAGTCCCCTTGCCCTGTGCGCCTCCTCCGCGTGGCTGCTCCCGAGTGGCATCAGGATGATGATTGGTGGTCTTGTCTTGGGATGAAAAGCGTTTGTGTTGGGGTAAGGGACTCTGTGTGCTGTGTCTGCTTTCTCTAGCCGAGTAGTACTATAATGGGTCCAGGTGGAGGAGCATCACCGTTAACAGGAGACTTGATAAAAGACGCTAACTCATGGACTCTTTTCAAACCTGCAAAATTTTGGTACAGTGAGGCCTTTAACATCAAATAATTGATATGCGCATTGAAGCTTGAGAGACAGTGCTTAGCTAAGTGACTCTCAGCCCAGTCTTCCCGTAGTGAAGTGAAATCATCACCTGTGCCCTCCCCTCACATCCTGTCTATTGTTCTGGGTGGAAACATTTCTGTTTTTTAAATTAAGTTCCTCGCATATTATAGCAAGGCCAAGGTCAAGCATGAGGACTTCCAGATATTTTCATGAGAGGTGAGTTCAACCTGTTTTCCAGGAGGTCACAGGGCCTACTCTGCTTGGTTTTGGTAGGGGCAGGTCAGTGTAGCCCATTATTTTTATTGCAGGAACAGAAACTGTTGGAATGCCTTCCTTTTTCCGCAGAGCTATAGAATACTTTAGAGAACATTACTGTGTTGAAAGTTGTTTTATCAGATAATCCCAGTCAGTCACATGTCAGAACTGGTTCTCTTAACACATTTCACCTGTAGTCAAATTAAGAACTCTGTCACTTGATACATATGTATTTTCAGGAACCCTTAACATTCAGGGATGTGGCCATAGAATTCTCTCCAGAAGAGTGGAAATGCCTGGACCCTGCCCAGCAGAATTTGTATAGAGATGTGATGTTGGAGAACTACAGAAACCTGGTCTCCCTAGGTGAGGATAACTTTAATGCATAATTCCTAATACTCCCTCTGAGTTTTATTTTCTATTTTTGTAGAATGTCTTTTGAGATATATCTATATAAAAATGTGTGTCTCACACACACAGCTATGTAAGTTATATATGTGTATAGTAAATTCTTAACATTGTTGATAGATTCTCAGAAACTGTAAGTGAAGCAACATATCATTTAGGAAAATGAATTTTAGGGCTGGGTGCAGTGGCTCACGCCTGTAATCCCAGCACTTTGGGAGGCTGAGGTGGGCAGATCAGGAGGTCAGGAGTTTGAGACCAGCCTTGCCAACATGGCAAAACCCTGTCTCTACTAAAAATACAAAAAACTAGCTGGGCATGGTGGCAGGTGCCTGTAATCCAGCTACTTGGGAGGCTTAGGCGGAGAATCACTTGAACCTGGGAGGCAGAGGTTGCAGTGAGCCGAGATTGCGCCATTGAACTCCTGTCTGGGAGACAAGAGCAAAACTCCGTCTCAAAAAAACCAAAAAACAAAAAATAATAATTTTAGCAAAGTTTAATTGATACAAACGAGTTATGTTTGGTATATAGCAACATTGCTTCATATAAAGTTGCAGTTTTCAAGAACCTGTTTTGAACATTAAGTGAGGACTTACTCTTCATCTGTGTTTGTGTGACATGGATTTTTCTGTTAAATAAAAATTGTTTAACTATATTTAATGTGTACAATGTAATGATTTGATATGCATATATTTTGTAATATATGCATATATTTTATTGTAAAGTAAAATATAATCAAGTTGATCAACATATCTATTACCTCATATAGATCATGATTTTTTTGGTAATAAGAACACTTAAGGCCTAGTGTCCTAGCAAATTGTAAGCATACATTACAGTATTATTAATTATAAATGGAATACTGTTTTGCTAATCTAATGCTAATGTACATTAGCATTAGGTTTCTCCTTAGGTTTCTCCTTATTCAACTTATTCAACTTATAACTAAAAATTTATACTCTTTGAACATCTCATATTCCCACCCTTAGGCACTAACAATCGCCATTCTACTTTCTGCTTTTATGAGTTTACATTTTTAGATTTACCCGTCTATGTAAAAAGAAGCAGTTTCTTTGTCTGTCTGTGTTTGGCTAATTTCATTTAGCATCATGTCCTCCAAGTCTATCCATGTTGTAAAAGACTAGATTTTCTTTTCTCTTATGGCTGAATAATATTCTACTGTGTATATATACACTCTATATTTTGGCTATTGTAAAAATACTACAATGAACATGGGGCTGAAGATATTTCTTCAAGGTGTTAATTTAATTTCCTTTGGTAGTATGACCAGAAGTGGTATTGCTGGATTATATGATATGTCCATTTTTATTTTTTACTGGTTTTTATGATGATTTTATCAATTTACATCTCACTAACAGCATACAGCATATACCTTGTATGTATGTCTTTGGGAAAAAAAATCTAACCTTTTGCCCATTTTTGAATGGGTTATCATCATTATTATTGTTTTGCTTTGAATTGCAGAAGTTTCTTAAACATTTTGGATATGGATATTAACTTCTTTTTTTTTTTTTTTGAGACAGAGTCTTCCTCTGTCACCAGGCTACAGTGCAGTGGCATGATCTCAGCTCACTGCTAACTCCGCCTCCTGGGTTCAAGCAATTCTCCTGCCTTAGCCTCCCGAGTAGCTGTGATTCCTGGTGCACACCACCACACCCAGCTAAGTTTTGTATTTTTTAGTAGAGGTGGGGTTTCACCATGTTGGCCAGGATGGTCTCGATCTCTTGGCCTCCCAAATTGCTGGAATTACAGGTGTGAGCTGCTGCGCCCAGCCTTCTATTTTATTTTATTTTATTTTTTGAGACACAGTTTTGCTCTTGTTGCCCGGGCTGGAGTACAGTAGCATGATCTCGGCTCACTGCAATCTCTGCCTCCTGGGTTCAAGCGATTCTTCTGCCTCAGCCTCCCAAGTAGCTGGGAATTACAGGCATGCACCACTAGACTTGGCTAATTTTGTATTTTTAGTAGAGATGGGGTTTCTCTATGTTGGTCAGGCCGGTCTCGATCTTCTGACCTCAAGTGATCCTCCCGCCTTGTTCTCCCAAAATTAACTTGTTATCAGGTATATCGCTTGCAAATATTTCTATCCTGTAGAGTTTTTAGAAATTTTGTTTCTCTTTGCTGTGAAGAAGCAGTTTACTTTGATACAATCCCACTTGTTTGTATTTTTTGTTGTTGCTTTGCTTTTGATGGCATATCAAAAAATTATTGCCAAGACCAGTATCAAGGTTTTTCCATATGTTTTGTTCAGGAGTTCTAAGGTTTTTGTCTTACGTGTAAGTGTTTCATTTTGAGTTAATTTTGGGGTATGGTATAAGACAATGATCTACTTTTGCCAGGCACAGTGGCTCACGCCTGTAATCCCAGCACTTTGGGAGGCAGAGGCAGGTGGATCACGAGGTCGGGAGATGGAGACCATCCTGGCTAACGTGGTGAAACCCTGTCTCTACTAAAAATACAAAAAATTAGCTGGGCATGGTGGCGGATGCCTGTAGTCCTAGCTACTCGGGAGGCTGAGGCAGGAGAATGGCGTGAACCCGGGAGGCGGGAGCTTGCAGTGAGCCGAGATGGCGCCACTGCACTCCAGTCTGGGCAACAGAACGAGACCATCTCAAAAAAAAAGTTCTACTTTTATTCTTTTGTTTGTGGCTCTCCAGTTTTTCTAGCACCATGTATTGACAAGACTATAATTTCTGAATTGTATATTCATGATCCCCTTGCCAAAATTCGTTGACCTTGTATGCATGGATTTGTTTCTGGGCTCTCTATTCTGTTCATTGGTTTTTGTATGTGTGTTTATGCACATGCCATACTCTTTTGCTTACTACAACCTTTACATAAAGTTTAAAATTAAGAAGTATGATGCCCCTAGCTTTGTTCTTTCTCACGATGGCTCAGATTATTTAAAGTTGTTTAAGGTTACACTTAAATTTTACAATTGTGTTTTCTATTACTGTGAAAAATGACACTAAAATTTTGATAGGGATCGCGTTTGAATCTACAAATCACTTTCGATAATATACTTTGACAATATTAGTGATCCTAATGAAATATGTGTTTGTGTCTGCTTCAATTTCTGTCATTATTGTATTTAGTGTATACATTTATTGTTATACACTAGATTTTGTGCTTTATTGTATTTAATGTATAAATTTTTTATTTCATTTGTTAAATTTATTTTGAATTTCTTATTTTTATAGTATTGTAAATTGAATTTTTTTCTTTTTTTTGGGAAATTTTGTTGTTACTTTATGGAAATGAAACAAATATTTGTATGTTGGGGCAGGTGTAGTGGTTCATTTTTGTAATCCCAGCACTTTCAGAGGCCAAGGCATGTGGATCACTTGAGCACAGGAGTTTGAGATGAGCCTGGGCCTCAGAGTGAGACCATGTTTCAAAAACACACAAAAAAACAACCTGCAAGTATTTACATGTTGGTTATGTATCCTGATACCTTAATGAATGCATTTATTAGTTCAGTTTTTGTTATTCTACTCTAGGGTTTCATATATATGCATGATCATATTATCTACAAACAGTAACATTTTTTCTTCTTTTGCAGGCAGGAGAGCTTTGTTCTCCTTTTTCTTGCCTAATTGTTCTGATACAAACTTTTGGTAATAATGTTAAGATAGAAGCTGTGGTCCTGGAGGCATGCTTGCAGATCTTGGCTTCAGCTGTGGTCCCTGAAGCAGCCCTGTGTCTGTATATTTTAAGGATTTAACAATGATTACAGTTTGTATAATCTGTTTTTTGACAGGTAAACATCTCCTTTTGTTGGGTCCCCAGGCTGATGAGATTACCTCTGGGGTTGCAGAGAAGAAGGGTTGTAGCTGAGTCTCAAGGGTGCTGCTGGGTCTGCTGTGTGGCCTGCCTTTGAGGGTTGTGTTACCAGAGATTTAGACAGTCACAGATTCTTTCTGGGCCCTGGAAAGATTAGATTTCCTTGAGGACATTAATCTATATGGCAGGCAGTAGGATTGGGTTTTGAAATTTGTCTGCATATGATGGCCCAAATACCAGGTGTATAAATGGGTTTAGCTTTTACTGACTACCTGGGAACAGTTTTTTTTTTTCTTTTTTTTGTGACGGAATCTGGTTCTGTCGCCCAGGCTGGAGTGTAGTGCCATGAACTTGGCTCACTGCAACCTCCGCCTCCCAGGTTCAAGCGATTCTCCTGCCTCAGCCTCCCAACTAGCTGGGAGTACAGGCGCTTCCATCACACCCAGCTAATTTTTTTTTTTTTTTGAGTCGGAGTCTCACTCTGTCACCCAGGCTGGAGTGCAGTGGTGCTATCTCAGCTCACTGCAAGCTCCGCCTGCTGGGTTCATGCCATTCTCCTGCCTCAGCCCCCCAAGTAGCTGGGACTAAAGGCGCCCGTCACCGTGCCAGGCTAATTTTTTGTATTTTTAATAGAGACAGGGTTTCACCGCGGTCTCGATCTCCTGACCTCGTGATCCGCCCGCCTCGGCCTCCCAAAGTGCTGGGATTACAGGTGTGAGCCACCGCACCCGGCACGCTCAGCTAATTTTTTGTATTTTTAGTAGAGACGGGGTTTCACTGTGTTAGCCAGGCTGGTCTTGATCTCCTGACCTCCTGATTTGCCCGCCTCGGCCTCCCAAAGTGCTGGGCTTACAGGCGTGAGCCACCGCGCCCAGCCCCTGGGAACAGTTTTTATAGGTCTCTCTGTGGGCCTCTGAGTGTGTACGAGTGGCCACGGACTGTGACTACAAATGGCTTGAACTGAGTCACAGGGCTGCTTCAAGGAGCACAACTGAGGCCAGGATCTGCAGGCCTGCCTCCAGGGTCATGGCTGGGTGTGTCTTCCTGCAGGTCTCTTGATGGGAAGGACCATTTCTGGACTACAGCTGAGATTGAGAACTGCTTCATAATCCTCAGTAAGACCAAGCTGCATGCACCATTTTCTTGTCTGTAGCCATGTCTATGGGCTCTGGAGTTGGCCACCTGGGTGAGGGCCTGCTTTTTCCAAATAACCCTTCCTTGGTCTTTGACTCCACTGAGGTTTCACAACCCTAACTATAGGCAAGCACCATTCTACTTATGTTTTCTAGGAATTTACTACTTAAAATATCTTATGTAAGTGGAATCATACATTGTCACTTTGTTAGTGTCTTATTAAATAATGGTGTCTAAATAGTGTCTTATTAAAATAATGGCTTTAAGATTTATCCTTATTGTATGATCCGACAAGATATTTTCATTTGATTCTAAAGAATTTTTCATTGTATGTGTAAGCCATGTAAGCCACATCCTTTTTTGTTTGTTTGTTTTTTTTTTGAGATGGAGTCTTGCTCTGTCACCCAGGCTGGAGTGCAGTGGCGCAATCTCGGCTCACTGCAAGCTCCACCTCCTGGTTTCACACCATTCTCCTGCGTCAGCCTCCAGCTGGGACTACAGGTACCTGCCACCACGCCCGGCTAATTTTTTTTTTGTATTTTTAGTAGAGACGGGGTTTCACCGTGTTAGCCAGGATGATCTCTATCTCCTGACCTTGTGATCTGCCTGCCTTGGCCTCCCAAAGTGCTGGGATTACAGGCGTGAGCCACCGCGCCCGGCCAAGCCGCATCCTTTTAAATTATTCATCTGTTGAAGGATGTTTGAGGTTTTTCACTTTTTGGCTTTTGTAAGTAATATGGTTTGGATCTGTGGCGCCATTCAAATCTCACATCAAATTGTAAGCCTGAATGTTGTAGGTGGGGCCTGGTGGGAGGTGACTGGATTATATGGTTGGATTCTCATGAATCATTTAATACCATTGCCTTTGGTACTCTCTTTGCCATAATGAGTGATTTCTCCTGAGATGTCACTTTCTTTCTTTGTTTTTTTGATATCTCATCCATCGCAGTTTAATCTACAAATGAAATTTCTACAGAAACAGGAACTATTTTAAGAAAGAAAAAAATCCCTCATTCAGACTTCTTTGGTAGTGGTAATGGCTGCAAATTTGCAGCATTTAGAAAACTACACTATCAACAAGCTTTCCTTTATGAACTGAGATGTACAAAATGTAGAAAGCAGATGAAAGTGAATTATTTCTTCAACATTTTAGTAAAACTTCTGATAATCAGAGTTCAAAGCACATAACAACTCAAGCATAAATGAAGATGGAGAGCCTGGGGAGTTTGATTTCTTAAATTTTCCAAAAAGGTATTATTGCAAACATATAGGATTTCCCCCCATTTTAACCTTACCAGTTTCAAAGGAAAGTAAAGGTACTGGATTACATGAAGACAGCATGTGTGCGAGTGCACACGCATGCAGGGTGGCAGGTAGAGTGTCTTAATTCCTTTTTCTTACTACCCAAGTCTCACTTCACAGAAATCATTAGGTAAAGGAAAACCAACGAGGAGTTCTGCAGTTTTCTTTTAATAACTGAGGCTGAGGCAGGAGAATCGCTTCAACCCTGGAGGTGGAGGTTGCAGTGAGCCAAGATTGTGCCACTGCATTCCAGCCTGAGCGATAGAGTGAGACTCCACCTCAAAAAAAAAAAAAAAGAAAAGAAAAACGACAACAAAAAAGATAAAAGGCAGAGAAATAACTTATGACTACCATTTTGTTCATTGTTTTCTGACCATGTAGTAGTTTCTGTTTTTTAATCCTTTCATGCTGTCTTCCCTTGTGTAGTGTTGAGTTGTTTTGTTTCTATTGTTATATGCTTTGGTTTCCTTTTTTGTGTGTGTATCTACTACAGTTTTGTTTTGTTTTTTTTTTGTAATTTCCAAGAGACATAAAATATCTCATAATTATAAAAGCGTAGCTTGGCCAGGCACAGTGGCTCACGCCTGTAATCCCAGCACTTTGGGAGGCCGATCACGAGGCCGATCATGAGGTCAGGAGATCGAGACCATCCTGGCTAACATGGTGGAAACCCATCTCTACTAAAAATACAAAAAAATTAGCCGGGCATGGTGGTGGATGCCTGTAGTCCCAGCTACTTGGGAGGCTGAGGCAGGAGAATGGCGTGAACCCAGGGCGCGGAGCTTGCAGTAAGCCGAGATGGCACCACTGCACTCCAGCCTGGGCGACAGAGTGAGACTCCGTCTCAAAAAAAAAAAAAACAAAAAACAAAAGCCTAGCTTAAGATAACAATCTAACTTCTTTTTTATTCACATAGGGTCTTGCTTTGTTTCCCAGGCTGTAGTGCAGTGGTGCATTCACAGCTCAGTTCGGCCTCAACTCTCCAATATCAAACAATTTTCCCATCTCAGCCTCCCAAGTAGCTGGGAATACAAGTACACGCCACCAGGTCCAGCTAAGTTTTTTGGTATTTTTTTGTAGAGACAGGGTTTTGCTATGTTGCTCAGGCTGGTCTTGAATTCCTAGGCTCCAGAAATCCACCTGCCATGGCCTCCCAAAGTGCTAGGTTTACAGGCATGTATCATCAGGCCCAGCTGCTGTTTTTTTTTTTTTTAATGGAATCTTGCTCTATCACCCAGGCGGGAGTCCAGTGGCACGATCTTGGCTCACCACAACCTCCGTCTCCTGGGTTCAAGCAATTCTTCTGCCTCAGCCTCCCGAGTAGCTGAGACTGCAGGCACCTGCCACCACACCTGGCCAATTTTTTTTTTTTGTATTTTTAGTAGAGACAGGGTTTCACTGTGTTAGCCATGATGGTTTCGATCTCCTGACCTCGTGATCCTCCCGCCTCGGCCTCCCAAAGTGCTGGGATTACAGGCGTGAGCCACCGCGCCCAGCCCCAGCTGCTGCTTTTTAAAAAAAGACTAAATAGCATTCTGAAATCTTTATTTTATTTTATTCCTGTATTTATTTTAGAGACAGGGTCCTGCTATATTGACCAACTGGTTTTGAACTCCTGGCCTCAAGCAAAAGTTAACCTCTATGTATAAAAATATTAAACAGTTTTACTCCCTTCAACACACTATTTATGTCACACTTTACATCTTTTTATATTACATTATTATGTACCATTAACAGATTATTGAAGCTATATGCTTTATTCACTCTTTCATTTTTTTCTTTTTTAATTAGGAACTTTCAAATGACTTTTTTTTTTTTTTTTTTTTTGAGGTGGAGTCTCGCTCTGTAGCCCAGGCTGGAGTGCAGTGGTGTGATCTCGGCTCACTGCAATCTCTGCCTCCCAAGTTCAAGCGATTCTCCTGCCTCAGCCCCCAAGTAGCTAGGATTACAGGCACCTGCCACCATGTCCAGCCAATTTTTGTATTTTTAGTAGAGATGGGTTTCACCATGTTGGCCAGGCTGGTCTTGAACCCCTGACCTCAGGTGATACACCCGCCTTGGCCTCCCAAAGTGCTGGGATTACAGGTGTGCGCAACCGCACCCAGCCTCAAATGACTTTAAAGTTTGCTGATTTTATCCTGTGTATAATTGAGTCTCCTTGTTAAAGCTTTCTGTTAAAATTTTTTAGTTCTACTATTGTGTGCTTCAGCATATCTCCTTGGTTCCTTCTTAATGATTTCTCTTTATTATAATTGATTTTCTTCATACATTGTTGCAAAAAATTTAGTAATCTTTGTACTTTTGCATCTTATCGAGATTTTTTAAGATAATTATTTTGAATTCTCTGTTAGCCATTTTTTTCATCTGTATTAGCAATTTATTTTTTATTATTATGCTCTAAGTTCTGAGGTATATGTGTAGAATGTGCAGGTTTGTTACATAGGTATACACATGCCATGGTGGTTTGCTGCACCCATCAACCCGTCATCTACATTAGGTATTTCTCCTAATGCTATCCCTCCCCTAGCCCCCTCATTCCCTTACAAGTCCCGGTGTGTGATGTTTCCCTTGGTGTGTCCATGTGTTCTCATTGTTCAACTCCCACTTAGGAGTGAGAACATGCGATGTTTGGTTTCCTGTCTTTGTGTTAGTTTGCTGAGAATGATGGTTTCCAGCTTCATCCATGTCCCTGCATAGGACATGAACTCATCCTTTTTTATGGCTCCATAGCATTCCATGGTGTATATGTGCCACATTTTCTTTATCCAGTCTACCATTGATGGGCATTTGGGTTGGTTCCAAATCTTTGCTACTGTAAACAGTGCTGCAATAAAAATACGTGTTCATGTGTCTTTGTAGTAGAATGATTTATAATCCTTTGGGTATATATCCAGTAATGGGATTATGGGGTCAAATGGTATTTCTGGGTCTAGATCCTTGAGGAATCGCCACACTGTCTTCCACAATGATTGAACTAACTTACACTCCCACCAACAGTGTAAAAGCATTCCTATTTCTCCACATCCTCTCCAGCACCTATTGTTTCCTGACTTCTTAATGATTGCCATTCTAACTGGCATAAGATGGTATCTTATTGTGGTTTTGATTTGCATTTCTCTAACGACCAGTGACGATGAGCTTTTTCTCATATGTTTGTTGGCCACATAAATGTCTTCTTTTGAGAACTGTCTGTTCATATCCTTTGCCCACTTTTTGATGGGGTGGTTTGGTTTTCTCTTGTAAATTTGTTTAAGTTCTTTGTAGTTTCTGGATATTATTCCTTTGTCAGATGGGTAGATTGCAAAAAAATTTTCTCCCATTCTGTAGGTTGCCTGTTCACTCTGATGATAACTTCTTTTGCTGTGCAGAAGCTCTTTAGTTTAATTAGGTCCCTTTTGTCAATTTTGGCTTTTGTTGCCATTGCTTTTGGTGTTTTAGTCATGAAGTCTTTGCCCATGCCCGTGTCCTGAATGGTATTGCCTAGGTTTTCTTCTAGGGTTTTTATGATTTTAGGCCTTACATTTACGTCTTTAATCCATCTTGAGTTAATTGTTGTATAAGGTGTAAGGAAGGGGTCCAGTTTCAGTTTTCTGCATATGGCTAGCCAGTTTTCCCAACACCATTTATTAAATAGGGAATCCTTTCCCTGTTGCTTGTTTTTGTCAGGTTTGTCGAAGATCAGATGGTTGTAGATGTGTGGTGTTATTTCTGAGGCATCTGTTCTGTTCCATTGGTCTGTATCTCTGTTTTGGTATCAGTACCATGCTGTTTTGGTTCCTGTAGCCTTGTAGTATAGTTTGAAGTCAGGTATCTTGATGCCTCCAGCTTTGTTCTTTCTGCTTAGGATTGTCTTGACTATATGGGCTATTTTTGGTTCCATATGAAATTTAAAGTAGTTTTCTCCAATTCTGTGAAGAAAGTCAGTGGTAGCTTGATGGGAATAGCATTGAATCTATAAATTACTTTGGGCAGTATGGCCATTTCATGATAATTGATTCTTCCTATCCATGAGCATGGAATGTTTTTCCATTTGTTTGTGTCCTCTTATTTCCTTGAGCAGTGGTTTGTAGTTCTCCTTGAAGAGGTCTTTTACATCCCTTGTAAATTGTATTCCTAGGTATTTTATTCTTTTTGTAGCAGTTGTGAATGGGAGTTCACTCATGATTTGGCTCTCTGTTTGTCTATTATTGGTATATAGGAATGTTGTGATTTTTACAAATCAGTTTTGTATCCTGAGACTGCTGAAGTTGCATATCAGCTTAAGGAGATTTTGGGCTGAGACGATTGGGTTTTCTAAATATACAATCATGTCATCTGCAAACAGAGACAATTTGACTTCCTGTCTTCCTATTTGAATACCCTTTCTTTCTTTCTCTTGCCTAATTGCCTTGGCCAGAATTTCCAATACTATTTTTATTTTTTTGAGATGGAGTCTTGCTTTGTCACCTAGGTTGGAGTGCAGTGGCGTGATCTTGGCTCACTGCAACCTCCATCTCCTGGGTTCATGCAATTCTCCTGCCTCAGCCTCCCGAGTAGCTGGGATTACAGGCATGTGCCACCACGCCTGGCTAAGTTTTGTATTTTTGGTAGAGACAGGGTTTCACCATATTGGTCAGGCTGGTCTTGAACTCCTGACCTCAAGTGATCCACCCACCTCAGCCTCCCAAAGTGCTGGGATTACAGGCATGAGCCACCACACCCGGCTTTCCAATACTATTTTGAGTAGGAGTGGTGAGAGAGGGCATCCTTGTCTTGTCCCAGTTTTCAAAGGGAATGCTTCCAGCTTTTGCCCATTCAGTATAATATTGGCTGTGTTTGTCATAAATAGCTCTTATTATTTTGAGATACATTCCATCAGTACCTAGTTGATTGAGAGTTTTTAGCATGAAGGGGTGTTGAATTTTATTGAAGGCCCTTTCTGCATCTATTGAGATAATCATGTGGTTTTTGTCATCGGTTCTGTTTATGTAATTGATTACATTTATTGATTGGCGTATGTTGAACTAGTGTTTCATGCTAGGGATGAAGCTGAGTTGATCATGGCGGATAAGCTTTTTGATGCGCTGCTGGATTCATTTGGTTTGCCAGTATTTTATTGAGGATTTTCACATCGATGTTCATCGGGGATATTGGCCTGAAATTTTTTCTTTTGTTGTGTCTCTGCCAGGCTTTGTTATCAGGATGATGCTGGCCTCATAAAATGAGTTAGGGAGGAGTCCCTCTTTTTCTATTATTTGGAATAGTTTCAGAAGGCATGGTACCAGCTCGCTCCCCTTTGTACCGTTAGTAGAATTTGGCTGTGAATCCATCTGGTCCTGGCTTTTTTTGGTTGGTAGGCTATTAATTACTGCCTCAATTTCAGAACTTGTTACTGGTCTATTCAGGGGTTCAACTTCTTCCTGGTTAAGTCTTGGGAGGGTGTATGTGTCCAGGAATTTATCCATTTCTTCTGGATTTTCTAGTTTATTTGCGTAGAGTTGTTTATCGTATTCTCTGATGGTAGTTTGTTGCTGTGGGATCAGTGTTGATATCCCCTTTATCATTTTTCATTGTGTCTATTTGATTCTTCTCTCTTTTCTTCTTTGGTAGTGTTGCTAGTGGTCTATCTATTTTGTTGATCTTTTCAAAAAACCTCCTCCTGGATTTGTTGATTTTTTTTTTTTTTTTTGAAAGGGTCTTTCGTGTCTCTATTTCCTCCAGTTCTGCTCTGATCTTAGTTATTTCTTGTCTTCTGCTAGCTTTTGAATTTGTTTGCACCTGCTTCTCTAGTTCTTTTAATTGTGATGATAAGGTGTCAATTTTAGGTCTTTTCTGCTTTCTTTTGTGGGCATTTAGTGGTATAGATTTCCCTCCAAAGACTGCTTTGGCTGTGTACCAGAGATTCTAGTAGGTTGTGTCTTTGTTCTCATTGGTTTCAAAGAACTTATTTATTTCTACCTTAATTTCGTTATTTACCCAGTAGTCATTCAGGAGCAAGTTGTTCAGTTTCCATGTAGTTGTGCAGTTTTGAGTTTCTTAATCCTGAGTCCTAATTTGATTGCACTGTTGTCTGAGAGACTGTTATAATTTTCTTTCTTCTGCATTTGCTGAAGTGTGTTTTACTTCCAGTTATGTGGTCAACTTTAGATTAAGTGCGATGTGGTGCCGAGAATAATGTATGTTCTATTGATTTGGGGTGGAGAGTTCTGTCGATGTCTATTACGTCTGCTTGGTCCAGAGGTGAGTTCAAGTCCTGAATATCCTTGTTAATTTTCTGTCTCATTGATCTAATATTGACAGTGGGGTGTTAAAGTCTCCCATTATTATTGTGTGAGAGTCTAAGTCTCTTTGTGGGTCTCTAAAAACTTGCTTTATGAATCTGGGTGCTCCTGTATTGGGTGCATATATATTTAGGATAGTTATCTCTTCTTGTTGCATTCATCCCTTTACCATTAGGTAATGCCCCCTCCCCCACCTTTTTTTTTTGAGACGGAGTCTTGCTCTCTTGCCCAGGCTGGAGTGTAGTGGCACAATCTCAGCTCACTGGAAGCTCTGCCTCCTGGGTTCACGCCATTCTCCTGCCTCAGCCTCCTGAG
This sequence comes from Homo sapiens, assembly GCF_000001405.40. NCBI lineage: Eukaryota > Metazoa > Chordata > Mammalia > Primates > Hominidae > Homo > Homo sapiens. Next base: position 459,720 of record NC_000004.12, on the reverse strand, counting down.
TAGCTGGGACTACAGGCGCCCGCCACCACGCCCGGCTAATTTTTTGTATTTTTAGTAGAGACGGGGTTTCACCATGTTAACCACGGATGGTCTTGATCTCCTGACCTCGTGATCTGTCCACCTCGGCCTCTCAAAGTGCTGGGAGTTACAGGTGTGAGCCACTGCACCTGACCCCTTCTGTTTTTTATCTTTGTTGGTTTAAAGTCTGTTTTATCAGAGACTAGGATTGCAACTGCTGCTTTTTTTTTTGCTTTCCATTTGCTTGGTAAATATTCCTCCCTCCCTTTATTTTGAGCCTGTGTTTGTCTTTGCACATGAGATGGGTCTCCTCAATATAGCACACTGATGGGTCTTGACTCTAATTTTCCAGTCTGTGTCTTTTAATTGGGGCATTTAGCCGTTTTACATTTAAGATTAATATTGTTACATGTAAATTTGATACTGTCATTATGATGCTAGCTGGTTATTTTGCCCATTAGTTGGTGCAGTTTCTTCATAGTGTTGATGGTCTTTACAGTTTGGTATGTTTTTGCAGAGGGTGGTACCGGTTTTTCTTTTTCATATGTCCATCCTTCAAGAGCTCTTCTAAGGCAGGCCTGGTGGTGACAATCTCTCAGCATTTGCTTGTTTGTAAAGGATTTTATTTTTCCTTCGCTTATGAAGCTTGGTTTGGCTGGATATGAAATTCTGGGTTGAAAATTATTTTCTTTAAGAATGTTGAATATTGGCCCCCACTTTCTTCTGGCTTGTAGGGTTTCTGCAGAGAGATCTGCTGTTAGTCTGATGGGCTTCCCTTTGTGGGTAACCTGACCTTTCTCTCTGGCTGCCCTGAACATTTTCTGTTAGGCATTTTTTAGATCTGTTTTTTTTTTCTTTAGACGGAGTCTTGCTCTGTCACCCAGGCTGGAGTGCAGTGGCGCAATCTCAGCTCACTGCAGCCTCTGCCCCCTGGGTTCCAGCGATTTTCCTGCCTTAGCCTCCTGGGTGGCTGGGACTACAGGTACATGCCACCACGCCCTGCTAATTTTTGTATTTTTAGTAGAGATGGGGTCTTGCCATGTTGGCCAGGCTGGTCTCGAACTCCTGACCTTGGGTGATATGCCCGCCTTGGCCTCCAAAGTGCTGGGATTACAGGCGTGAGCTACCACGCCTGGCTTAGATCTGTGTGTTATTGTTAGTGGTTCCTGGAGCATTTTTAGTTTCCTTTAGTGGTGTTATGTTTGCCTGATCCTTCATAAGTCATGAAGCCTTGTTTTGATGTCCTTGCATCTGAAGGAGTAAATACCTCTTTCAGTCATTATAGACTAGTTTGGGGAGGTAAATATCTTCTGTTGGATTCTGGGCTGATGAGATTTCCACTGAGATTGTAATAAAGTGTTTCAGATCCAGGTCACATAAGTCCTACTGGGTCTGCAGTGAAATTCATGCTTGGGAGACCTGTTATCTGGGCATCAGACAGTTGTGGATTCTATCTATTTTCTGAGAAGACTGAACTTTCTTCAAGATGTTGATCAATATGACTGGCACTGAGGAAAAAAGCTTCCAGTTATATCTGCAGATTAAGGTGCTGATACAAATCAATGTGAGCAGGTGTGGCTCCCGCTGTGTCGCTCTTGCGAGGTATTTGGAAATGCTCTAACCTAGTCATTGGACAGGTTCCTAAATGAGCAGTACTGACCCTTGATCACAGCTAAGAGGGTGTGGAACTGATTCATAGGGCTGCTTCAGGATACACAGCTGAGACCAAAGTCTTCAGGTCTGTTTTTGGGTTCATGGCATTTCTCCCTCCAGATTTCTGGGTTGGCAGGACTTCTTTCAGACTCTAGGTGACAGAGACCAGAGCTTGGTTATAGGACTGCTTCACGATTCACAGTGGGAATAAAGTCAGCATGCCTACAGGGGCACATACAGGTGTGTCTTTTGGCAGGTCCCAGGTTAGGAAAAAATTCTTCCGGACTTTGGTTGCATGGACTTGGAATCAGGTTATAGTGCCACGTCAAGATCCACCATAAATAAATATTGGCAAGTCTACATCCAGGGGCACAGATGGATGTTTCTCTCTGTGGGTGTCTGGGCAGGATTTCTTCCACACCATGACTGATATGTGCAAAGGGTGGATTTTGGGCTAATTCAGAGATCACAGATAGAACCAACTTCTAAAGGCCTTTCACCTGAGGCATAGGTGTCTTGGTTTAGGTGTCTTCACAGATGGTGCTAGTAGCAGGAACAAAACCAAATGGTCTACAGCTAAGTCTACAATGAAAATTGGACACATTTTATTCTGTAGCTGGGACTGTGATGGGCAAGCATGCCACTCAAGCAAGGGCATGTCTTTTCAATACAGCCCTCCTCAGTCTTGGGTTCACAACCCTTGACATGGATTCCAAAGCTCCCATAAAGTTCCTTTTTTCAGGACATAACTGCTGCTTTTTTATAACTGTAGAAGTTGTGGGTAGAGAACCTCCTGCCATCTTACTGTGTTTTCAGTTTCTGATACATTCTATGTCAAATTTATCTGATTTCAAATTCAAAATTTCTGAAATAAAATGCTCACATTTACTCATTGTGTAATAAATAATTGTATTGAAATGCTTCATTCTTATTAGAGCATTTTTTAATTGAGATGCATTTTCTTTGCATGTAAGGATTCAAAATGCCAGATCTTCATTAAGTACATAGTCAGAGTTGAAAACTGTAGTTAAAGGATTGTTTTTATGATACATCTATATTATATTCAGTGTTTTATAGATCAGAATTTTTTATTCTTTCAACTCTATTTTACTGGGGAGTGTTTTCATGTAGGTTCTCCTCCATCATTTATTTATTAATTTATTAATTTATTAATTATGGAGTCTCGCTTTGTTGCTAGGCAGGAGTGCAGTGGCACAGTCTCGGCTCACTGCAACCTCCGCCTCCCGGATTCAAGTGATTCTTCTGCCTCAGGCTCCCAAGTAGCTGGTACTACAGGCGTGTGCTACCACGCCCAGCTAATTTTTGTATTTTTAGTAGAGACAGGGTTTCACCATGTTAGCCAGAATGGTCTCGATCTCTTGACCTCATGATCCGCCCACATTGGCCTCTCAAAGTGTTGGGATTACAGGCATAAGCCACTGTGCCTGGCCTATTTTTAATTTTCATATTTGTATGGTAATTTTCAACTCTGTACCTTTTATGACCATGTGGTGTTTAATTCAAATAAAATTCATTCAAATAAAAATCATTAGGTTTTACTCGAAGCAATTTAAAATATATGTATAATTCAGAGATTTCTATTGCCTATAAAAGTTATCTATGTGATGTTTGCCTTTATAAATATTGCCCTTACCTGGTTTATAAATTATTTTTTTGATAGGCCGGGCATGGTGGCTCACGCCTGTAATCCCAGCACTTCGGGAGGCTGAGGCGGGTGGATCACCTGAGGTCAGGAGTTCAAGACCAGCCTGACCAACATGGAGAAACCCTGTCTCCACTAAAAATAGAAAATTAGCCAGGTGTGGTGGCGCATGCCTGTAATCCCAGCTACTCAGGAGACTAAGGCAGGAGAATCACTTGAACCCGGGAGGCGGAGGTTGCAGTGAGCCGACATTGTGCCACTGCACTCCAGCCTGGGTGACAGGGCGAGACTCCATCTCAATAAATAAATAAATAAATAAATAAATAAATAAATAAAAATTTTTTTGGTGATCATGACTGTTTTCTTTTGTAGGTGAGTAGGCAAAGAAACAGTGGAATATTACCACCTATTTATTGTTTGATTATGTTTTGTGAGAGAAACACTTGTTATTCAAAGGTGATTTTTGAAAAATGGAACCTTTTTAGGTAGATGTAAATATTTAGTTGTGATGAAAAACATAAAATTGCCTAAAGGTTTTCAAGTGTACAGTCTAGTGGGGTTAAGTACATTTACATTATTTTGAAATGGATCTCTACATTTTGTCTTACAAAAGTAAAGTTTAATACTCTATGAACTATAAACTGCCATTTTTTTCTTTTTCTTCAGCTCTTGAAGAACACCATTTTACTTACTGTTTCTGTAATTTTGACTGATTTTTATATTGTCATTGGTGTAATATTTTTTCTTTCTTTTTTTTTCTTTTTTACTGTCTTCACATAATGTTCTTAGGCTTGGTTTTTGGTTGGTTGGTTGGTTGTTTTGAGATGGAGTCTTGCTCTGTTGCCAGGCTAGAGCGCAGTGGCACGATCTCGGCTTACTGCAACCTCTGCCTCCCAGATTCAAACGATTCTCCTGCCTCAGCCTCCCAAGTAGCTGGGACCACAGGTGTGCACTACCATGTCCAGCTAATTTTGTATTTTTAGTAGAGACAGGGTTTCACCGTGTTGGCCAGGATGGTCTCGATCGCTTGACCTCAGCTGATCCGCCCGCCTCGGCCTCCCAAAGTGCTAGGATTACAGGTGTGAGCCAGGACAACTGGCCTCAGGCTTTTGTTTTTGTAAGATTGTTGTGTGCTGCGGGGTGAAAGGAGAAGGAAAGACACACACACAATATCTTTAAGGGTAAACAACCTTTATCCCATGTAAATGGCAATGTAGGTATATAAGCAAATGATATAATAAGCAGATTGCAGTGGGAAGGGGAGAAGGGAAAAGAGATACATATATTTACATTCACCAGACTATGGAGGATTCACCACCAGACCGGGAAGCAAAACAGCCTGGGCTCTAGAGTCCACCATTCATCCGTGCACAGATGAGGAGAGGTCTCGTGAAGCTTTGGCGCAGTGTGGGACCCTAGCTCTTTTTGTAATGAGTTGTTTGGCATGAGGCCCAGTCACGAGGGGCTTTTGCACCTGAGCTCAAGGAACACAAAAAGATCAACTTGTTTTTGCAATTGTCTATTGTTTTCAATAACTAACATATAGGAATAGATTGAAATAGAGATTTCTCCAAAACGGCACTGGATGAACGTGTCAAGGGGCTCACACAGCCCATTCCGGGATTTGGTGACCGTTGTTTGTGTCCATGTTCAATTGAGTTCAAATTTAATATTTAACTTTTCCTCCACATTCGGCCTCAGTTTGATCCTCAATTGTAGGAAAATACCCTTACAGATACATGGGGAAGGCATAGTTGATATAGATTACAGATACAGGTAAGCACAGGAGAACTAAAAGCAGAGTTAATAAAAACCACACCCACCATGGCTTTGCAAGGAGAGTGATTGTGAGAATTGTCAGGGATATACACATAACATTCAGTATGCAGTAAGGCTCAAACCCCTCCTTGGGCTGCGGTAAGCATATCTAATGCCATTCAGTTTTGCAACACAACAGTACACAGCTGAGCAAATTCCTCTGACAACAACATAAGTCCAGTGCTACTATCATTAAGAGCTTTGTCTACATGTAAACTTAATATTTTAATTTGCTGCTGAAGCAGGATTGTACCAGCAGCAGGGGAGAATACTGTAGTAGGCTATCACCACCAGGGAGTCCAGCGCATTTGTATGGTGGATGGAATTAATGGCCACCCCCAAGTGTATCTCTCTGTCCATTGTAGGGGCAGGTATCACCACCCGTAGTATCCACATATCCAGAGGGCCCCCCCAGGGGACTGCAATATAGTTACTGTAATCATAGTGTACTAATGTGTTATTAAAGTAGGAAAGAGATTGTGTTTCATTAGGGACAATGCTGTTGATTTGGAGTATGTGTTGACAGTTGTCTGGTGGGAGAAACCCAGAGGAACATTAGAGGAGCCATTTAAGGCCTCCAGACAAAGTGGCGGGTGGGTGGGGAGCTATATGGAATCCGGCCACCAGCACAGCAGGTTCCCAATATATACCGTTCCAGGCATATTGGGCAGGATACCAAGGCTTTTGATGCATGGTGAAGGTGGAGTTCACCTTTCACTTGACTTGGGCATAAATAGATTGCTTGGTTTGGTCATAGGAAGTTCAGGTTGGATTGCAAGTGTTGTTGTTGTGGCCCCATTGATAGTGACATAGCCATTCAGAAATGTTGTCACGGACGATTCTTCAAGGTAGCTCATTCCTGGCGGCCTCTGGCAGCTGGACGCATAGCCGACATTGATTGTGGTTGGCTTCTTCTATAGTGGTGGCTACCCAGTTGATGAATTTATCCTTGGCCTCAGATACAAAGACACATGTGCTGACCATTAGTAGATAGGTTATTCCATTATAATGCCTCTCATTACCAGGCTTGAACATGTAATCCATTCATCCACATTCAAGTTTGCAGTTGTGGTGGAAATTTTGGCCTGTTGATCTGCCAGCTGATTAAATAGTCTGTCAAGAGAAAACAGAGATGCATGAGCATCAACATGGAGAACAGTGATAATGGTGGTGTGTGCCAGGATTCAGGTATCTTCCCAGTATTTTTTTCCCCAAACCTCTTTATTCCCAATTAACCATTTGTTTCATTGCCATTGGGGCAACCAGGTAGTAAGACCATCTGCTACTGACCAAGAGTTGGTATACAACTGACAAATCCCTCTGGCCTCCTCCTAAATAGCTCAGAGGACCATTACTGGTTCAACCAGCTAGCTGCTTCCACCTTTTCCTTCATCAGAAATGCTTATGTTTTCTAACAGGACTGTAAGCCACGGCCTTCTAGCGTCGAGTGCCACCAGTGTATTTGGTGGTCCATTAGTAAACCAGGCATGTTTCTGGTCCTCTGGGCTTAGTTTTTTAAAGGATTTGTCCCATTGGATGGGGGAGGTTTCCTTCCCTAACTGAAGGGCTTGCTCAGTGGTTTTCTGAGCTGGCAAGTTTTGTACATCCTTATGCAAAAGCAGTATCCCCTTTGGTCCTGGCTTAGCCCTATCTTGTGTATACCATTTCCATTTTATAATGCTGCTTTCTTGAGTGTGCCCTATCTGGTGAGTATTGGGGAAACTCATGACCCAAGTCATAATAGGAATTTCAGGCCTCATAAAGACCTCATGGTTGAAGCAGAGGTCCTCTGTTTCCAGCAAAACCCAATAAAAAGCTAACAATTGCTTCTTGGAAGGGGTATAAGCTTTGCCAGCCTATGGCAGTTTCTGGGTCCAAAACCCCAAAGGTACCCTCTTCCCACCTTGTTTCTGCCTAAGACTCCAATTAGCATGTTGATCTAGGACAGCTACTTGCAGTTCTACTGGCCTGTTTCGTATGGGCCATAGATCTGGGGTCAGTTGCACCGCTTGTTCAGCTTGTTGAAAAGCCACGCTCTCTTTCTGTCCCCAGTGAAAGTCATAGCGTTTTCTAGTGACTGCACGCAGAGGTTGTAAAATGTTACCCATGTGGGGCATATGATGTCTCCACAATCCAAACAAGCCAATAAATTTCTGGGCCTCCTTTTTAGTGGTAGGGGTTGCAAATTCTAGTATTTTAGCCTTAGCCTTTTGTAAAATGGACTATTACCGTGTATTTCAGAGGATGCCAAGGAATTTTACAGTTTTTGCAGGTTCTTGAATTTTCCTAGGGTTAATTTCCCATCCTTGAGATAGGAGCTGGGTTTTTACCTGCTGCAAGCCCCAGCCGACTAGTTCTTCAGTTTTACCCTGACCGGCTATTTGGACAGCTGCTTTTTTCAGCAATAGGCTGATAGCTTTCAGCCTGGTCAGTCAAGACACAGGCCTGGCCAGGGCCAGTCAGGATGTCAGATTAGCACTTTTTTTCCAGCTTACATTTCTCGTGTAGCAACCAGTCCCTATCTTGACACATTAACTTACAAGCAGTAAGCAAGCACCATCTATACCGGGAAATTACCTCAGCATTCCCTTTACCAACTGGGATTCCCTGCAGCACCTCACAGACAGCCAATGGTTCAAAATGCACTAATTTAGATTCCCAATTTTCAAAAAGGCCAGTTCCCTTGGACCACTCAATGGCCAAGGGAGAGAACTAGGGGAGTTCCCATCCCAGGATATGGGAAGCCCCCAACCTCCCAGCCCAGTCCTCGTGGCTGAAAAATGGCACGTTTTCGCTTTTGGATCCTGTTCCTGACACCCAAAATGTTCTGTGCAGGAAATGCGTTAGGGGAGAAGAAGACACACACACAATACCTTTAAGGATAAACAACCTTTATTTCACGTAAATAGCAATGCAGAATAAGAATAAAATAAGCAAATGTAATAACCAAATTGCAGTGGGAAGTGGAGAAGGGAGAAAGGGTATATATATTTACATTCACCAGACTATGGAGAATTCACCACCAGACTGGGAAGCAACAGCCTGGGCTCCAGAGTCAGCCACCATCTGTGCACAGACGAGGAGGGGTCTCATGAAGCTTCGTCATGCTATGAGACCCTAGCTATTTTTGTAATGAGTTGTTTGGCACGAGGTCCCATCACTAGGGCATTTCGTGAACTGGGCTCAAGGAACACAAAATGGTCAACTTGTTTTTGTGATTGTCTATTCTTTTTCAATAACTAACGTATAGGAATAGATTGAAATAGAGATTTCTTCAAAACAGTGCTGGCTGAAGACGTCAAGGGGCTCACACAACCTGTTTGGGAACTTGGTGACCATTGTTTGTGTCCATGTTCAATTGAGTTCAAATGTAATATTTAACTTTTTCTCCACAGAGACGTGTCAGAATATCTTTGTTTTAAAATAAAATATTGTATGTATATGTCACATTTTAAAAATCTGATATTTATCTCTAAAGGGACATTTGTGTTTCCAGGAATTGTCTTTTGTAAATAATAATGAACATGCTTGTGTAAACATGTATTTAAAGCCCTGCCTTGAATATTTTTGGGATATATATATATATATATATATATATATATATATATATATTTTTTTTTTTTTTTTTTTTGGAGACAGAGTCTTGCTCTGTCGCCCAGGCTGGAGTTCAGTGGTGCAATCTCGGCTCACTGCAAGCTCCGCCTCCTGGGTTCACGCCATTCTCCTTCCTCAGCCTCCCTAGTAGTTGGGACTACAGGCACCTGCCACCATGCCCATCTAATTTTTTGTATGTTTAGTAGAGATGGGGTTTCACCATGTTAGCCAGGACGGTCTCGATCTCCTGACGTCGTGATGTGCCTGCCTCGGCCTCCCAAAGTGCTGGGATTACAGGCATGAGCCAACCGCGCCCGGCTTTTTTGGGATATTTTAAATAGATGTGTAAGCATGTAATTAAAGCCCTGCCTTGAATATTTTTGAGATATTTTTTATACAGTGATGTGGTACCATGTGTATGTCCATATTTTTTTTCCTGAGCCTTTGATGTTATATTCAAAAACTGATTGCCGAGACTAGTTGCATAAAGCCTTCATCATAAATGTTTATATTAGATTTCACATATGTGTAAGATCATGTGGTATTTGTCTCAGTGTATCTGTTTTATTTCACTTAACATAATGGCCTCCACGTTCATTTGTGTTGTGGCAAATATCAAAATTGTATTCTGTATTGTAGATGCATACTATTTTATTGTGTATATATACTACATTTTCTTTATTCATCCAAGTTCTGGACACTTGGATTGATTCCATATCTTGGCCATTGTAAACAGTGCTGTAATAAACATGGGAGTGTAGATTTCTCTTTGACATACTGATTTTGTTTAGCTACAATGAAAATAGAACTTACATATGTTCCAGCAATCCCATTTAATTAAAAAATTAAAAATAGAACATGTGATCCAGCAATTTCAATTATTTTTTCTGTGTGTGTGTGGTCGTCCACAGTTTATTTGTGTAGGCAAGGAGTCAAAGAAACAGTGTTAAAATACCATTTGTTGATGGTTTAAACATATGTTATCCTGTGATACTTATTTTTTTCTATAATGGCTCTACTAACTTACAATTTTACCGACTGTATGTGTTTCCTTTTCTATTCATTCTCACTAACATATTTTTGTCTTTCTAATTACAGTCATTCTAATTGGAGTGAAGTGGTATCTTGTGGTTTTGATTTGCATTTCTCTGACAATTAGTGATGTTGAGCATCTTTGCATGTACTTTTTGGCTATTTGTATTTCTTTTGAAAAAGGTCTCTTAAAGTCTCTTGCCTATATTCAAATTGTGGTATTTTTGTTAAGTTTGTTATATATTCTGTAAATTTATCTTTTGTCATATGTATATTTTGCAAATATTTTCCTTCATTCTGTAGATTATCTCTTCACTCTGCTGTCTTTGCTATGCAAAGCATTTTTACTTTGTTGTAATCCCATTTGCATATTTTTGCTTCTTCTGCCTGTGCTTTTGAGGTCTTAAGATTCTTTGCTCTGTACTGTGTGGTAAAGCATTCCTGTATGTTTACTTCAAATAGCTTTATTTGGGTTTCCCATTTAAATCTTTATTTGTGATTGACTTTTTTATATCATAAGAGGTAGGAGCCTAGTTTTATTTTTTTTATTATCTTGTAGATAATTTTCCTAGCACCATTTATTGAAAATATTGTCTTTTTCCAATAACAAAAATGTTATTGGAAAATCTATACTTTTGTGTGTGTGGAAGAAACACTTTCGTGATTTGAAGATAATTTCCAAAACTGTCATACCTCTATCTCTTTTAGATATTATTTTTGTTTTCAAAAATGCTGAAACTTTACAATCATATATTTTTAAATATTCAGCTTAGTCATATTAACGTTGTTATGCACTCTATCTTTAGAATATGTTTATCTTGCAAAGCTAACACTCAGTACACATTAAACAACTACCTACTTTTTCTATTTTCTGGCCCTTTACAAAAACAATTCTGCTTTTTATTTTAAAGTCAGACCACTTTAGATATCTGATGTAAGTTGATTCATACAGTTTCTGTCTCTTCATGACTTATTTTGTGTTAATGTCATCAAGGTTTATCTTTACTGTACTTAATTTTTGCTTTTTACAAACTGAGTAATATTTCATTTTAATATTTCAAATTTATCAATTTGGTGAGAGAAATCTGTGTTGCATTTATTTGCTTTCAGTAACAATGCTGCAGTAATTATGAGTGTCTAAAACTCTTCATGTGACCGTGTGTGAGTTTGTATTTTTGGCAGATTTTATTAATCTAGCTGTTCAGCTTTATATCTATCCCAAATTATTTTAATTCTTTAGCTTTGTATGTGTTTTGAAATCAGGAGCTGTGAAGCCTCTGAGATTGCTTCTCTTTTTGAAGATTGTTGGGTACTTCACTGTTTCTTAATTTGATATAATATGGGGTTTGCTGTTTCTATTACTACAATAATTTAATTACAAATTTGACAGGGATTGCATTTAATCTGTAGATTACATTGAGCAGTCTAGATATCTTTATTATTTCAATCTTTAGTTTGTATTGTTTAATTTCTATAAGTATGTAATTTTTTTTTTTTTTTGGGGGGGGATACGGATTCCTGCTCTGTCACCCAGGCTGGAGTGCAGTGGTGGGATCTCAGCTTACTGCAAGCTCCGCCTCCCAGATTCACGCCATTCTCCTCCCTCAGCCTGTCCAGTAGCTGGGACTACAGTCACCCACCACCATGCCTGGCTAATTTTTTGTATTTTTAGTAGAGACGGGGTTTATAGTTTTCTTTCTTTTATTCTACATTCATACCAGTTTGGTCATTAAAAGAAATCTGTAAAATTTGAATTTTAAAAACTTCTGTTAAGACTTTTTTTGTGCCCTAATATGTAGTTTATCAAGGAGAATATTGTATGAGCTATTCAGGAAGGTGTGTATTCTCGTTGAGCAGTGTTCTTTACAATTCTGTTAGGCATAATTGTTTAATACTGCTTTCAAGTCTCCTGTTTCCTTATGAATATTTTATCTTGTTTCATTATTCTTTATAGAAATTGGGGTATTTAAATATCCTAGTATAATTATATTGCTTTTTTGTGTTGCTTTAATTCTGTCAGTATTGGCTTTGTATGTTTGGAACTCAATGTGGGACACACACAAACAGACACATTAACATATGTATACACACATTTGTCGTTGAGTTCCCAGTAAAGGAACGTTTTTATTATTGTTTAATGGCCTTTCTTCTGAACTTTTAGTTAAAGTATATTTTATGAAATAGGATAGTTTTGACTTAAGATGTACTTTGTGTTATATAATTTGGTTATTTGCATCAAATGTCTTCTTTCCTTTTTCAGTCTTTTTAAATTATTACATCTCAAGTGACTCCTGTAGAAAAGCAAGCTGGATCATGTTAATTTTTGCAATCAATCCCTTCATTTGGTGCATGTATTTCGAATGGAAACTTCATAAATATTTGAATAATTTGCTGAAATAGACTTACACGTTTTATTGATTTTTTTGCTGGATTATTTCATTTTTGCCCCTTATTTTCTTTTTCTGTCTTCCTTAGTGTCTTTTTGATTTTTGTACTGATACACCTTTACTTCTTATTTTTTGGCGTATCTATAGAGATACTTTTTTCTGGTATCTTGGAAAGTACATAAAATTTCTTAAAATAATATATTTTTTGTTTTATTTTATTTATTTATTTATTTTGAGACGGAGTCTTGCTCAGTCACCCAGGATGGAGTGCAGTGGCGCGATCTCGGCTCACTGCAAGCTCTGCCTCCTGGGTTCATGCCATTCTCCTTCCTCAGCCTCCCCAGTAGCTGGGAGTACGGTGCCTGCCACCACACCTGGCTAGATCTTTTTGTATTTTCAGTAGAGATGGGGTTTATCCATGTTAGCTAGGATGGTCTCAATCTCCTGACCTTGTGATCCACCCGCCTCGGCCTCCCAAAGTGCTGGGATTACAGGTGTGAGCCACTGTGCCCTGCAAAATAATATATTTTAAACTGGTAAAAACGAGTTGCATTTGAAAAATTCTTCCTCAGCCAGGCGCGGTGACTCACGTGTGTAATCCCAGCAATTTGGGAGGCTGAGGCAGGCGGATTACGTAAAGAGATCGAGACCATCCTGGTCAACATGTTGAAACCCCATCTTCACCAGAAATGCAAAAATTTGCTGGGCGTGGTGGTGCGCCTGTAGTCCCAGCTACTTGGGAGGCTGAGGCAGGAGAATTGCTTGAACCCAGGAGGGGAGGTTGCAGTGAGCCAAGATTGTGCTGCTGCACTCCAGCCTGGCAACAGAGTGAGACTCTGTCTAAAAAGAAAAAAAAGAAAAAAAAAAGAAAATTCGGGGTTGGGTGTGGTGGCTCACGCCTGCAATCCCAGCACTTTTGGAGGCTGAGGCAGGCAGATAACGAGGTCAGGAGTTCGAGACCAGCCTGGCCAGTATGATGAAACCCTGTCTCTATTAAAAATACAAAAAGTAGAAGAGCATGGTGGTGTGTACCTGTAGTTCTAGCTACTCAGGAGGCTGAGGCAGAAGAATTGCTTGAACTGGGCAGGCAGAGGTTGCAGTGAGCCAAGATAGTGCCACTGCACTCCAGTCTGGGTGACAGAGTGAGACTCTGTCTCAAAAAAAAAAAAAAAAAGAAAACTTCCTCATTACATCTGTCCTCGTTTGTTATTGATGTCAGTAATCATATTTTTATGTGGTATATTATTACCAGATAATGATCAACAGTTTATGATCATTTTTATGCTTTTAACTTTAAAATTTTAGAGAATAATTAAAATGTTTTCCGCACTATTAGGATAGTGGTACAGAACTTTGTGTACGTGCATATCTTTTTCAGAAAGTTACATATTTTCGTATGATTATGTTTGGTTTTCTTGCATTATGTTATTTTCACTGGAAGACACTTTCTTCAGCATTTTTTTGGTAAGACAGGTGTTGTGCTAATATACTTTTTCAGCATGTGCTTATCTTGAAAGGTCTTTACTTTTTCTTCATTTTTAGGACAGTTTTGCTGGTTATATTATTCCCATGTAGAATTTTTTTTTCTCCAGCATCTTAATTATATTGCAGTTCCTTCTGGTGTGAAATAGTTTTGTTGACAGATTCACTGGTAATCTTATAAGACCACACTTATAAATGACACATCACTTTTTGTAGTTCCTAAAATGCCCTTCTTGTGTTTGATTTTTCAAACTTTGCTCATGTATATATATGTGCCTTGCGATAAATCTGTGTGTGTATCCTAGTTGAAGTTTGTTGAGCTGCTTCATTTATTACATCCTTTTTTTAACTTCTGAAAATTTCTGAGTCATTATTTTATATTTTTCACCTCCTTTTTTTATGTTTTTAATGTTTTCATTGATGTTCTGATTTTTCTGATTACATTTAGTTATATGTGTTTTCAGTTAACTGATTCAGCATTATTCAGATTACATTTAAAAAATTAGTACATCTTTTTTTATGGTTTTCTGAAAATTTTAAAATCATTATAATGTGTTCTAATATTTTGTATACATTGTAATATTTGCTTGTTATTTGAACATTAACAAAAAGCTATTTGTCACAATCTTTATTATGTTGCTTTGTCATGATGTAGTCTGAAGCCAGTTGTCTTTGGTAGAGATTATGGGAACCTGTCATACATGTTGGAAGGATGTCTCTTGTCTGGAATTTTGTGTTTATTTTTTAGTTAAAAGGGTTTCTTCATGTTTCCTGTTAAGAGGCTCTAATTGGCCAGGCATGGTGGCTCACTCCTGTAATCCCAGCAACTTTAGGAGGCTGAGGCAGGTGGATCACGAGGTCAGGAGATTGAGACCATCCTGGCTAACATAGTGAAACCCCATCTCTACTAAAAATACAAAAATTAGCTGGGCGTGGTGGTAGGTGCCTGTAGTCCCAGCTATTGGGGAGGCTGAGGCAGGAGAATGGCATGAACCCAGGAGGTGGAGCTTGCAGTGAGCCAAGATCCCGCCACTGCACTCCAGCCTGGGCGACAGAGTGAGACTCCATCTCAAAAAAAAAAAAAAAAAAAAAAAGTCTCTCATCACTTGCTGTACCTGTTGCCTGTATTCAGCACTTCAGTCTGCTTTTGAAATATTTATATTTTGTCTTCGAATACCCAAGTTGTTCTTCCAAAGTATCACCATTTCTTTCAGCACTGTTTTATTGGAGGCAGAAATCAGTTTTTGTAAAGACCCCAAAAGCCAGAAATAAGGATATGTGTGTCAGTATTTTTCTTCTCTTTTAAGGAAAAAGGAGTTGAGAGCTTTCTTCTAATGGCATAGTGCTATATTGGGGAGGAAGAGCTGTTGGTGGGTAAATTGAACAAACATTCCTTCCTGTTCTATGTGGCTCTTGGCATTGTGCTTACCTGAGGGATTGCATACAATTAACTCATTTATAGATTTCACACAAAGGCATTTTGATCACCATATGTTTGTTACATGTATATGTGAAGAAGTTATGACTTGTGGTATTTTGTTATGTGATCTTACTAGCGTACTTTGTATAATCTTATGATTTGTAAAGTATATGCATATGAATCTAGTAACTGGGATAATTTGTTATTTTTGTTTCTTTCAGCTATGTGTTCTCATTTCACCCAAGACTTTTTGCCAGTGCAGGGGATAGAAGATTCATTCCACAAACTTATACTGAGAAGATATGAGAAATGTGGGCATGATAATTTACAATTAAGGAAAGGCTGTAAAAGTATGAACGTGTGTAAAGTGCAGAAGGGAGTTTATAATGGAATTAATAAATGCTTGTCAAATACTCAGAGCAAAATATTTCAATGTAATGCACGTGTCAAAGTTTTTAGTAAATTTGCAAATTCAAACAAAGATAAGACAAGACATACTGGAGAGAAACACTTTAAATGTAACGAATGTGGCAAGTCATTTCAGAAGTTCTCAGACCTAACTCAACATAAAGGAATTCATGCTGGAGAGAAACCCTACACTTGTGAAGAACGTGGCAAAGACTTTGGATGGTACACAGACCTGAATCAACACAAGAAAATTCATACTGGAGAGAAACCTTACAAATGTGAAGAATGTGGCAAAGCCTTTAATAGGTCAACAAACCTTACTGCACATAAGAGAATTCACAACAGAGAGAAAGCTTACACAGGTGAAGATCGTGACAGAGCCTTTGGATGGTCCACAAACCTGAATGAATATAAGAAAATTCATACTGGAGATAAACCCTACAAATGTAAAGAATGTGGGAAAGCCTTTATGCATTCCTCACACCTGAATAAACATGAGAAAATTCATACTGGAGAGAAACCCTACAAATGTAAGGAATGTGGCAAAGTCATTTCCTCATCCTCAAGCTTTGCTAAACATAAGAGGATTCATACTGGCGAGAAACCCTTTAAATGTTTAGAATGTGGTAAAGCCTTTAATATTTCCACAACCCTTACTAAACATAGGAGAATTCATACTGGAGAGAAACCCTACACATGTGAAGTATGTGGCAAAGCCTTTAGACAGTCCGCAAACCTTTATGTACATAGGAGAATTCATACTGGAGAGAAACCCTACACATGTGGAGAATGTGGCAAAACCTTTAGACAGTCCGCAAACCTTTACGTACATAGGAGAATTCATACTGGAGAGAAACCTTACAAATGCGAAGACTGTGGCAAAGCCTTTGGACGGTACACAGCCCTGAATCAACACAAGAAAATTCATACTGGAGAGAAACCTTACAAATGTGAAGAGTGTGGCAAAGCCTTTAATAGTTCAACAAACCTTACTGCACATAAGAGAATTCACACCAGAGAGAAACCCTACACATGTGAAGATCGTGGCAGAGCCTTTGGATTGTCCACAAACCTGAATGAATATAAGAAAATTCATACTGGAGATAAACCCTACAAATGTAAAGAATGTGGGAAAGCCTTTATACATTCCTTGCACCTGAATAAACATGAGAAAATTCATACTGGAAAGAAACCCTACAAATGTAAGCAATGTGGCAAAGTCATTACCTCATCCTCAAGCTTTGCTAAACATAAGAGGATTCATACTGGCGAGAAACCCTTTGAATGTTTAGAATGTGGTAAAGCGTTTACTAGTTCCACAACCCTTACTAAACATAGGAGAATTCATACTGGAGAGAAACCCTACACATGTGAAGTATGTGGCAAAGCCTTTAGACAGTCCGCAATCCTTTATGTACATAGGAGAATTCATACTGGAGAGAAACCCTACACATGTGAAGAATGTGGCAAAACCTTTAGACAGTCCGCAAACCTTTATGTACATAGGAGAATTCATACTGGAGAGAAACCTTACAAATGTGAAGAGTGTGGCAAAGCCTTTGGACGGTACACAGACCTGAATCAACACAAGAAAATTCATACTGGAGAGAAACTTTACAAATGTGAAGAGTGTGGCAAAGACTTTGTATGGTACACGGACCTGAATCAACAGAAGAAAATTTACACTGGGGAGAAACCTTACAAATGTGAAGAGTGTGGCAAAGCCTTTGCCCCATCAACAGACCTGAATCAACACACGAAAATTCTTACTGGAGAGCAAAGTTACAAATGTGAAGAGTGTGGCAAAGCCTTTGGATGGTCCATAGCCCTGAATCAACACAAGAAAATTCATACTGGAGAAAAACCTTACAAATGTGAAGAGTGTGGCAAAGCCTTTAGTAGGTCAAGAAACCTTACTACACATAGGAGAGTTCACACTAGGGAGAAACCCTACAAATGTGAAGATCGTGGCAGATCCTTTGGATGGTCCACAAACCTGAACGAATATAAGAAAATTCATACTGGAGATAAACTCTACAAATGTAAAGAATGTGGGAAAGTGTTTAAACAGTCCTCACACCTGAATAGACATGAGAAAATTCATACTGGAAAGAAACCCTACAAATGTAAGGAATGTGGCAAAGTCATTACGTCATCCTCAAGCTTTGCTAAACATAAGAGGATTCATACAGGTGAGAAACCCTTTAAATGTTTAGAATGTGGTAAAGCGTTTACTAGTTCCACAACCCTTACTAAACATAGGAGAATTCATACTGGAGAGAAACCCTACACATGTGAAGAATGTGGCAAAGCCTTTAGACAGTCAGCAATCCTTTATGTACATAGGAGAATTCATACTGGAGAGAAACCCTACACATGTGGAGAATGTGGCAAAACCTTTAGACAGTCTGCAAATCTTTATGCGCATAAGAAAATTCATACTGGAGAGAAACCCTACACGTGTGGAGACTGTGGCAAAACCTTTAGACAGTCTGCAAATCTTTATGCACATAA
This sequence comes from Homo sapiens, assembly GCF_000001405.40. Taxonomy (NCBI): domain Eukaryota; kingdom Metazoa; phylum Chordata; class Mammalia; order Primates; family Hominidae; genus Homo; species Homo sapiens. The sequence continues at coordinate 441,731 of NC_000004.12, read as the reverse complement.
GAAAATTCATACTGGAGATAAAACCATACAAGTGTAAAGAATGTGGCAAAGCCTTTAAGTCATACTACAGCATTCTTAAACATAAGAGAACTCATACCAGGGGAATGTCTTACGAAGGTGACGAATGTCGCGGTCTTTAAATGCTCCTCAATCCTTTCTAATCATAAGATAATTCATAATGAAGAGAAACTCTAAAATGTGAAAAATGTGAGAAGGCTTTTAATCACACCTCAATCTGTTGTAGACATAAGAGTAATTATATTGATGAGAAGCCAAATTAAAATTAAAAATGTGGCAAAGACTTCCAATTCTAGTCAGTTCTTAATGTAATTCCTACTGAAGAAAACACCTGGAAATACAAAAAATGTGGCAAAACTTGTAACCAATGCTTAGCATTTTTGCACATGATAGTATTTATATGTGAGACTACTTGTACAAACATAAAAATATACAAAAGCTATTGTCTACTTGAAATTTATAGTTAATAAAAGCATTATAAATGTAATTTCTGTTGAAAGACCTTTTAGAAAATATAGGCCATTAAAGTGAAGAATAGTCTTAAGACAGAGAATACAAAGATAAAGAGGGCTCTAGTACCTGTACTTGTATCCCAGAACTTACTATATGCATTTTGTACTAGAGGAAAACTCTGAAGCAGTTGCTTAAACTTTGTTCAACATCAGAGAATTTATATTGGAGAGAAATCCTACAAATGTAATAAATGTGGAAAAACCTCTGTTCAGAAACTGCAGGTTAAGAAACCAGAGGCCAGGCGCGGTGGCTCACGCCTGTAATCCCAACACTTTGGGAGGCCAAGGAGGGTGGATCACCTGAGGTCGGGAGTTCAAGGACAGCCTGACCAATATGGAGAAACCTCGTCTGTACTAAAAATACAAAAATTAGCAGGACATGGTGGTGCATGGCTGTAATCCCAGCTACTCAGGAGGCTGAGACAGGAGAATGGCTTGAACCCAGGAGGTGGAGGTTGCGGTGAGCTGAGATCGTGCCATTGCACTCCAGCCTGGGTAACAAGAGTGAAACTCTGTCTCAAAACAAGATAAAAAGAAAAGAAACACCAGAGAATTTTTACTAGAATATAATTTGTAGGTGCAGTAAATGTGAAGAAATATTTAGGCTAAAATTAAGACTATGTAAACATCAGAGGATTTACAGTAGAAAGAACTAAGGAACTAACACTTCAGACTTTAAAATAAATCAGAGTATTAAGTATAACAAAAGTTGAACCTGTTAGAAAATTTCCTTGTATATAAGTTGAAAAGTAGGTTTTTGAAGAGATATATTCGAAATATATTTTTTCACTTGAAAAAAGTAAAAATTTTTTTCAAAAGCAAATAATTCAACTCTAAAATTATACTATTTCAACATTCTCATTTATGTGAAAGCATGTGATAAATTGTTGCTGCGTCAGAGATATGAGAAACTCCTTTGCATTAGGTGGGCATTATTCATAGACTTCTACATGAAAGAGAAGAGAAATAAAAGATGCACCAGGAAAATCTGAGCAGAGAGGCTTTTAGTGGTTGACTTACTGAGTGATGCCTGAAGTAGGTGTTCAGAGTAATACTTTGCGTTATACTGAGAGAGAATCTGAATTTTAGTAGTAAATTGTTTTGCCAACTGTATATTTATGTAATAAGTGCAATAAAATGCAGTAAATTTTAAAATTCTCTTAAGATAATGTGTGAACTTAATTTTTGAAATAAAAATTGTTATTGTGTTAAAATTTTTGTGCCGTGAATGAAGTGTTTTATTATGCCACCAACTTTCACCTATCCAACCTTACTCAAGGGTGTACGTTAAAGATGGTAACAATGTACTATCTGGTAATATAATTGAATGACATCTCTAGTCTTTTTTAGTGGCTTTCAACAGCAAATAAATTGAAGAATATTGTTTGCATGTTACATTTTTATTCTTATTGAAATTTTTCAAAAGGTTTTGTGAGTACATAGTATGTGTATATATTTATGGTATATATGGGTTATTTTGATACAGGCATACAGTATGTAATAATCACACCACAGTAAATGAGTTATTATCACCTCAAGCATTTATCCTTTGTATTACACACAATCCAGTTACACACTTTAATTATTTTTAACTACAGGTCATTTTATGTTTGTAATAAACATTCATACATTCCTGAGTCTTGAATACTTTTAAAAAATGTTTCATATATATCTTTGAACATGTGGCATGTCCTCCTGCAAACACATACAGACATTTAATTTACTTGGAGTTAAATATATAAATTTTGTGCTCTAAAGATAAACGTTGGGCACAAGGAAATTATGGAGCAAGTAATTGTGTTTGCATGAGAGTTTATACCTATTTTCCAAAGAAAATAGCAATATTGGAACAAAGAAGGTTCTATTAATACTGTGGATAGGTAATTTACTAGAAATCTAAAACATTTTGAAATCAAATCTATATTTTCTTCTTTTCATTTAATTACTGTACAATCTAATGAATCATCGTTGAGAATCTCCCCATGCCAATCAATTCTGGTTTTATGTGGTCCTCATGCTCTAGCTATAAATTTCTCATTTTTTTTGTTTCCACTTCATAAAGTATGTGAGCTTGTCAGAAATTATAAGAATCATTTTTATAAAATTTAGTGCACCAAAAATACTTTTTAGATGTAATTTCACAATGTGTGTATTTATGTTTTATTTAATTAGAACATTTCATTTTATTGGACAACCTTATATAAGCTGTTTTCTTTAGTTATTGTTCTTTTCACTTTTTATAACTAAATAAGTTTGTTCAGGCAAGTACTGGGAAGACATAAGTATTGGGGATGTTTTGATAAATAATTGTAGTGAACAAACACAAAGTGCTGGGTGTGTAATAGATGCTCCATAACTAGCCATAAATATTCCTGGAGTTAGTTCGTAGCTCCAAGTAAAAGATTAAAAATATCTATGTTGAAGAAATGTCATTAATTGTGCATGTGGAGAGGACGTGTTCCCAGGCTGCAAAACTGACTCAGTCTGAATTTAAAGAGGATTTCTGTTTTTATTTTCTAATTATCTTTAGTTTTGTGATGTCTTCTTTTCCTTTGTGTTTTGGCTACAGTTTCCTCGCTGATCTCTTCATGCCGTGTAATTTCACATGGACTTTCAAGGTTCAGATGAGAAGTTTAGAATTTTTAATGTGGTATATTATTGTTTTTAACTGGGTTGTTTGAGATTATTTATAATTTATCAATACAACATTCAGATGACTTGAGAGTAATTCACTGTTCACAGGTAAGAGGATTAAGTCAGCATTGCTTCTCTGTATTGGTAAAGGAAAAATTGTATGAGATTCTAACAAAAAGTGTGTTAAACATAAGTTAGAATAGGTAAAACATTAATATAAGTGGGTTGCATATTGTAAGCACCATATGAAGAAACTCATCAGAATTTTGATATCTCTTAAGATAAAATATATCTTAGAAAAAAAATTTTTTTTTTTTTTTAGACAGAATCTTTCTCTGTTGCCAAGGCTAACCTGCAGTGGCACGATCTCAGCTCACTGCAACCTCTGCCTCCTGGGTTCACGTCATTCCCTTGCCTAAGCCTCCCGAGTAGCTGGGACTACAGGCGCCCACTCCCACGCCTGGCTAATTTTTTGTATTTTTAGTAGAGATGGGGTTTCACCATGTTAGCCAGGATGGTCTCGATCTCCTGACCTCATGATCCGCCTGCCTCTGCCTCCCAAAGTGCTGGGATTACAGGCGGGAGCCACCACACCCGGCCCTCTTGAAATTTTTAAGAGACTTAATGGTAGGTGAAGGATTTTACATATCATTTTCTATGACATAGCAAAACTATTTTTTTAAGCTGAATCTTTTGAGTGTAAATGTTAAGTGTTGGAAAAATAGAATGATCTGTGTAGATTCAAGATTCAAAATCTGCAGTGATCTTTTCTGTTGAGATTCATGTTACAATCTTGAGGAAATTTGTTATGATTTTTTTGTTTTAGTGGATGCAGTTCATGAGGTACGGTTTTCATTTTTAGTCACTTTATCCAAGTCCTTCGTCACCTTCTCTGGAAAATCAGATTATGGCAGCTATTGAATTCAAACGTTCATTAATTAATGTAATTCAGCATATACATAATAATATATACCAAATACTAACCATAATCCTGTATATCTGTTAATTTTCACAGAAACTCAATGCATAGACATTATTATTATCCTTATTTTACAGAGGAAGGAACAGAGCCACAGAGAAAAATGACTTGCTCACAACAGAAGAGCCAGTAGTAAAACACAGGCAAGTTTGACTCTAGAGATAAGTCTTAACTACTACGGTAAACAACCTCTTCAAACAGAAAATACATGATTATCTTCAACACCCATTTTTTTTTTTGAGACGGAGTCTCGCTCTGTCGTCCAGGCCGGAGTGCAGTGGCGTGATCTCAGCTCACTGCAAGCTCCACCTCGCGAGTTCACGCCATTCTCCTGTCTCAGCCTCCCGAGTAGCTGGGACTACAGGTGCCCGCCACTGCGCCCGGCTAATTTTTTTGTGTTTTTAGTAGAGATGCGGTTTCACTGTGTTAGCCAGGATGGTCTCGATCTCCTGACCTCATGATCCGCCCACCTCGACCTCCCAAAGTGCTGGGATTATAGGCATGAGCCACCGTGCCCGGCCTCAACACCCATCCTTAATAAAAAATTAACAAACATTGGGCTGGGCGCGGTGGCTCACGCCTGTAATCTCAGCACTTTGGGAGGCAAAGGTCTCGAACTCGAGACCGTCCTGGCTAACATGGTGAAACGCCGTCTCTACTAAAAATACAAAAAATTAGCCAGGCGTGGTGACAGCACCTGTAGTCCCAGCTACTTGGGAGGCTGAGGCAGGAGAATGGCGTGAACCCAGGAGGTGGAGCTTGCAGTGAGCCAAGATCACGCTGCTGCACTCCAGCCTGGGCAACACAGCGAGACTCCGTCTCAAAAAAAAAAATTATAATTTCATTTATGTGAGATATTTTTAGTAGTCAGCTCATAAAAACAAAGTACAATGGTGTTTGTCAAGAGGTGGGGGAGAGTGAAAATGTTACCAGGAAGTGCAAAGTCCTTAGTTCTTGTTTTCTTGAGAGAAACAATTCAGCCCAGACACAAAGAACACACCAAAAGAGGAGTAGGTTGGCCCAGCTGGAAACAGTCTTGAGAGTTACATGTTGCAGTTTTTATTATCATAGACTTAAAAAAAATTTCCCACCTCTGTCTTAAGTGTCTGCCTTTGTTTAGTATCCTGCTTCCTGGTAAATCTCTTCTTTTATCCTCATCGAGTTTCTGCCCAGGTCTGTGAGATGCTTCCTTACTGTCAGCTGATATACATGTGTGAGTTCCAGTGATCAATGAATCTTAATGGCAGCACTGCTTATTACCGCCATCTTAGGAAAATAATATAGCAGTCAAATGTGTACTTACTATGCCTACGTATCTCTTAGGAATTTTCCTTTAGCCCTTTTTCCCTTTTTATCAGCATGTAGCTAGCTACATTCTGACAGTTTAATCACAGTATGAGCAATTACTGGGTGTCCTAAGTGGTGTTTCAGGGTGTTCTTCATAGGTATTTCTGCTCCTCTCTGCTCAAATTTAGCATACATGTTTTGGGTTGTCTTTGGAGCATGAGGCTTTTTCCTCTGGGGCTCTTTTTTTCTGTTCATGTCTAACTGCCTACTCGAACATTCCCTCAATAGATTGTGACTCTAAAAATCTTTGAGACAGTGCACTGTGGGTCTTCTGTAACTACTTCCTGGTGACATAAGATAACTCATCAGCATCTCATTATCTTGCTCTTTGTCAGAAAAACATTCCCTCCATGTTTTCCCAGGTTTGACTTGCAGTATCCAGAGGAAATGTGGAGAAACACAGTTGTACAGAAGGGAAGAAAATAGGTTGATACTCCTGTTGCAGGACCATTTGAAGTCTGAGAGTTTCCAGGTGAGAGGAAACAAACCTGGTTACTTGATTTAGTGAGTAAAGCTCACAAAAGAGAAAAAGGAAGACAAAAGCTAGGGATCCCCCAAAAAGGGATGTGATGAGAATTTGAACCAGTTGGCACCCCAGGAGAACTAGCCCTTAGTGGCATGTTTCTGATGGTGACAGGCTTGGTTTATAAAATCTCTAACATGGTCCTGGACTTTCCCTAATCTGTTAACCCAGAAACAGCATTTTTCTCCTAGCATAAGGCAAATGCTTTTGTGAGCTGCAGCTAGTGTGGCAAGACCTCTACAATTTTGAACTACAGCCACGAGATAATCAACTTGTTGCTGTCACTCTGTAAGAGTCTGAGCAGTGGTTTCTGTTTTTTGAGTCAGTTCTAGAGACAGGTTGTGGTAAGTTGAGAAGGCAATAATTATGCCAGCTATTCCTGTAGTGGCACTTGTGATGCCAAGCTCATTGAGGAAAAAAATAAAAAAGATAAACTGCACAGTTGATCTGGTTTGAGGTAGTAAAGGGTAACAGCAAAGAATCATCACCCAGGACAATGCAAATTTTAGGGGTGAAGGAAGCCAGAGTGCATGTCCTCGTCAAGTTTCCAGAGAGGCAGAGATAAGCCTGCATTTCACACAGGAAGTAAAGTTCTGTAGTCAATAAAAATGGATGCAGAAGGTGAGGTCAGTTCCAAACATTGACCAGGGTCCTTGTTGGCTATCCGATATGTGAGATTCTGCCACTAAAGTTGCTGCTGCCAGGGGAGCCAGACATGGGTCCTATGTGTTTTTTTGTTTCATTTTATCATGGGGATGTCTCTAGTAGTATCAAGGAGAAGGGTTTTCTGAAACAAAGACTTGAAACCTTTTGCATAATTTATACTGGCTTGGTTGACACCATGGGTTGGGTTGACTGCCAGAGGTGTGACCGACGCAGAATTCAGTGGCATCATTTTGGATGAATGCTCCAGGTGCTAAAACATTTGGGGGAGAATAGAAAATCTCATTTGATGTTGAGAATATTTAGTGAAACAAAATTTTGAGAAATATCAATAATGGTGCTCGTTGTGTTGCATTGTGCTGGGTCTAAAGCATCCACGATGGTTCTGGAGTTTACAGTAGCACAGATGCATAGGAGTACCTGGCCAATGAGGGTAGCAGGGGAGAACAAGGGGCTTGAAACAATGGGGGTGGGTTTAAGAAAATCTTAAAAGGCTGCTTTAGGTTTTGTCAAAAAGATTATACTAGCAGAGGGAAGGTTTTGTGTAGAGAGGTCCCGATGGTAGGTGAAGCTAAGTTGGGCTTGAGTAGATGTCCATTCTTGTATTGTGGCCAAGTAGGCCATTCCCACCCAGGATGAAGAGGAATTCATGACTAGCTAACAGGTTGAGGCATAGGAAGAATTGGTAGAGTTTAGTAGTTGTGGAGTTGCCTGCAAAGTGCTTAAAAAAAAGGTTGTGGGCAGTTAGGGCATATGAGGGTGACTTTAGTCAGAAGTATGAGTAATGACCATAGAACATTAGGCTGCATGGCTCCAAGGGAAGTAGAATAGGGCCAAATTGAGATGCTTGATTAAGAAGAGAGACTGTTAACCCAATGAATATTAGAGAGATCACTACTCAGATTATGGCTTTGATGTTTAAATGTAGGAGGGACATAGCAAACTCTTCCCTGGAGAGGGTGTTGGTTTACAGTAACAAAGGCATATTAGTAAATCTGCAGAGTATTATGACTTCTAATATAAACATGAAAATATTACATCGCTGATGGACTAAAGCAGTCAAAAGTAAAATAACTAGGTTAAAAAATTAATATTAGATAAAGCAAGCTCTTAATGGAACACCTGGTGGTGTGCAAGTTAGGGTTAAGGTAAGAATCAACAGTACCACTGCAAATAAGATTGCCAATATTGGGATTACCCTACTTTGAGATAAAATGAGGAAGAGCATTACTTAGCTTCTCATTTAGAGAAAAATTTGTAAGTCCTCCTGTGGGTCACAGGAGTAGGTAAGTGTTGGTTCAATCTTTCTTTGGTTCCTTAACGTGTTTCCAGTTGTATTCAAAAATAATGTGTCCAGCTAGAGATGCCAGGAAACTTGATAGCTATTGGGGTGAGAAGTATGATAGTAAAATTGTTCTTCTGTAATGTGGTTAGTTGAGATCCAGGAGATCCACCTCTCCAGATTTTAATGAGGACTTGTTACCCTGCCTGGTTATAAGGGTTGTTGGAGTGGGGGTCAAACTCAGAATTGTTTGTCCAAACTCCTGGATGGCCTCTTGAAATTGAGTCAGCGATTTTATGTACCGGGTTAATTTGGTAACCTCTGGGTATAATACTAGGTTTGCATGTAGAAAGGGTCTCTAATATAGGACTTCGAAGAAACTAAGGCATAGATGTAATTTAGGGGCTGTTCTAATCTGGAGAAGTGCCATGGGCAGAAGTTCTAGCCATGGTAAAGAGGCTTCCTGGCATCATTTGCTCAAGGTCCTTTTAATAGCTTGATTAGTCCTTTCTACCTTCCTGGGAGACTGGCTTTCAGGAGGAGTGTGAAAAGTATTTTACCCGTAGGGCTTTTGCCACTGCTTGGGTAGTTTGCAAAATAAATTATGAACCATTGTTACTTTGTGAAGACTGTGGAAACCCAAAGAGATAATTTCTTTCAGAATGATTCTGGCAAGTACCTGAATCTTTTCTAGTATGAGAGGCTTCAACCCAGGCAGTAAGAGGGTCCCCAAAAATCAGAAGGTATTTGTAGCCTAGATAGGTTGGCAATTAAGTCTACCTACCATTCTTCCCACTGGGTAGGTTTCTTGTTGCTGAACTGGCTGAATTAAGGAGAGTGGCTTAGGCCTGCAGGATTACTATAGATGTCCAGACTTTACAAACTTGTCAAAAAGAGAGTTTTAGTTTTGTTTGTCTGTTGTTTACAGCTGATAGATATGCTCTCTCCCAAAGAGACAAGAATTATGGAGTGCCCTTTTTGCTCTCTGCTGGAGGACCTCGGGGGGCGGGGCGGGGGGGAACTCTCTCAGGGCCAGGTACAGTGGCTTACACCTGTAATCCCAGCACTTTGGGAGGCCAAAGTGGGCGGATCACGAGGTCAGGAGATCGAGACTATCCTGGCTGACACAGTGAAACCCCATCTCTACTAAAAATACAAAAAATTAGCCAGGCGTGGTGGCGGGCGCCTGTAGTCCCAGCTACTTGAGAGGCTGAGGCAGGAGAATGGTGTGAACCTGGGAGGTGGAGCTTGCAGTGAGCCGAGATCGAGCCACTGCACTCCAGCCTGGGCAACAGAGCGAGACTCCTTCTCAAAAAAACAAAACAAAACAAAACAAAAAAACAAAACTCTCAATTTACACAATCTTTCAGGTCCTAGGGTATATTCACGTTTGATACCCCATTTCTTTTTCTCTTGAGCATATTGCAGGGGGGGCAGGTTGTTAGGTACAGTTGAGATAAGGGCCATAAGGAGTTCCCCAGAAAGGGTGGTGCCCCTAGCTGCTTGGCCAACCTGCCTGTTTCTCTAGATAATCTCATCTTGGCGTAGCCCCAGCAATGATCCACCTGCCTCAGCCTCCCAAAGTGCTGGGATTACAGGCTGGGATAATGAGCCACCATGCCCGGCCTTGCTCCACAGTCTTACAGTGTACACAGTTGAATATTGTCATACACAAGTATAACGTAAAATGAATACATCCTTGTCTGAGATCTCAGATAAAAAGTGCTCTGCTCTTTCCTGTTTAGTATGATATAAGTCATTGATTTGTCATACATGGCCTTTATTGTGCTGGGGTACATACCATCTATACCTAATTTGTTGAGTTTCTTAAAGCACAAAGGCATGTTGAATTTTGCCAAATACTCCTACATAGACCAGCAAAATAAAGATGTCTAGATGTCTAGTGGCAAACTTAATTAAAAAGGGTAACCACGCTCTACACTGAGAATTATATAACATTGATAAAAAACTGAAAAAGACATGAAAAATTGAAAGATATTTTTTGCTCATGAATTGAAAAAATATAAAAGTGGCTATACTACCCAAGGTGATCTACAGATTCAATGCAATCTCTATCAAAATGCCAATGACTTTTTTCACAGAAATCGGAAAAAAAAAGATTAAAATGTATAGGGAACAACCAAAGACCCACGAACGGCAAAAGTAATCCTGAGCAAAAAGAACAAAGCTAGGAGCATCACACTTCCTGGTTCCAAAACATACTATGAAGCTATAATGAGCAAAACAGGATGATACTGACATAAAAACAGATGAAAGTATCCAGTGAGCCTAGCAATAAATTCATGAACCTAGAGCCAAGTGATTTTCAACAAAAATGTCCAGAACACACAGTTGGAAAAAGACAGTCTTTTCAATAAGTGTTGCTAGAAAAATTTATCTACATAATAAAAAAATGAACCTAGGCCCCTACCTCTTATGATATAAAAAACTCAATCACAAATAAAAATTTAAATAGAAGCTGGGCACAGTGGCTCACGCCTTTAATCCCAGCACTTTGGGAGGCCAAGGCGGGCAGATCACGAGGTCAGAGGTTCGAGACCAGCCTGACCAACATGGTGAAACCCCATCTCTACTAAAAATGCAAAAATTAGCTGGGCATGGAGGTGTGTGCCTGTAATCCCAGCTACTCGGGAGGCTGGGGCAGGAGAATCGCTTGAACCCGGGAGGTGGAGGTTGCAGTGAGCCAAGATCACGCCACTGCACTCCAGCCTTGGTGTCAGGGCAAGACTCCGTCTCAAAAAAAAAAAAAAAGGAAACCCAAACCTATAAAGCTATTAGAAGTAAACACAGAGGAATGCTTTACCACATATTGCAGAACAAATAATTTTTAAGACCTCAAGACACACAAAAATATGCAAATGGGATTGCAACAAACTAAGAATCTTTTGCACAGTAAACAATGAGATAATCTATAGAATGAAAGAAAATATTTGCAAAATATACATATGATGAGATAAACTTGCAGAATATATAACAACATATATAACACATAATTTGAAAATAGGCAAGAGACTTACAGATACATTTTTCTTTTTCTGTCTTTTTTTTTTGAGACAGGTTCTTACTCTGTCACCCAGGCTGGAGTTCAGTGGCCTGATCTCAGCTCACTGCAACCTCCGCCTCCCAGGCTCAAGCGATTCTTCCGCCTCATCCTCCCGAGTAGCTGGAATTACGGGTGTGCACCATCACGCCTGGCTAATTTTTGTATTTTTAGTAGAGACGGGATTTCACCATGTTGGCTAGGCTGCTCTCAAACTCTTGACCTCAGGTGATCCACCCGCATCAGCCTCCCAAACTGCTGGGATTACAGGCGTTAGCCACCGCACTCGGCTAAGATACAATTTTCAAAAGAAGAAATACAAATGGCCAAAAAGAATATGCAAAGATGTTCAGCATCACTAATTATCAGGTATGCAAATCAAAGCCACAACAAGATGAGACTTCACTGCAGTTAGAATGACTGTAAGTAGAAAGACAAAAAAATTATGAGAAGGTATAGAAAAGTTAACATATTCAGCTGGTAAGACTAAGTTAGTACAGCCGTTATAGAAAAAATGTATCACAAAGTGACATATATTTAAACAATAAACATTGTAATTTAAGATGGTTCTTTTGATTGTAAGACAATAAACATTTGTGACCATGCAAGAAAAAAAAAATTCAAATTGCTGGATCATGTTACAGAAAGAAACCAGATACACTGAGACAAATACTACATGACCTTACACATATGTGGAATCTAATAAAAACAGACAGTGAAGCCTTCATGCAACTGGTCTTAGCAATCAGTTTTTGGATATAACATCAAAGGCTTGGGAAATAAAAATACGAACATACACATAGTACTACAACACTGTATCCAAACTATTCCAAGAACATTTAAAGCGGGACTTTAGGCGGGCATGGTGGCTCACGCCTGTAATCCCAGCACTTTGGGAGGCCAAGGCGGGTGGATCACGAGATCAGGAGATCAAGAGCATCCTGGCTAACACTGTGAAACCCCATCTCTACTAAAAATCCAAAAAAAGAAAAAAAAAATTAGCCGGGCGTGGCGGCAGGTGCCTGTAGTCCCAGCTACTCAGGAGGCTGAGGCAGGAGAATGGCATGAACCCGGGAGGCAGAGGTTGCAGTGAGCCGAAGTCGTGCCACTGCACTCCAGCCTGGGTGACAATGAGACTGTCAAAAAAAAAAAAAAAGCAAGACTTTAAGTAGATATTTACACATGCATGTTCTTCATTATTTACAAAAGATGATTCCTGGAAAGAATACAAATGTCCCTTTAGGGATCAGTATCAAATTTTTAAAATGTGACATATACATATAATAGAATATTATTTCATTTTAAAACAAAGATATTCTGACATATCTTACAAAAACAAAGCCTGAGAATATTGTTACATATAATAGTCAAAAAGAAACACATTATATAATTACACTGATAAGAATATGGAAACCAGTGAAAATAATAGAAACAGTAAGTAAAATGGTATTCTTCAGGAGCTAAAGAAAAAGGAAAAAAGGGCACTTTATTGTTTATAAGGTACTAAATTTTACTTTTGTAAGGTAAAATTAGAGATCCATTGCAAAATAAAGTAAGTGTACTTAATACCACTAGACTGTACACTTGAAAATATTTAAGATGGCAGTTACACATTTTTCATCACAACTAAATATTTACATCTACCTAAAAAGGTTACAGTCTGTAAAAATCGCCTTCAAATAAGAAGTGTTTCTCTCACAGAATAACATAATCAAACATAAATAGATGGTAATTTTACACTGTTTCTTTGACTACTCACCCACACAAGAAAACAATGATGAACACCCAAGTAAATAAAACATTTATAAACACCTAGGGCAATATTTATACAGGCAAATACTACATAGATAACTTTCTTGCCAAGAGAAATGTCTGATTTATATATATATATATTTTAATTTGCTCCAAGTGAAACCCAATGACATTTATTTGAATTAAACACCACGTGGTCATAAAAGGTACAGGTTAAAATTACCATACAAAGATGAAGATTAGGCCAGGTGCAGTGGCTGATACCTGTAATCCCAGCACTTTGGGAGGCCAAGGCAGGTGGATCACCTGAGGTCAGGAGTTCGAGACCCCAGAATAACCAATATGGAGAAACCCCATCTCTACTAAAAATACAAAAAATTAGCCGGGCGTGGTGGTGCATGCCTGTAATCCCAGCTTCTCGGGAGGCTGAGGCAGGAGAATCGCCTCCCCAGGAGGCAGAGGTTGTGGTGAGCCAAAATCATGCCATTGCTCTCCAGCCTGGGCAACAAGAGCAAAACCCTGTCTCAAAATTAAAAAAAAAAAACAAAACCAACAAAAATATAAAGATTAAAAACAAACCACTAAAATGGAGTTGAAAACTAGAATAAAAAATTCTGACCTATAAAATATTGAATCTAATATATATGTATCATAAAGACAATCTTTTAAATAACTACAGTTTTCAACTGTGACTATGTACTTATGAAGAGCTGGCATTTTGAATCTTTGGCATTCAAGGTACAGCAGCAAAAGAAAATTAAGTCAATAATTAATAAAATGCTCTGATGAGAATGAGGCATTTCAATACATTTACTTATTCCACAATTTGAAAATTTGAGCATTTCAGACATTTTGAATTCAAAATAAAAAACATTTGACATAGAACATATCAGAAAGTAAAATATACAAGGGGAATGACATAGCAAGATGGCAGAATAGGAGGTTCTCTACCCACATCTACGGTTATAAAAAAAATGTGGCAACAATATGGCTTCACTGGGGGCTGAGGGTGCCCACAGGGTTCTTCCCACTTTTCTCTACCCCTGTATTTCGCTTGGCTTTCTAAATTCATCTTTGCTCCAGGATCAAATATTGAAGACTTTGTGCATTCACTGAAGCGTCAGGATATAGTTTTGGAAATAGATGACCTCAGAAACAGAAATGGCTCAGATGATCCCTCCTACAATGGAGCCATCATAGTGTCTGGTGACCAGAAGGATTAGATTTTCAGTTGCATGTAATACCAAGAAATCGAATTGTTTTCCGTTCTTATGGGAATTGTTAGCAATGCCCTTATTGGAATTTTTAACTTCACAGAGCTTATTCAAATGGAGAGCACCTTATTTTTTCGTGATGACATAGTGCTGGATCTTGGTTTTATAGATGGGTCCATATTTTTGTTGTTGATCACAAACTGCATTTCTCCTTATATTGGCATAAGCAGCATCAGTGATTATTAAAAAAAGTTCAATCTCAGTTATGGATTTCAGGCCTCTGGCCTTCAGCATAATGGTGTGGACAGGCTCTGGTGGACATTCCATTACACTTCTTGATTCTCCTTTCAATACATTTAATTTACTACTTCTCATTTCTGGGATTCCAGCTTCCATGGGAACTCATGTTTGTTTTGGTGGTATGCATAATTGGTTGTGCAGCTTCTCTTGTATTCCTCATGTACGTGCTTTCATTCATCTTTTGCAAGTGGAGAAAAAATAATGGCTTTTGGTCTTTTGGCTTTTTTATTGTCTTAATATGTGTATCCACAATTCTGGTATCAACTAAGTAAGAAAAACCCAACTTAATTTTGTGCATGATATTCATACCTTCCTTTACTTTCCTAGGATATGTCGTTATTGATCCAGCTCAACTTTATGTATATGAGAAACTTGGACAGTCTGGACAATAGAATAAATGAAGTCAATAAAACCATTCTTTTAACAAACTTAATACCATACCTTCAGAGTGTTATTTTCCTTTTTGTCATAAGGTGTCTGGAAATGAAGTATGGAAATGAAATCATGAATAAAGACCCAGTTTTCAGAATCTCTCCACGAAGTAGAGGAACTCATACCAATCCAGAAGAGCCTGAAGAAGATGTTCAAGCTGAAAGAGTCCAAGCAGCAAATGCACTCACTACTCCAAACTTGGAGGAGGAACCAGTCATAACTGCAAGCTGTTTACACAAGGAATATTATGAGACAAAGAAAGTTGCTTTTCAACAACAAAGAAGAAAGCAGCCATCAGAAATGTTTCGTTTTGTGTTAAAAAGTGAAGTTTTGGGATTACTAGGACACAATGGAGCTGGCAAAAGTACTTCCATTAAAATGATAACTGGGTGCACAGTGCCAACTGCAGGAGTGGTGGTGTTACAAGGCAACAGAGCATCAGTAAGGCAACAGCGTGACAACAGCCTCAAGTTCTTGGGTACTGCCCTCAGGAGAACTCACTGTGTCCCAAACTTACAATGAAAGAGCATTTGGAGTTGTATGCAGCCGTGAAAGGACTGGGCAAAGATGCTGCTCTTAGTATTTCATGATTGGTGGAAGCTCTCAAGCTCCAGGAGCAACTTAAGGCTCCCGTGAAAACTCTATCAGAGGGAATAAAGAGAAAGCTATGCTTCGTGCTGAGCATACTGGGGAACCCATCAGTGGTGCTTCTAGACGAGCTGTTCACCGGGATGGACCCTGAGGGGCAGCAGCAAATGTGGCAGATACTTCAGGCTACCATTAAAAACCAGGAGAGGGGCGCCCTCTTGACCACCCATTACATGTCAGAGGCTAAGTCTCTGTGTGACCGTGTGGCCATCATGGTGTCAGGAACGCTAAGGTGTATTGGTTCCATTCAACAGCTGAAAAGTTTGGTAAAGATTATTTACTAGAAATAAAAATGAAAGAACCTACTCAGGTGGAAGCTCTCCACACAGAGATTTTGAAGCTTTTCCCACAGGCTGCTTGGCAGGAAAGATATTCCTCTTTAATGGCATGTAAGTTACCTGTGGAGGATGTCCACCCTCTGTCTCAGGCCTTTTTCAAATTAAAGGCAGTGAAACAGACCTTCAACCTGGAGGAATACAGCCTCTCTCAGGCTACCTTGGAGCAGGTGTTCTTAGAACTCTGTAAAGAGCAGGCGCTGGGAAATGTTGATGATAAAATTGATATAACAGTTCGATGGAAACTTCTCCCACGGGAAGATTCTTAAAACGAAGAACCTCCTAACATTCAATTTTAAGTCCTACTGCATTATTAGTTTCCATAATTCTACAAGAATGTTTCCTTTTACTTCAGTTAACAAAAGAAAATATTCAATAGTTTAAACATGCAACAATGATTAAAGTTTTCATTTTTAAAAATTTTAGGATGAAGGAAACAAGGAAATATAGGGAAAAGTAGCAGACAAAATTAACAAACTCAGACATGTTATTCATCCCCAACATGGGTCTATTTTGTGCTTAAAAATAATTTTAAAATCATAAAATATTAGGTTTGTTTTTGGTTATTATCAATAAAGTTAACACTGAGCACATTTTACAAATAAAAATGAGTTTTTTGCCTAAATTTCAAATATATCAGCTATTTTTAAACATTAGTTACTCAGATTCTAATTTAATGTGACATTGACTATAAGAAGATCTGATGAAATGGCACAACATAACATTTAATTATAATGACATTCTGATTACAAAATAGGTGTGAATTTTAGTACATATTGAAATTATATGGAAGAAGATAACCATAATCTGTAAGAAAGTACCACAGTTAATATTTTCTTTAGCCAACTAATATTCAATGTATTTTTTATGGGTCCTTTTTCAAAGGTAGTATCAGTAGGCATAGTCATTTTCTGTATCTTTTCACCTCACAGTTCACGAACATTTCCCATGTCCTTATAACACTTTTGTGTTATAAAATTGCTGCACTAATGTTATAGCTGTATTAATGTAATACCAGAGTTGTTGTGTTTGGGTTATATGTAAATTTATTTCTTATAAATAAAACTTTGACAGACTTAAAAAAAAAAGTGGCAAGCTGGGCACAGTGGCTCACACCTGTAATCCCAGCACTTTCGGAGGCCAAGGCAGGTGGATCACCTGAGGTCAGGAGTTCGAGACTAGCTTGGCCAACATGGTGAAGCTCCATCCCTACTAAAAATATAAAAATTAGCTGGGCGTGGTGGCGGCATCTGTAATCCCAGCTACTCGAGAGGCTGAGGCAGGGGAATTGCTTGAGCCTGGGAGGCGGGGGTTGCAGTGAGCTGAGATGGTGCCACTGCACTCCAGCCTGGGTGATAAGAGTGAGACTCCCTCTCAAAAAAAAAAGGAGCAGTTATGCCCTGGCAAAAGAACCTTTATGGGAACTTTGGAATCCATGTCAAAGGGTGTAAACCTAAGACTGAGGAGGGCTGTATTGAGAAGGCATGAGCTTGCTTGAGTGGCATGCTTGCCCATCATAGTCCCAGCTACAAAATAAAATATGATTAATTCTCATTGTAAGTATAGCTGTAGGCCATTTGGTTTTGTTTATGCCACTAGCACCATCTGCCAAGACACCAAGGAGGATTCATAATGTCCTGTGTCTCAGGTGAAAGGACTTTAGATGTTGCTCCTCTCAGTGATCTCCGAATTAGCCCCTTGCACACATCTATCATGATGTGGAAGAAATCCTGCACATGCAGGAACCCACAGACAGAAACGTCCATCTGTGCCCCTGGATGTAGGCTTGCCAATATTTATTTAATGGTGGATCTTGACGTGGCACTATAATCTGGCTCCCAGTCCATGAAACTGAAGTCCAGAAGCAGTTTTTCCTAACCTGGGACCTGCCAAAAAACACACTATATGTGCCCCTGTAGGCATGCTGGCTGACTTTATTCCCACTGTGAATCTTGAAGCAGTCCTAAAACCCAGCTCCAGTCCCAAAACCTACCTCCAGTCCCTGTCAACTAAAGTCTGGGAGCAGTCCTGCCCACCCAGGAATCTGGAGGGAGAAATGCCATGAAGCCAGAAACAAACCTGAAGACTTTGGTCTCAGCTGTGTATCCTGAAGCAGCCCTATGAATCAGTTCCACACCCTCTCAGCTGTGACCAAGGGTCAGTACTTCTCATCTAGGAACCTGTCCAATGACTGGGTTAGAGGATTTCCAAAAACCCAGCAAGAGCCACACAGCAGAAGCCATACCTGCTCACATGGATTTTATCAGCTCTGTCATCTGCCTGTATAACCAGAGACTTTTTTTCCTCAGCACCAGTCTTACTGATCAAGATCCTGAAGAAAGTTCAGTCTTCCCAGAAAATAGAATCCACAATGGTCTGATGCCCTAATAACAGGTCTGCCAAGAATGAACTTCACTGTGATCCAGATCCAGTGCACCTTACTGCAATCTCATCAGCACAGAGATCCAATAGGAGAAAATATTTACCTCCACAAACTAATCTATAATGACTGAAAGACGTATTTACTCCTTCAGATGCAAGGACATAAAAAGAAGGTATCACAGATCATGAAGGATCAGGCAAACATAACATCACCAAAGGAAACTAAAAATGCTCCAGTAACCACTTACAGTAAGACACAGATCTAAAAAATGGCCAAGAATTCAAAATAATTTTCTTAAAGAATCTCAATGGATGCAAAAAGACCACACATTACTAAATTCTTTTGCAACAACGTATGAACAAAATCACAATTATAATAAAGAGAACCCATTAAAAGAGAACCAAATAGATATGCTGGAGCTGAAGTACACAATAGGAGATCTAAAATATTTAAGAGAAAGCTTTAACAGGAGACCTCGTTACACAGGAAAAAAAAAAACAGCAGATGTAAAAGTAAGTCATTTGAAAGTTTCTGATTAGAATTTTAAAAAAGAATGTAAGAGTGAATAAAGCATTTGGGTCCCATACTGCATAGTAAACAGTAAGAATGTACGTATTTTAGGGGGTTCATGAGAGAGAAAATTTTAAAAATTGTTTAAAGATATAATGTCTTAAATTTCTACCAATCTTGGAAGAAATATAGACATTAAATTGAAAAGCTCAAAATGTCTGTAGCAAGAAGAATCTAACAAAAATTGTCCATAACACGTTGTAATTATGCCAAAATTCAAAGACAAGGAGAGATCCTTAAAAGAAGGAAGAGAAAAGAGATTCTTCACATACAAGGGAACTTCTATAAGGTTATCAGCAGATTGCCCAGCAAAAACCATGCAAGCCACATGGAAGTGAAACCGTATATTTAAAGTGCAAATGAAGAGAGAAAAAGAAAAAACCTTGACAACTAAGAATACACCTGACAAAGCTGTTCTTTAGAAATGATGTATCAATCAAAATCTCAGATTTAAAAAAAGTTGAGGAAATTTTTCATCACTAGACCTGACTTACAAAAAATGCTAATGAGAATTTTTCGAGTTGTAATGGAATCCTAACTTACAACAATAAAGTAAATATTACTGAAAGTCATATATACATAGTCAAATTTAGAAGGCTATAAACCTGTAATTATGGTCAAAAATCACTTTTAACTATGGTATAAAAACTATAAGAAAAAATTACTAAAAATAGCTTCAATAAATTGTTAATGGGTATACGATATAAAAAGATGTAGCGTGTGAGGCTGGGCGCAGTGGCTCACGCCTGTAATCTGAGCACTTTGGGAGGCCGAGGTGGGTGGATCATGAGGTCAGGAGATCGAGACCATCCTGGCTAACACAGTGACCCCCGTCTCTACTAAAAATACAAAAAATTAGCTGGTTACAGTGGCAGGCGCCTGTAGTCCCAGCTAGTAGGAAGGCTGAGGCAGGAGAATGCCATGAACCTGGGAGCAGAGCTAGCAGTGAGCCGAGATTTCGCCACTGCACTCCAGCCTGGGTGACAGAGCAAGACTCCATCTCAAAAAAAAAAAAAAGTAGGGTGTGACATAAATACTATGTTGAAGGGAGTAAGATTGTTTAATTTTTCTATACATAGAAGCTAACTTTTGCTTGAGGCCAGGAGTTCAAAACCAGTCTGGTCGATATAGCAGGACCCTGTCTCTTCAATAAGTACATAATTAAAATTAAAGATCTCAGAAAGCTATTTATTCTTTTAAAAAAAGCAGCTGGGCCTGATGGCTCATGCCTGTAATCCTAGCATTTTGGGAGGCCAAGACAGGTGGATTGCTTGGGCCCAGGAGTTCAAGACCAGCCTGAGCAACATGGCAAAACCCTGTCTCCATAAAAAATAGTAAAAAAATTAGCCAGACATGGCAGCATGTACTTGTAGTCCCAGCTACTTGGGAGGCTGAGATAGGAGGATTGCTTGAGCCTGGGGAAGTTGAGTCTGTACTGAGCTATGAATGCACCACTGCACTACAACCTGGGTAACAAAGCAAGACCCTGTCTGGCCTGGGTAACAACGCAAGACCCTATCTGTACAAAACAAACAGTTAAATTGCTATCTGAAGCTTGATTTTATAACTATGAGATGTTTTACATAAGTTTCTTGGAAATTACAAAAAAAAATTGTAGTGGGTAAATACAAAAAAAGAAGGCATAAAACAACAAAAACAAAACAAAAATTCAAGAAAACACCAGGGAAGACAGCATGAAAGAATTAACAGAAACGAAATGGTCAGAAAACAGAAAACAGCAGTAATAGGGCTGGGTGTGGTGGCTCACGCCTGTAATCCCAGCACCTTGGGAGGCTGAGGTGGGCAGATCACGAGGTCAGGAGATCAAAACCATCGTGGCTAACACGGTGAAACCCCGTATCTACTAAAAATACCAAAAATTATCTGGGCGTGGTGGCGGGTGCCTGTAGTCCCAGCTACTTGGGAGGCTGACGCAGGCGAATTGCATGAACTCAGGAGGCAGAGGTTGCAATGAGCCAAGATCGTGCCACTGCACTCCAGCCTGGGCGACTAAGTGAGATTCTGTCAAAAAAAATAGAAAAGAAAAGAAAAGCAAATAGAAGTAATAAGTTCTTATCAATCAGTAATTCCTTTAAATATATATTTAGTTATTCAATAAAAACATTGCTATAGTGTGAGCATCCCCTCCAAAATTCACGTTAAAATTTAACTACCATTGTGAGAAAATTAAGAAATGAGGCCCTTAATAAGTTATTAGATCATGAGAGTTCTACTCTCATGAAAGGATTAGTATCATCATTTCCACAGTGGGTTAGTCATCATGAGAGTGGGTCTATTATAAAAGTGAGCTCTGGTGTACACCTTCCATCATCCTCAAGCCTTTGGTCATGTTGTGATGTGGAAGTATGATTCTCATCAGATGGGAATGATATGCTCTTGGACTTCTTGGCATCCAGGATTCTGAGCTAAGTAAACTTCTATTCTTTATAAATTACCAACTCTGGGATATTCTGTTATTGAAGCAAAAAATAAATGAAAACATTCACAGAATGTCTGAATAGATTTAAAAAATCAACAATATGCTGTGCACAAAAGACTTATTTTAGATTTAAGGACATACATAGCTTAATGGTACAAGGATGAAAAAGAATATTCCATGCCAATAATAACTAAAACAGTGTAGAAGTGGCTATATTTATATCAGACTACATAGACTTATAGAAAAAAAATTTGTCATAAAAAAAGAACTTTATTATATAATGATGAGTCTAATTTGTCAAAAAATAATTAAATATATATATGTACCAAACACTGGAGCCCATAAATATATTAACACATATTAAGAAAAGTGGAGAAACAGATATAATAGGGGAATATACTGCCCTACTTAATACATCATTCAGACAGAAAGCTAGTGAAAAAACAATGTACTTGCTTAACACTATAAAACTGTACCTAACAGACATATGTAGAACATTTCATCCAACAGTATAATTTATATTCTTTTCAAACATACATGGAACATTCTCCAGGACACATCATAAATCTGGCCCACAACAAAAACAAACAAGTCTTTTCATTTTTAAAAAGACTGAAATCATATCAAAGTTTTAAATCACAATTTTATAAAACTAGAAATCAATATAAGGAAAAGTAAAAAACTTACAAATATGTGTATATTAAACAACACGCTTCTGAAAAACCAATGGGTCAAAGACGAAAAAAAATCACAAACTATCTTGAGAAAACTGAAAATAGAAACAGGACATATCAAAACTGAAATGTAACAAAAGATGTTCTAAGAATTTTATAGCAATATATTTTTATACTAAGAAAAAAGATCTCAAACAATGAAACTTTAATCCTCAAAGCACTTGAAAAATAACTAATCCCAATGTTAGTATAATAAAATAAAAATTAGACCTCTAATAGAAATGAATTAGATACTTAAAATACAACAAAAAAGAAAAAAGGCAGAGAAAGAATTTACATATAAAAATTTTCTAAATTAAGGCTGGGTGCAGTGGCTTATGCCTGTAATCCCAGCACTTTGGGAGGCCGAGGCGGGGGGATCACGAGGTCAGGAGTTGAGACAAGCCTGGCCAACACAGTGAAACCCCGTCTCTAATAAAAATACAAAAAAATTAGCCGGGTGTGGTGACATGGGCCTGTAGTCCTAGCTACTTGGGAGGCTGAGGCAGGATAATCGCTTGAACCCAGGAGGCTGAGAGGTTGCAGTGAGCTGAGACTGCGTCATTGCACTCCAGCCTGGGTGACAGAGTGAGACTCCATCTCAAAAAAAAAAAAAATTCTAATGAAAGGTTTTTAGAAAAGGGAGGAGAGAAAATACTCTTCCTTTATTTTCCAGTTGGAGGACTAAGTCTCTCATTTCTGTTTTGCACTTATATTTACAATAACCACATCCAAAAACTCTGCTTCGAACTCATGGACATCTGATTTCCAGCATGGCCTGGATTTAGGCACCTGCAGGGAGACCTTGGGCATACTGTCTTCACAGGAAAGAGGGTTTGTGGGGGAAAAATGCAGAATAGAAAAGGTGCTATCAAGAATCCATGGGTGAGCTTTGGTGCACAATTGGTGAAAGAACTGGTTAGTGCTACAGATACTGGCCCAGGCAGGACAGCTCTGACTTATAAATGTGTGCGTGCAGGGAGATAAGATGGTCAGGTGATCCAGAAATCTAGGCTACTGCAGGAAAGAGGTTACTGGTGCAGATTCAAGATCTGGGAGGTAGAAAGAAGCCATGAATCTTCGGGACACTTACGTGGCCTGTTAGTGGAAAACTCTAGAAGCAGTCCTCAGTCTCCTTTGACCCTTGGAGGAGACCTAGAATCACAGGACAATTCACAGTGTGACAGCTTGTCTGCAAAAAAAAAAAAAAAAAAAAAAAAAAAGGAAGGAAAAAAAACCTCTCCATTCTACAACAGACCCAGTGTCTCCCTCCAACCAAGGCTGCTATGATATCTTAATTTTACTTTTCTGAGAAAGGGTCTCATTTTGTCACATAGGTTGGAGTGCAGTGGTGTGATCTTGGCTCATGGCAGCATTGGCCACCCAGGGTGCAAGCGATCCTCCTGCCTCAGCACCCCCTCCAGGTAGCCAGGAATACAGGTGTGTGCCACTGTCCCCAGCTAGTTTTTTTGGATTTTTGGCAGAGATAGGATTTCACCATGTTGCCCAGGCTGGTGTTTAACTCCTGAGCTCAAGCAATCTGCCCTCCTCGTCCTCCCAAAGTGCTAGGTTTACAGGCGTGAGCCACCATACCCAGCCTAATGTTTTTTTTTTTTTCTGAGTCAGTCTCGCTCTGTCGCCCAGGCTGGAGTGCAGTGGCGCGATCTTGGCTCACTGCAAGCTCCGCCTCCCGGCTTCATGCCATTCTCCTGCCTCAGCCTCCCGAGTAGCTGGGACTACAGGCGCCCACCACAACCACGCCTGGCTAATTTTTTGTATTTTTAGTAGAGACGGGGTTTCATCGTGTTAGCCAGGATGGTCTCGCCTGCCTTGGCCTCCCAAAGTACTGGGATTACAAGCGTGAGCCACCGTGCCTGGCCCTAATATCTTTATTCTAACACCAAATATATGGAGTTTGCTGAACATCAACCATTCTCCAACACAAACTGGGTGTCCAACAACTCAATTCTGAAAACACCCAGGTCAGCATAGACCCCACTGACTCAAGGCTGAGTCCCACAACACTGCTTCCATTCCACATGCCAGTCACAAGCCCCAGGGACCCATCTATACTTCTGAGGAACTGTCTATAAATTATAGGCTTCCATAACTCCCTCCCTCAAGTTAAAGGATTTGATAAAACTACTCACAGAACTTGGCAAAAACACTTTACCTATGTTTACTAGATTATTATATTGGATACAACTCAGTAAATGCTAAGAGGAAAAAACACATAGGACAAAGAAAAGCAGGGAAAACATGATGTGGGCAGTGAATCATGGTAGTTACGACTAACATCTCTCAAATCCTTTGTGTTCTGCAAGAAAAGCTTACTGCAAAGAAATACCCTTTTCATTATGACTTTTATGATACTCCCTCTTTAGGTATCACAAATTCACAGATTCTACATTCTCATTTTTCCCTCATAAATAATTAATAATTTTGTCTTCAGTGTTCAGAATACTTGTTAACCAAACTGCTCAAGTTTCTCTCCTTCTCCCAGGCCCCTGGACTATGCTCCACCTTCAGTCTAAGCCAGCATACAACCCTCTTGATGCCCCTCCCAAGAACAGGCTGACTTCAGGGTGAAACATTCTCTAATCTTGAATCTGATTTTGCCATTCTCATTCTCCATTCTGCCTTCTCCCTCCCATCTTCCTTCTAATCGTTTGATCCTCCATATGAAAAATCACCCTTATCTGTCTCATTTTGGAGGTGCTTGCAGATCTTGTGCTTAGTGCTTTTTCCATTGCAATACTCCTTAAAATAAAGTCACTTCTTACCTACATCAGAATTTATTTTATTTGATGATATCTAGAAACAGCCCGATGACAATAACAATTACACCCTCTCAGAGGACATCACAACCCTCCTCCCATCCCAACTCTCACTGCATCTGCCTGTGGATCCTCAGCTTTCCAGGGCTCTGTAGCTTCTCAGTATAAAGGCTCCTTTCATGTCTAATTTGAGCCAGGCTGGGACACCTGCAGAAAATGTTCCCAGGAAGAAACTACCGGGCTACTGATGACCTCCTTTGGCAGGGTCAAGATTGGCCTTACCTTGCAGTCAACAGTCTTAGGTCTCTGATTCCCAGTCAAGATTATTCACTTAGTTTTATATAAAAGAACTCGGTGTTTAAAGAAACCAGCAAAATTCCTCAAACTCATTGCTTATGTTTATAGGAGGAAAGGAGATTGTAAGGCACTTACATTTTATACTTCAACAAGAAAAACCAAAATATATATCAATTTCAGACAATAATCATTTAGGTATTATTTCCATAACAACAAATAGGAAATCATACATGAACATTAACCAGGAATGTCAAGTCCTATTCCATAAAATTTAACATTAAATTCAGACATCCAGATAACAGCATACAGAGCAGACTTATTCATTACTACAAATTCCCCACCACGCAGAAAAGAGAAACTGATATTTTGGCACATCTCTAAATCACCAATTTATCTACCAAAATTTCTTCTAAAAATGCATTCAGTTCTCTGCAGCCATAGAGGAAGAGAAATGTTTCCTACTTTTTTTAACCCAGTAATATTCCCATAACTAGGCCCTGAGGTTCTGTTTGAAACCACTCCCAAAATATACAGATCTGAAAAACTTATTACACGTGTCAAGGGAAAACGAAAGAATTTTTAACAAATATACCATTAGACATTTTTTAAGTTTACATATTTATGCCTCTTTGAGAATATTCTCCTATCTTTCAAACTCTACCAATAAAATGCATTGTACAGTTAATAAAATGGAAGTTGAAATAAATAAACATTTTTTTCAAGATGACAAACCCAAGGAGTGGCAGTACTGGCTGGAATAATGATATGTCTGACTCAAGTGTCAAGTTGGGCTGTCTGTCGTGTGATGTACATCCTCACACCTTTATCCTTCTCACTGAAGTACTCAATGACCACCCTCCCAAGAGCCTCTGCACTGCATCCCCATGTGTGCCTGGAGTGGTGTTTTGTGTGTGTGTGTGTGTGTGTGTGTGTTTGTGTGTGTGGGTGCAGGTCCATGCACCATCTTGCTAGAATGGACTTTGTCTCTGGGGATACTATATTCTTCTCCCTTCACAATTCTGAAAAAATCCAGATGGTAGAAATTATTTCTGCCTTTCCCCTCAGTATCAGCATTCCATTGGCTGAGCAGCAATGTGATTCCAAAAAATGGAAACTGGACTGGGAGAAAGAAAATCTTAATGCCACAAGGATGTGGCTTTTTGAATGAAGCGTAAACCACAAGAGTGCTCTGAGCACCAGGTCACCCAGCTGCTTCCGAGAGGGTCCACCCCACACCTGAGGCCGTCCACTATGAGGAGATGATTCAGTAACTGTTATGCCCTAAGCACTCGAAGACACATGGCTACCGTGGGCATCTGGGATCTTCCCCAGACAGTTCTGAAGCCTAGGACCAGGACAAGACAACAGGATGGCTGAGGACAAATTACCTTCTAGAGTTGGGAACCTAAACCCCAAATCGTTCTGATAAAGTGTCTGTATCTGAAGAAGAAAAAAGAAGAGGCACAAAGGATGCACACTTTTACCACTATTATTCAACATAGTACTAGAAGTGCTAGCTAGAGCAATGAGACAAGAGAAAACAATAAAGGCCATCCAAACTGGAAAGGAAGAAGCCAAATTATCTTTGTTTGCAGATGATGTGGTCTTATATTTGGAAAAACCAAATTCACTAAAACATGATTAGAATTGATGAATTTAGTGAAGATTTAAGATTTAAAAATTAGTAGTGTTTCTACATGCTAACAGTGAACAATGTGAAAAAGAAATCAACTAATCCCATTTACAATAGCAACAAATTCAAATTAAATACCTAGAAATTAAAGAAATGAAAAATCTCTACAATGAGTACTATAAAACACTGATGCAAGAAATTTAAGAAGACAAAAAACTGAATAATATTTTATGTTTATGGATAGGATGAATCAACATTTTTTAAATGTCCATACTACCCAAAGCAATCTACAGACTTAACACAACCTCTAGAAAAACATCAATGACATTCTTCCCAGAAATAGAAAAAACAATCCTACAATGTAGACAGAACCACAAAAGAATCAGAATAGCGAAAGCCATTGTAAGAAAAATAAACTGGAGGAATCATAGTATTTGACTTTAAATGATACTACAGAGCTACAGTAATTAAAACAGCATGAAACTGATCAGTGAAACAGTAGAGAGAATGCAGAGACATATCCACATATCTACAACCAACTTATTTTTGACAAAGGTGTCAAGAATATATACTGGGGAAAGGAGTCTTCAATAAATTGTGCTAAAAAAACTGAATATCCATATTCAGAAGAATGAAACTAGACAACATCTCTTGTCATATAAAAAAATTAAATCAAAATGGATTAGAGACAAATCTAAGATCTCAAACTACGAAACTCCTACAAGAAAACATTGCTGAAACTCTACAGGAAATTAAACTGGGCAAAGATGTCTTTAGTAATACCCCACAAGCACAGGCAACCAAAGCAAAAATGAACTAATGGAATCCCATCAAGTTAAAGTGCTTCTAAAGAGCAAATGAAACAATTAACAAAAAGACAACACATAAAATGAGAAAAAATGTGTAAACTGCCCATCAGAAAAAAAAAAAAAAACGAGAATACATAGTGCGCACAAACAGCTCTATAGGATAAAATTGAATAATCTGATTATAAATGGGCAAAAATTTGAATAGACATTTCTGAAAAGAGGGCATACAAATGACAAAAAGACACATGACAAGGTGCTCAAGATCATTTATTATCAGAGAAATGCAATCAAAATGACAATGAGATATTATCTTACTCCAATTACAATGGCTCTAATCCAAGTCAGGCAATAACAAATGCTGATGAGGATGTTGGGAAAAGTGAACTCTAGTGCTCTCTTGGTGGGAATGTAAATTAGTACAACCACTATGGAGAACAGTTTAGAGGTTCCTCAAAAAATGAAAAATAGAGCTACTATATTATCCAGCAATCCCACTCCTAAGTAGGTACATAAAAGAAATCAGGACATCAAAGAGATATTTATACCACCATTTTTATTGCATCAGTGTTCACATTATCCAAGATTTAGAAGCAACCTAAGTGTCTATCAACAGATGAATGGATAAAGCAAATGTGGTACATATACACAATGGAATATTTTTCAATCATAAAAAAGAATAAGATCCTGTCATTTGCAACAACAAGTATGGAACTAGAGGTCATTATGCTTTTTTTTTTTTTTTTTTTTGAGACAGAGTCTCACTCTGTTGCCCAGGCTGGAGTGCAGTGGCGCGATCTCCGCTCACGCCATTCTCCCGCCTCAGCCTCCCAAGTAGCTGGGACTACAGGTGCCCACCACCACGCCGGGCTAATTTTTTGTATTTTTAGTAGAGACGGGGCTTCACCATGTTAGCCAGGATGGTCTGGATCTCCTGACCTCGTGATCCGCCCGCCCCGGCCTCCCAAAGTGCTGGGATTATAGGCGTGAGCCACCGCTCCCGGCCGAGGTCGTTATGTTTACAGATATAATCCAGGCATATAAAGTAAACTTTGCATGTTCTCACACATTTGCTGGAGCTAAAAATTAAATTAATTTCATGAAACTAGAAGGAGGATTGTTACCAGAGGCTGGAGAGTATACTACAGGTCTGGGAGGAAGTGAGGAAAGTTAATGGTTTCAAAAAAATTAGAGTAAGATTTAGTAGTTGCTCATATAACAGAGTGACTATAGTCAAAAGCAAATTAACTATACATTTTTAAATAACTAAAAGAATGAAATCAGATTGTTTGTAAAACAAAGGACAAATACTTGAGATAGTGAATACCTATACCTTGATGTGATTTTTATACATTTCTTGCCTACATTAGAAATCTCATGTTGGCCGGGCACAGTGGCTCACGTTTGTAATCCCAGCACTTTGGGAGGCCGAGGCGGGTGGATCACAAGGTCGGGCGATCAAGACCACAGTGAAACCCCGTCTCTACTAAAAATACAAAAAAATTAGCCAGGTGTGGTGGCGGGCGCCTGTAGTACCAGCTACTCAGAGAGGCTGAGGTAGGAGAATGGGGTGAACCTGGGAGGCGGAGCTAGCAGTGAGCCGAGATGGCGCCACTGCACTCCAGCCTGGACGACAGAGCAGGAGTCCATCTCAAAAAAAAAAAAAAAATCTCATGTAACCCATAGATATATAGCTACTGTGCATTCACAAAAATTAAAAATTAAAGTAATAAAGATATCAATTTAAACTGCAAGAACAAAAACCACTGATCCTCATTTCTTCATAGATAAATGATCTTAGCACCATATTGATTACATCGCCTTTGTGGGAATTCCAAAACATAGTTAAGAATATGTACTACTTCACTTTAGCAAAATGCCAAAAACATGTAGAAGAGAAGAAAAATGTTATTACACATGCTCAGTACATCCTTACCTCCTCCCAATACAGTATGGTGAAAACAAGGAGAAACTCCCAACTCTATGCTTCTTCCTCAGGAGAGAAAGAGAAATGTAGAATATGTGTCCACATTTTTGGTTTTTAGGGGGCTGTCAAAGATGGGTTCCCCTGACACAGAGTGCTGAAGAAAAAGGTGGTATACTTTGGATGACAGCAGCTATGCATTTTTGCATTACTATAAGAAGCAATCCTAAAGTTATATGAGAACTAAGGAAGCCAGAAGTGCTCAAAAATTGTCAAAAGAGGAACAACATCAGAAGCATCATACATCCTGATTTTAAAAACCTATTATAAAGTTATAGTAATTCAAATACTTTATAACTGGATCAAAAAAAGACAATACCAGTGAAACAGAATAGAGCACATAAATAATCCCTTGCATATATTATCAAATGAAGAGTAATTTACACATCCATATTCATTGTAGCATCATCTACAAAAGCAAGTATGTGGAAAGAACCAAGTTTTATTAATAAATGAATAAAGATAATTTGGAATGTATAAATAACTAAATATTATTAACTTCTTAAGAGCAGAAAATTTTGTTATATCCCCAATAAGGATACATTTTAAAGACTTTGTTTATGTGCAAGAAGCCAGGCACAAAAAGACAAATACCATATAATTCCACTTATGCAAGATACCTAAAGTAATTAAACTCCTAGAAACAGAAAGTAAACTAAACTGTGTCAGGGGCTAAGTGGAGAAGAAAATGAGTAGTTGTTGTTTCACAGACAACCTGTTAGAACACAAAATAACCTGTTAGAACACAAAATAGCTCTGTCGCCCAAGCTGGAGTGCAGTGGCCGATCTCGGCTCACTACAAGCTTCACCTCCCAGGTTCACGCCATTCTCCTGCCTCAGCCTCCCTAGTAGCTGGGACTACAAGCGCCCGATAACTCTTATTTTTTAAAACTTTATTTTAAGATCTGGGTATATGTGCAGGATTGTTATATAGGTAAACTTGTGTCAATGAGGGTTTTTTGTACAGATTATTTTGTCATCAAGGTATTAAGCCTGGTACACATTAAATATTGAATTACACAATGCATCCTTTCATACCACATGAAATAAAACTAGACAGCAACAGCAGAAGCAAAATTGCCACATCCAAAAATTTGTGAGACTTAACAGACTCTTCAACATACTATTCATTGTGTCAGAAGATTTAATATTTTTAAATAACAATACTACCCACAGTGATATTCAAATTCATTGTAATCCTGGTAAAAATCCAAATGATACTTGATACTTTTTTTTTTTTTAAGATGAAGTCTTGCTCTGTCGCCCAGGCTAAAGGGCAGTGGCGCAATCTCAGCTCACTGCAACCTCCACCTCCTGGGTTCAAGAAATTCCCTGTGCCTCAGCCTCCAAAGTAGCTGGGATTACAGGCGCCCACCACCACACTCGGCTAATTTTGTATTTTTAGTAGAGACAGGGTTTCACCATTTGGCCAGGCTGGTCTTGAACTCCTCACCTTGTGATCCACCTGCCTCGGCCTCCCAAACTGCTGGGATTACAGGCGAGAGTCACTGCGCCCAGTGCCAAATGATACTTTTTAAAGAAATCTTTTTTAAAATTCTTACATTTACATGGAATATCAAAGGACCACTGATAGCCCGAACATTCTTAGGAAACAAGAACAAAGAGGCACAACGCTTCCTTTGTTTAGAACAGATTACAAAGCTACATAAATAAAAACACTGTGGTACTTGAAAGAAGACAACTAGTGATGGAACAGAACCCAGAACTTAAAACCAAACCATGTTTGTATATATGCTCAAATGATCTTCAACAAGGTTGCTATGACCGCACAACAAGAAAAACACAGTCTCTTCAATAAATGGTATTGGAAAACTCTGTATCCACATGGGAAAAACTGAGATTGGGTCCTTCCTCTGAACCATATAAAAAAAACTGTCTTGAATGAGTTAAATATTTAAATGTCAGAATTATACCTATATAATCTCTAAAAGAAGATACAGTAAGATTATGACCTTGGTCTCAGCAATTTTTTTTTTTTTTGAGACAGTCTTGCTCTGTCACCCAGGCTGGAGTGCAGTGGTGCGATCTCAGTTCACTGCAACCTCTGCCTCCTGGGTTCATGTGATTCTCATGCCTCAGCCTCCCAAGTAGCTGGGATTATAGGTACAGGCCAGCAGGCTAGAGTGCAGTGGTGTAATCTCAACTCACTGCAAGCTCTGCCTCCTGGGTTCACACCATTCTCCTGCCTCAGCCTCCTGAGCAGCTGGTACTACAGGTGCCCGCCACCACGCCCAGCTAATTTTGTTTCTGTATTTTTAGTAGAGACGAGGTTTCACCAGCCAGGATGGTCTCAATCTCCTGACCTCATGATCCGCCCGCCTCGGCCTCCCAAAGTGCTAGGAATTACAGGAGTGAGCCACCATGCCTGGCCCATGATTCCACTTTTATACAATATTTTAAGTAGTAAACTAGGAAATAGAAGTAGAAAGATGTTTGCCTATGGTAAGAGCTGTGAAACCTCAGTGGAGCCAGAGATCAAGGAGGGTTATTTAGAAAAAGGAGGTCCTCACCCAGGTGGCCAACTCAAAGGCACATAGACTTGGCTACAGACAAGGAAACAGTGCAGAGTTTGGCCTTACTGAAGATTATGAAGCAGTTCTGCAACCTTTCTCAAACTCCTATCAGCTACAGTCCACAAGTGGTCCTTCCCATCAAGAGATCTGCAGGGAAACAGCCAGCCATAATCCTGGAGGCAGGCCTGTGTATCCTGGCCTCAGCTGTGCTCCCTGAAGCAGCCCTGTGACTCAGTTCTAACCCTCACAGCCACAATCCATGGCCAGCTGTACACACTCAGGGACCCACATAGAGACTTTGAAAACTGTTCCCAGGTAGTCAGCAGAAGCCAAACCCATTCATACACCTTGTATTTGACCCATCATATGCAGACAAACTTTAAACCCTAACCTACTGCCTGCCATATAGATTAATGTCCTCAAGGATATTTAATCTTTCCATGGCCCAGAAAGAATCCATGAGTGTCGAAATCTCTGGTAACACAATCATCAAAGGCAGACCCCACAGCACCCTTGTGAGCCAGCTACTACAACCCTTCTTCTCTGCAACCGCAGAGGTAATCTCAGCCTGTGGACCAAACAAATGGGAGATCTTTGTCAGGCCTCTGAGCCCAAGCTAAGCCATCATATCCCCTGTGACCTGCATGTATACATCCAGATGGCCTGAAGCAACTGAAGATCCACAAAAGAAGTGAAAATAGCCTTAACTGATGACATTCCATCATTGTGATTTGTTCCTGCCCCCACCCTAACTGATATATTCTCCCCCAACCCTTAAGAAGGTACTTTGTAATATTCTCCCCCACCCCGCCCTTAAGACGGTACTTTGTATGCCTATCCCAAACCTGTAAGAACTAATGATAATCCCACCACCCTTTGCTGACTCCTTTTTTGGCCTCAGCCCATCTGCACCCAGGTGAAATAAACAGCCTTGTTGCTCACACAAGCCTGTTGGTGGACTCTCTTCATATGGACACGCCTGACATTTGGTGCCAAGGACCCAGGTCAGAGGGACTCCTTTGGGAGACCAGTCCCCTGTTCTCGCCCTCACTCTGTGAGGAGATCCATCTATAACCTCAGGTCCTCAGACCAACCAGCCCAAGGAACATCTCATCAATTTCAAATCAGGTAAGCAGTCTTCACTCTTCTCTAGCCTCTCTCACTACACTTCAATCTTCCTCTCTCGCTACCCTTCAATCTCCCTGTCCTTCCAATTCCAGTTCTTTTTCCTCTCTAGTAGAGACAAAGGAGACATATTTTATCTGTGGACCCAAAACTCTGGCGCCGGTCACAGACTCAGGAAGACAGTCTTCCCTTGATGTTTAATCGTTATGGGGATGCCTGCCTGATTATTCACCCACATTCCATTGGTGTCTGATAACCGCAGGGATGCCTGCCTTGGTCATTCACCCACATTCCCTTGGTGGCAAGTCAATTGCGGGGACACCTGCTTGGCTGCTCACCCACATTGCAGCCCAGGGCTGCTCACCCACCCTCTTCTCTTTGTCTCTACCTTTCTCTTTAAACTTACCTCCTTCATTATGGGCAAACTTCCACCCTCCATTCCCCCTTCTTCTCCCTTAGTCTGTGTTCTCAAGAACTTAAAACCTCTTCAGTTCACATCTGACCTAAAGCTTAAATGCCTTATTTTCTTCTGCAGTACCACTTGGCCCCAATACAAACTCGACAGTAGTTCCAAGTGGCCAGAGAATGGCACTTTCGATTTGTCTATCCTACAAGATCTAGATAATTTTTGTTGAAAAATGGGCAAATGGTCTGAGGTGCCTGACGTCCAGGCATTCTTTACACATTGGTCCCTCCCTAGTCTCTGTTCCCAATCCGACTCATCCCAAATCTTTCTTCTTTCTCTCCTGTCTGTTCTTTCAGTCTCCAACCCAAGATCTGAATCCTTTGAATCCTTGTTTTCTACAGACTCATCTGACCTCTCCCCTTCTCCCCAGGCTGCTCCTCGCCAGGCTGAGCCAGGTCCCAGTTCTTCCTCAGCCTCTGCTCCCCCACCCTATAATCTTTCTATCACCTCCCCTCCTCACACCCAGTCTGGCTTACAGTTTCGTTCTGCAACTAGCCCTCCCCCACCTGCCCAACAATTTCCTCTTAAAGAGGTGGCTGGAGCTAAAGGCACAGTCAAAGTTAATGCTTCTTTTTTCTTTATCTGACCTCTCCCAGATCAGTTAGCGTTTAGGCTCTTTTTCGTCAAATATAAAAACCCAGCCCGGTTCCTGGCCCGCTTGGCAGCAACCCTGAGATGCTTTACGTCCTAGACCCAGAGGGGCCAGAAGGCCGCCTTATTCTTTTTTTTTTTTTTTTTTTTTTTTTTTTTTTTGAGACGGAGTCTCGCTCTGTCGCCCAGGCCGGACTGCGGACTGCAGTGGCGCAATCTCGGCTCACTGCAAGCTCCGCTTCCCGGGTTCACGTCATTCTCCTGCCTCAGCCTCCCGAGTAGCTGGGACTACAGGCGCCCGCCACCACGCCCGGCTAATTTTTTGTATTTTTAGTAGAGATGGGGTTTCACCTTGTTAGCCAGGATGGTCTCGATCTCCTGACCTCATGATCCACCCGCCTCGGCCTCCCAAAGTGCTGGGATTACAGGCGTGAGCCACCGCGCCCGGCCCGCCTTATTCTTAATATGCATTTTATCACCCAGTCAGCTCCTGACATGAGAAAAAGCTTCAAAAATTGGAATCTGACCCTCAAACCCCACAACGGGAATTAATCAACCTCGCCTTCGAGGTGTACAATAATAGGGAGGAGGTAGCCAGACAGCAACGCATTTCTGAGTTACAGCTACTTGCCTCCACTGTAAGACAACCCACAACCACATCTCTAGCATACAAGAACTTCAGAACCTCCAAGCCACAGCTCCCAGGGGTCCCTCAAAACATCCTCATGGACCTTGCTTCAAATGCCAAAAGCCTGGCCACTGGGCCTCAGCATGCCTGTAGCCCAGGATTCCTCCTAAGGTGTGCCCTGTCTGTGTGGGCCCCCACTGGAGGTCAGACTGTCCGACTCACATCACCACCGCTCCTCAAGCCCCTGGAGACCAAACCCAACGTTCCTTAGCCAACTCCTTCCCAGATTTCCTCAACTTAGTAGCTGAAGACTGACATGCCTGATCACCTCGGAAGCTCCCTGGACCATCACAGATGCCGAGCTTCAGGTAACTCTTACAGTGGAGGGTTAAGTCCGTCCCCTGTTTAATCAATACGGGGGCTACCCACTCCACATTACCTTCTTTTCAAGGGCCTGTTTCCCTTGCCCCCATAATTGTTGTGGGTATTAATGGCAAGCTTCGAAACCCCTTAAAACTTCCCCCCTCTGGTGCCAACTTGGACAACATTCTTTTATGCACTCTTTTTTAGTTATCCCCACCTGCCCAGTTCCCTTATTAGGCTGAGACATTTTAACCAAATTATCTGCTTCCCTGATTATTCCTGGACTACAGCCACATCTCATTGCCACCCTTCTTCCCAACCCAAAGCCTCCTTCGCGTCTTCCTCTCGTAAAGCCCCAACCTTAACCCACAAGTATGGGACACCTCCACTCCCTCCATGGCAACTGATCGCACACCTGTTGCTATCCCATTAAAACCTAATCACCCGGCTGGGCATGGTGGCTCACGCCTGTAATCCCAGCACTTTGGGAGGCTGAGACGGGTGGATCACGAGGTCAGGAGATCGAGATCATCCTGGCTAACACAATGAAACCCCATCTCTACTAAAAACACAAAAAATTAGCCGGGCGTGGTGGCGGGTACCTGTAGTCCCAGCTACTCAAGAGGCTGAGGCAGGAAAATGGCGTGAACCCGGGAGGCAGAACTTGTAGTGAGCAGAGATCGCGCCACTGCACTCCAGCCTGGGCTACAGAGCGAGACTCTGTCTCAAAAAAAAAACCTAATCACCCTTACCCCGCTCAACACCAATGTCCCATCCCACAGCACACTTTAAAAGGATTAAAGTCTGTTATCACTCGCCTGTTACAGCATGGCCTTTTAAAGCCTATAAACTCTCCTTACAATTCTCCCATTTTACCTGTCCAAAAACCAGACAAGTCTTACAGGTTAGTTCAGGATCTGCGCCTTATCAATCAAATTGTCTTGCCTATCCACCCCGTGGTGCCAAACCCATATGCTCTCCTATCCTCAGTACCTCCCTCCACAACCCATTATTCTGTTCTAGATAAACCTAGCTGACCCCACAAATCCTAAATCCTTTCCCCACTCCTCTTTCCATTCCTTAAAAAACAGCCCTAAAAGCTGCTCCCACATAGCTCTGCCTAACTCATCCCAACATTTTTCATTACACACAGCCAAACTGCAGGGATGTGTGGTCAGAATTCTTACACGAGAGCCGGGACCGCGCCCTGTAGCGTTTCTATCCAAACAACTTGACCTTACTTTTTTAGCATAGCCCTCATGTCTGTGTGCAGTGGCTGCCGCTGCTTTAATACTTTTAGAGGCCCTCAAAATCACAAGCTATGCTCCACTTACTCTCTACAGTTCCCATAACTTTCAAAATCTATTTTCCTCCTCACGCTTGACACATATACTTTCTGCCCCCCAGCTCCTTCAGCTATACTCAGTCTTTGTTGAGTCTCCCACAAATACCATTGTTCCTGGCCGAGACTTCAATCCGGCCTCCCACATTATTCCAGATACCACACCTGACCCCCATGACTGTATCTCTCTGATCCACCTCACATTCACTCCATTTCCCCATATTTCCTTCTTTCCTGTTCCTCACCCTGATCACACTTGGTTTATTGATGGCAGTTCCACCAGGCCTAATTGCCACTCAACAGCAAAGGCAGGCTATGCTATAGTATCTTCCACATCTATCATTGAGGCTACCACTCTGCCCCCTCCACTATCTCTCAGCAAACTGAACTCTTTGCCTTAACTTGAGCCCTCACTCTTGCCAAGGAATTACATGTCAATATTTATACTGACTCTAAATATGCCTTCCATATCCTGCACCAACATGCTGTTATATGGGGTGAAAGAGGTTTCCTCGCTATGCAAGGGTCCTACATCATTAATGCCTCTTTAATAAAAACTCTTCTCAAAGACACTTTCCTTCCAAAGGAAGCTGGAGTCATTCACTGCAAGGGCCATCAAAAGGCATCAGATCACATCACTCAGGGCAATGCTTATGCTGATAAGGTAGCTAAAGAAGCAGCTAGCATTCCAACTTCTGTCCCTTATGGCCAGTTTTTCTCCTCATCGGTCACTCCCACCTATACTCCCACTGAAACTTCCGCCTATCAATCTAATCTCTTCCCACACAAGTCAAATGGTTCTTGGACCAAGGAAAATGTCTCCTTCCAGCCTCAAAGGCCCATTCTATTCTATCATTGAGAGGTGACAGCGTGCTGGCAGCCCTCGCAGCCCTCGCTTGCTCTCGGTGCCTCCCCAGCCTTGGCACCCACTCTGGCTGTACTTGAGAAGCCCTTCGGCCTGCCGCTACACCGTGGGAGCCCCTTTCTGGGCTGGCCAAGGCCGGAGCCGACTCCCTCAGCTTGCTGGGAGGTGTGGAGGGAGAGGCGTGGGCGGGAACTGTGGCTGCGCACAGGGCTTGCGGGCCAGTGTGAGTTCTGGGTGGACGTGGGCTCAGCGGGCCCTGCACTTAGAGCAGCCGGCTGGCCCCGCCAGCCCCAGGCAGTGAGGGGCTTAGCACCTGGGCCAGTAGCTGCTGTGCTCGACTTCTCGCTGGGCCTTAGCTTCCTCCCCGCGGGGCAGGGCTCAGGACCTGCGGCCCACCATGCCTGAGCCTCCACCCCCCCAGCGATGGGCTCCTACGTGGCCCGAGCCTCCCCAATCAGTGCCGCCCCCTGCTCCACAGCGCCCAGTCCCATTGACCACCCAAGGGCTGAAGAGTGCGGACACACGGCGTGGGACTGGCAGGCAGCTCCACCTGCAGCCCCGGCGCGGGATCCACTGGGTGAAGCCAGCTGGGCTCCTGAGTCTGGTGGGGACTTGGAGAACATTTATGTCTAGCTAAGGGATTGTAAATACACCAATCGGCACTCTGTATCTAGCTCAAGGTTTGTAAATGCACCAATCAGCACTCTGTGTCTACCTCAGGGTTTGTAAATACATCAATCGACCTTCTGTATCTAGCTAATCTAGTGGGGACATGGAAAACTTTTGTGTTTAGCTCAGGGATTGTAAACGCACCAATCAGCACTCTGTCAAAATGGACCAATCAACTCTCTGTAAAACAGACCAATCAGCTCTCCGTAAAATGGACCATCAGCAGGATGTGGGTGGGGCCAGATAAGAGAATAAAAGCAGGCTGCCCGAGCCAGCAGTGGCAACCTGCTCGGGTCCCCTTCCACACTGTGGAAGTTTTGTTCTTTCCCTCTTTGCAATAAATCTTGCTGCTTCTCACTCTTTGGGTCCACACTGCCTTTATAAGCTGTAACACTCACCGCGAAGGTCTGCAGCTTCACTCCTGAAGCCACCGAGACCATGAACCCACCAGAAGGAAGAAACTCCAAACACAACCGAATATCAGAACGAACAAACTCGGACATGCTGCCTTTAAGAACTATAACACTCACCGCAAGCGTCCGCGGCTTCATTCTTGAAGTCAGTGAGACCAAGAACCCACCAATTCCGGACACATCATCATTTCATAACCTCTTCCACGTAGGTTACAAGCTGCTAGCCCGCCTCTTGGAACTTCTCATTTCCTTTCCATCATGGAACTCTATCCTCAAGGAAATCAGTTCTCAGTGTTCCATCTGCTATTCTACTACCCCTCAGGGATTGTTCAGGCCCCCTCCCTTCCCTACACATCAAGCTCAGGGATTTACCCCCGCCCAGGACTGGCAAATTGACTTTACTCACATGCCTCGAGTCAGGAAACTAAAATACCTCTTGGTCTGGGGAGATACTTTCACTGGATGGGTAGAGGCCTTTCCCACAGGGTCTGAGAAGGCCACCATGGTCATTTCTTCCCTTTTGTCAGACAGTTCCTCAGTTTGGCCTTCCCACCTCTATACAGTCCAATAACAGGCCTTTATTAGTCAAATCACCAAAGCAGTTTCTCAGACTCTTGGTATTCAGTGGAAACTTCATACCCCTTACCGTCCTCAATCTTCAGGAAAGGTAAAATGGACTAATGGTCTTTTAAATACACACCTTACCAAACTCAGCCTCCAACTTAAAAAGGAGTGGACAGTACTTTTACCTCTTGCCCTTCTCAGAATTAGAAACTGTCCTCGAGATGCTACCGGGCACAGTCCATTTGAATTTTTATATGGACGCACATTCTTACTTGGCCCAAACCTTGTCCCAGACACCAGCCCTCTAGACAACTATCTTCCAGTCCTCCAGCAGGCTAGACATGAAATTCGCCAGGCTGCTAATCTTCTCTTGCCCACTCCAGATTCCCAGCGATATAAAGACACCCTAGCTGGACGATCAGTTCTTGTTAAGATTCTGACCCCTCAAACTCTACCACCTCAATGGACTGGACCCTACTTAGTCATCTATAGTACCCCAACTGCCGTCCACCTGCAGGACCCTCCCCATTGGGTTCACCATTCCAGAATAAAGCTGTGTCCATCAGCCAGCCAGCCTGATATCTCCTCTTCCTCCTGGAAGTCACAAGTACTCTCCCCTACTTCCCTTAAACTCACTCGCATTTCTGAAGAATAATAATAACCCTTATGAGCCTAATACATCCCTTCATTCTGTTAGGTGTATCCATCCTTACCCTACTCTTTGCAACAGGGCTTTATGCAGTCATCCCCACTACTTGGACTACACCCCAAAAACTTGTCATCCCTGCTATCTTCTGTCTAGTCATACTCCTATTCACCATTCTCAACTACTCATAAATGACCTGCTCTTGTTTACACTGCCAGTTTACATTGTTTTGCCAAGACTTCACAGCTGATAACTCCTGGTGTTATCCCCAAACCACCACTCTTGACTCCCTCTTGGACTGGATAGATGATCTTTGCTGACAGGGCACCCTCCAATACTTCCACCCTGATGAAGTTCTATTCTTTACTTTTATACTCACTCTTATTGTCATTCCCATTCTTATGCCACTCTTTACCTCTCCCAAATTGCCTCCAGCATACTGTCAATTTCACCCACTCTCTCCTCACTGCCTCCAATCCTTCTCTAGCAAAGAATTGTTGGCTATGTGTTTCCCTTTCTTCCTGCTCTTACACAGCCACCCCGCTCTACAGGCCGATTGGGCTACCTCTCCCGTCTCCCTGCACCTCCGAACCTCCTTCGATAGCACTCATATTTACGCACCTGGGGAACTTCTTTACTTTCTAGACAGATTTGGTGAGAACTCCTCAGACATTTCACACCAACAAGCTGTCTGCCACACTTCTCCGCATCTACTTATAGCACCTTTCTCCTTATGTCAATTCCACCCCCACCCATATTTGGACCCCTAACCTCACAAACAATTATCCCTGTTGCCGCTCCGTTACGCATCTCCCAACAACAGCCTACTGGAATCCCTGCAGGCAACCTTCCACTGTCCAAATATTCCTTTACTCTTTATCTCCAGAACCCAGCCACACACATTACCAAACGGATGGGAGCATTCCAACTTTGCATTACTGATAAGCCCTCTATCGTTACAAACTAAAAAGCATTGGCAGTCACTATTGTTTAGGAAGACACCTACCCTGCATCTCACTCCATCCTTGGCTACCCTCCCCCTGCTCATCTGAATCTCCTCCTAGCCCCTCCTCTTGCTTGTTTATACCCAGCCCCATGAATAGCAGTGAAAGGTTACTTGTAGACACTATGCGCTTTCTCATACACCATGAAAACCAAACCCCTCCCTCTACACAGTTGCACCATCAATCCCCATTACAACCTCTAATGGCTGCTGCCCTTGCTGGATCTCTAGGATTTTAGGTGCAGGATTCCTCTTTCAGTACACCCTCTCACCTTTTCACTTTACATTTCCAGTTCTGCCTGACACAAGGTCTCTTCTTTTTATGTGGCTCTTCCACCTACATGTGCCTACCTGCCAACTGGACAGGCACATGTACTCTAGTCTTCCTTACCCCCCAAATCCAGTTTGCAGATGGGAACGAAAAACTGCCTGTCCCTCTCATGACACCAACATGACAAAAAAAGAGTCATCCCACTAATCCCTTTACTTGTGGGTCTAAGACTTTCTGCCTCCACTATTGCACTTGGAACTGGAATAGCAGGCATCTTAACCTCTGTCACAACATTCTGCAGCCTCTCTAATGACTTCTCTGCTAGCATTACAGACATATCACAAAGTTTGTCTGTTCTCCAAGCCCTAGTTGACTCTTTAGCTGCAGTTGTCCTCCAGAACTGCTGAGGCCTCAATTTATTCACTGCTGAAAAAGGAGGACTTTGTATATTTTTAAATGAAGAGTGTTGTTTTTACCTAAATCAATCTGGCCTGGTATATGACAACATAAAAAAACTCAAGGATAGAGTCCAAAAACTCACCAACCAAGCAAACGATAACGTTGACCCCCCCTGGACACTCTCTAATTGGACGTCCTAGGTACTCCCAATTCTTAGTCCTTTAATACCTATTTTTCTCCTCCTTTTACTCGGCCTTGTGTCTTTCGTTTAGTTTCTCAATTCACACAAAACCGCATCCAGGCCATGACCAATAATTCTATACAAGAAATGCTCCTTCTAACTACCCCACAATATCACCCCTTAACCCAAAATCTTTCTTCGGTTGAATCTCTCCCACTGTAGGTTCCCACGCCACCCCTAATCCCGTTCGAAGCAGCCCTGAGAAACATCACCCATTATCTTTCCATACCACCCCCAAAATTTTTTGCCGCTCCAACACTTCACCACTATTTTGTTTTCCTTTTCTTATTAATATAAGAAGACAGGAATGTCGGGTCTCTAAGCCCAAGCTAAGCCATCATATCCCCTGTGACCTGCATGTATACATCCAGATGGCCCGAAGCAACTGAAGATCCACAAAAGAAGTGAAAATAGCCTTAAATGATGACATTCCACCATTGTGATTTGTTCCTGCCCCACCCTGATACATATATTCTCCCCTGCCCTTAAGAAGGTACTTTGTAATATTCTCCCCCATACCACCCTTAAGAAGGTACTTTGTATGCCTATCCCAAACCTATAAGAAATAATGATAATCCCACCACCCTTTGCTGACTCCTTTTTCAGACTTAGCCCACCCGCACCCAGGTGAAATAAACAGTCTTGTTGCTCACACAAAGCCTGTTGGTGGACTCTCTTCACACGGACGCGCATGACAATCTTTACCCGTCAAAAATAGTTTATAGAAACCCTTGTTAGATTCTTCAAATGCACAGGCACAGGGCTGCTTCAGAGACCACAGCTGAGGCCAAGATCTGCAGGCCTGCCTCCAGGGCCACAGCTTCCTTAACATATTTCTGGAAGTTTCTTTCAGAACAATTGGGCAAGGAAAAGGAGAACAAAGCTCTCCAGCTTGGAAAAGAAGTAAAAATGTTACTGTTTGTAGGTAATAAGATCATGCATATATATATTATAACCCTAGAGTAAAACAACAAAAATTGTTTGAACTAGTAAATGCATTCATTAAAGTATCAAGATACATAATCAACATAAAAATACTTGTGGGTTTTTTTTTCTTTTTTTTTTTTTTTTTTTGGAGACAGGGTCTCACTGCACTGTCCAGACTCATCTCAAACTCCCGTCCTCAAGTGACCCACCTGCCTTGGACTCTGAAAGGGCAGGGATTACAGAAATGAGAGACTGCACCTGGCCCAACATACAAATATTTTTTGCATTTTCGTACAGTAGCAACAAACTTTCCAAAAAAAGAAACAATTTCCACTTGCAATAGTATAAAAATAAGAAACTTAATTAAAATAAATATAACCAATAAAAAAATTATACATTAAATACAATAAGATTGATGACAGAAATTGAAGTAGACACAAATAAATGTAGACATATTCCATTAGGATAACTAACACTGTCAAAGTATCATATTATCCAAAATGATCTATAGATTCAATGTGATCCCTATCAAAGTTTTAGTTGCAGTTTTCACAGTAATAGAAAACACAATTGTAAAATTTAAGTGTAACCTTAAAGAACTTTAAATAACCTGAGCAATCTTGAGAAAGAACAATGCGAGGGTATCATACTCTCTAATTTCAAATTTTATTTAAAGGTTATAATAATCAAGAGTATGGTATATGCGTAAAGACAAATACAAAAACCAATGGAACAAAATAGGGAGCCCAGAAACAAAACCAGGAATACAAGGTCAACTAATCTTTGACAAGGCCACTAAGAATATACAATGCAGAAAATACAGTCTTGTCAATACATGGTGCCAGAAAAACTGGATATCCACAAGTGAAAGAATAAAAGTAAAATATTTTCTTATACCATACCCCAAAATTAACTCAAAATGAAAGACTTAAATGTAAGACATAAAACCTTAAAACTCCTGAAGAAAACATATTAAAAAAAAAAACTTTGTTGATATTGGTCTTGGCATTAACTTTTTTGATGAGATCAAAGCATAGCAACAAATAATACAAACAAGTGGGACTGCATCAAATCGAACAGCTTCTGCACAGCAAAGAAAAAAATTTTTTTAAACCCTATAACATAGGAAAATATTTGCAAGCCATATATCTAACAAGAAGTTAATATCCAAAACATACAAAAAACTTCTAGAATTCAAAGCAAAACAACGATAATAACCCATTCAAGAATAGACAAAAGGTTACTTTTTTTCCCATTGAAGACATACATACAAGGGAAATCTGTATGCTGTTGGTGAGATGTAAATAAATAAAGTCATCATAAAAACCAGTAAAAAATAAAAATAGAAATACTGTATAATCCAGCAATACCACTTCTGGGCATCCTACCAAAGGAAATAAAATTTCTATCTTGATGAAATATCTTCAGCCCTATGTTCACTGTAGTGTTGTTTACAATAGCCAAAATATGGTGCGTGTGTATATATACACAGAATACTATTCAGCCGTCAACAGAAGGAAATCTAGCCATTTACAACAGGGACAGACCTGGAGGACATTATGCTAAATGAAATAAGCCAAACACAGAAAGACAAAGAAACTGCTTGTTTTAAGTTAGATGAGAAATCTAAAAACATAAACTCATAGAAGCAGAGTGTAGTTACACTTATTATTTTTTTGTCTTTTTTTTTTCTTTCTTTTTATGGAGCACGGGGTCTTGCTATATTGCCCAGGCAGGTCTCAAACTCCTGGGCTAAAGCTATCCTCCCAGCTCTGCCTCCCTGAGAGCTGGGATTACAGGTGTGAGCCACCACGCCCAGCAGAAGCAGAGTGTAGAATAGTGGTTGTTAGTGTCTGAGGGTGGAAATAGGAGGCGATGTTGTTCAAAGAGTACAAATTTTTAGTTATAAATTGAGCAAGTCTGAGAAATCTAATGTAAATTAGCATTAGATTAGCCAAATAGCATTGTGTTTATAGTTAGTAATACTGTAATGTATGCTTATAATTTGCTTTTTTTTTTTCTTTCCTGAGACAGAGTCTCACTCTGTTGCCCTGGCTGGAGTGCAGTGGCGTGATCTCGGCTCACTACAACCTCTCCCTGCTGGGTTCAAGCAATTCTCCTGCCTCAGCCTCCTGAGTAGCTGGGATTACAGGTGCGTCCAACCACACCCGGCTAATTTTTGTATTTTTAATAGACACAGGGTTTCACCATGTTGGCCAGGCTGGTCTCGAACTCCTGACCTCGTGATCCACCCACCTCAGCCTCCCAAAGTGCTGGGATTACAAGTGTGAGCCACCATGCCCGGCCTACAACGGTAGATCTTAAGTGTTCTTACTACAAAAAAAATTTGAGGTAATAGATATGTTCATC
Source organism: Homo sapiens (assembly GCF_000001405.40). Taxonomy (NCBI): domain Eukaryota; kingdom Metazoa; phylum Chordata; class Mammalia; order Primates; family Hominidae; genus Homo; species Homo sapiens. Next base: position 397,011 of record NC_000004.12, on the reverse strand, counting down.
AACTTGACTGTATTTTGTTTCACAATGTACATGCATATCAAATCATTACATTGTACACATTAAATATATAGTTATGCCATTTTTATGTATCAGAAAAATCCATGTCACACAAACACAGAAGTACAGTAAGTCCTCAGTTAATGTTCAAAATAGGTTCTTGAAAACTGCATCGTTAAATAAAACAATGTTGTTATATGCATTCAAACATAACACTTGTTTCTATCAAATTTTTTTTTTTTTTTTTTTATTGATCATTCTTGGGTGTTTCTCGCAGAGGGGGATTTGGCAGGGTCACAGGACAATAGTGGAGGGAAGGTCAGCAGATAAACAAGTGAACAAAGGTCTGGTTTTCCTAGGCAGAGGACCCTGCGGCCTTCCGCAGTGTTTGTGTCCCTGGGTACTTGAGATTAGGGAGTGGTGATGATTCTTAAGGAGCATGCTGCCTTCAAGCATCTGTTAAACAAAGCACATCTTGCACCGCCCTTAAGCCATTCAACCCTGAGTGGATACAGCACATGTTTCAGAGAGCACAGGGTTGGGGGTAAGGTCACAGATCAACAGGATCCCAAGGCAGAAGAATTTTTCTTAGTACAGAACAAAATGAAAAGTCTCCCATGTCTACCTCCTTCTACACAGACACGGCAACCATCCGACTTCTCAATCTTTTCCCCACCTTTCCCCCCTTTCTATTCCACAAAACCGCCATTGTCATCATGGCCCGTTCTCAATGAGCTGTTGGGTACACCTCCCAGACGGGGTGGTGGCCGGGCAGAGGGGCTCCTCACTTCCCAGTAGGGGCGGCCGGGCAGAGGCGCCCCTCACCTCCCGGATGGGGCGGCTGGCCGGGAGGGGTGCTGACCCCCTCCACCTCCCTCCCGGACGGGGCGACTGGCCGGGCGGGGGGCTGACCCCCCCACCTCCCTCCCGGACGGGGCGGCTGGCCAGGCGGGGGGCTGACCCCCCCACCTCCCTCCCGGACGGGGCGGCTGGCCAGGCGGGGGGCTGACTCCCCCACCTCCCTCCCGGACGGAGCGGCTGGCCGGGCGGGGGCTGACCCCCCCACCTCCCTCCCGGACGGGGCGGCTGGCCAGGCAGAGGGGCTCCTCACTTCCCAGTAGGGGCGGCCGGGCAGAGGCGCCCCTCACCTCCCGGATGGGGCGGCTGGCCAGGCGGGGGGCTGACCCCCCCCACCTCCCTCCCGGACGAGGTGGCTGCCGGGCGGAGGGGCTCCTCACTTCTCAGACGGGGCAGCTGCCGGGCAGAGGGGCTCCTCACTTCTCAGACAGGGCGGTTGCCAGGCAGAGGGTCTCCTCACTTCTCAGACGGGGCGGCCGGGCAGAGACGCTCCTCACATCCTGGACGGGGCGGCAGGGCAGAGGTGCTCCCCACATCTCAGACGATGGGCGGCCCGGCAGAGAGGCTCCTCACTTCCCAGATGTGATGGTGGCCGGCCGGGAAGAGGCGCTCCTCACTTCCTAGATGGGATGGTGGCCGGGCAGAGACGCTCCTCACTTTCCAGACTGGGCAGCCAGGCAGAGGGGCTCCTCACATCCCAGACGATGGGCGGCCAGGCGGAGATGCTCCTCACTTCCCAGACGGGGTGGCGGCCGGGCAGAGGCTGCAATCTTGGCACTTTGGGAGGCCAAGGCAGGCTGCTGGGAGGTGGAGGTTGTAGCGAGCCGAGATCACGCCACTGCACTCCAGCCTGGGCACCATTGAGCACTGAGTGAACGAGACTCCATCTGCAATCCCGGCACCTCGGGAGGCCGAGGCTGGCGGATCACTCGCGGTTAGGAGCTGGAGACCAGCCCAGCCAACACAGCGAAACCCCATCTCCACCAAAAAAATACGAAAACCAGTCAGGCGTGGCGGCGCGCACCTGCAATGGCAGGCATTCGGCAGGCTAAGGCAGGAGAATCAGGCAGGGAGGTTGCAGTGAGCCGAGATGGCAGCAGTACCGTCCAGCTTCGGCTCGGCATCAGAGGGAGACCGTGGAAAGAGGGAGAGGAAGACCGTGGGGAGAGGGAGAGGGAGAGGGAGAGCTCTATCAATTAAACTATGGTAATTCCACCTCCCGGGTTCAAGCGATTCTCCTGCCTCAGCCTCCCGAGTAGCTAGGATTACAGGTGCATGCCACCATGTCCAGCTAATTTTTTGTATTTTTAGTAGAGATGGGGTTTCACCATGTTGGCCAGGCTGGTCTTGCACTCCTGACCTCATGATTTGCCCACCTCAGCCTCCCAAAGTGCTGGGATTACAGGTTTGAGTCACCGTGCCCAGTCAAAATTATTTTTTTTTAAAGAATATGTTGCTTCATTTACAGTTTCCATGAACCTATCAACAATGTTAAGTGAGAATTTACAATACACATATATAAATTATATAGGTGTGTATATGCATGAGACCCACATTTTTAGATACAGATAGATCTCAATAACAGAATCCCAGTAGGCTTCTTACTAAAATTATAAGATAATAGTTATTAAGAAATAATAATATACATTTAGCAGTGTTCTAAGCTGGTTTATGACAGTACATTTAAGAAATCTAGAAGGTGAGTAGATACTTTAATCAAGTGGTGTCCAACCCTATGAATGTAAGAATATTTTGCATACCTGTTGTGGTAGATATCATAAAAACTATTCATGAACTTTTCTTTTAAAGCTCATCAGGTATCATTAGTGTTAGTGTATTTTATGTGTGGCCCAAGACAATTCTGCTTCTAATGTGGCCCAGGGAAGCCAAAAGGTTGGAAACCCATGCTTTAAACTATATTATAACTTTTCATTTACACATATAGAGTTTAAATTACAAATCTCAGTTTACACTAAAACAATAACATTTTGAAGTACAATCAACATTTTTCATATTTAGGAAAATGCTTATTGTTCTGAAAAAATTGCTAGCAAAGAATTTTTGTGGAATTACATTTGCAATAGGATTAAAAATCAGTAAGCAGAAAATCTGCAACATCTGTCTCTGGTGTTCCTGGGATTTCTGACCCAAATCCTAATACGTCCACTACTTGCCTTAAATATTTTAGACATGATGCAAAAACAATACTTGAAAAAAATAAATTAACATAGAGCTCCTCAATAACACAAATATTCCTATGTCTGCAAAAGCAATGGAACAGCAGTCAGATCATGCAGCCCCTTATAAGTGATAAAGTGGACATTGGCTGTCCATGTAAACTTGAAGGGAGATCTCTAAAGAAAAGAGAGAATTCTTAGAAGATTTAACAGCATGGGACTAAAGACACCCCTAATTTGTGAACATGAGAAAAAAATGCAGCCTTTTCAGAAACTCTGAGGGAGCATTAGCAATTACATTTTACAGTTATCCTCACCCAGGGAACCAGATTTCTGAAGTTCTCCAACATCACATCTCTATATAAATTCTGCTGGGCAGGATCCAGACATTTCCACTCTCCTGGGCAGAATTCTATGGCCACATCCCTGAATGTTAAGAGTTCCTGAAAACACATATTTATCAAAGGACAGAGTTCTTAAATTGACTACAGGAGAAATGAGTTATGTGAGCTGGTTCTGACTTATGGGACTGACTATAATTATCTGATAAAATAACTTTCAACACAGTAATGTTCTCTAAATTATTCCATAACTCTGAGGAAAAAGGACGGCATGTGTCAGGAATGGGTATTCGGTGTCAACAAAAATCAACACTGGGACAAAGGATCTTCTTAGCAAGGCTAATTTACTTTCTGTAGAAAGGGTGCCACTCACTAGCAGTCTTGCCATGAGAGCACACATGAATAAAGGAGGCAGGGTCATTTATAACCTGATGCATCCACCCTATGGCTGTGTCTGGTTTCCATTGGCTGGAATAGGACCTCACATTTTGTCCTTGTCCCGACTGGCTAGCAATTTAGAACTTTCCAAAAGAGGGGAAGGCAGAGGAGAATAAAGGAAAAGAGGAAGTAACTTGTGGAATGCTGAGAAAGGCCAAAAACACCTCCAAATAAGTAAGAGGAACAGCCTATGACCTAATACTTGCTTGGACCTGCTTAGGCATCCCAGGGCAAATATCTTAGGCTAAAATGTGGGAGCTAAGAATACAAAGTATATTGATTTCTTTATTACGGTTAGCAGATATTTAAAAATACCAGCATAGGTCTTTGAGTAAATTTTGCTTCTAAGAGAGGTTACTATTTATTCTCAATTAGACTGGGAGGAAAGTCCCTTTGAAGAGGAATCTCTACTTCATTTTCTACAGCATGCCAGAAATTTCTGTTGCTACAATGGAAATACGGGCTACACTGACCTGCCCTTATGAAAACCAAGCAGAGTAGACCCTGTGACCTCCTGGAACAAAGGGTGAACTCACCTCTCATTAAGTATCTGGAAGCCCTCATGCTTGACCCTGGCCTGGCTGTAGAATCATGTTTTAATTTAAAGAACAGGGATGTTTCCATCCAGAACAATAGACAGGATCTGTGGGGAGGGGAAAAGTGGCTGTTTCTCTTCAAACAGTCCATGTGATACTATTAGAAGACTCAGCTGAGAGTCACTTAGCTAAGCACTGGCTTTCAGACTTCAATGTCCATATAAATTATTTGCTATTCTAAGCCTTACTGTAAGTAACAAAATTCTGGAGGTTTGAAAAGGGTCCATGAATTACACAGCTTCTTATAGCAAGTCTCCTGTTAATGCTGATATTCCTCCCTCTAGATCCATTATAGTAACACTCAGCTAGAGAAAGCAGGCACAGCACACAGGGTCCCTTATCCCAACACAAATACTTTTCACCTGAAGACAAGACTACCAATCATCATCCTGAAACATGACATTCTCTGCAGGCCCTTCAAAGGTTACAGAGGCTGGAGATGGTGGCAATGTCTGAGTAAGTCTGCATTTGAAAAACACGTGCACATGCATTAATGTGATCTTTATGGAGCATGTACTATGTGTGCAGGAGTATGTCACAGAGCCCTCTGCTGGGAAGCTCACATTATGTGCGTTAATTCTCATAACATGCTGGGAGGTGGGTAGTAAGTGTCCCATAATTCCCAGGATTTAAATGCAGGGCCTGGCATTTCTATTTCTTCTTGTTTTCCTATGACTGATTTTTTAAAAAATGTATAGAATAGTTCAATATAGATAGATGGGAGAGAAACAGAAAGAAAGTGTTAAGTGCAATTCAGAGGAATTTTTTATTTTTGTATTTGTATTTACTTTGAAAATTGTAAAGAAAAACAAACACTAAAACTATAGGGCTGGAGAACAGATTGCTGGATGAGATGTCTCTAGAAACACTGGTTTTAATTTTATAAAAAAGAATTTAAGGCACAAAAGTATATTGCTTTTCCCCATTTATCTGCTTTTCTGTTTCAGGAAATTGGAAGCACCAGCTCTGGAGTGGCAGTAGGAGTAGCCACCCCAAACTCTTATCTCCTCTAAGCAGTTCTGTGAGAGATTTCAGTGTGGGGTCAGACCTGGACAAGATTCAGCAGAGGGTGGATCTGGGCAGAGCTGGGACAGACAGTGGGCCCTAGGCTTCTGCTCTCTAGGCCATTAAGTGTTTTCAGTTTTGTTTTTTCTAAGCCTGACAAAGAGAGATTTTATTCCCAGAGTTTGTGTGATTTTAACCTACTTTCGCCACTTCCCTGTCTATATTACAACATACAGTAAGAAGGAACTTAATCAAAATCCTTATTTTTTCTAGACCAATTATATTAAGAGCCAAATACTTATTATTCACAAGCTAAAAACAATACAAATAATAATAATAACAACAACAAATTCTCTTCAGTCCACGAATAGCCCTTCAGGTGGAGGCATCAAAACTCACAAAACAATAAAAGTAACCCAAATGAAGCTTAAGTCTCCTGTACAGTTTCCATCTTTGTGCTCCAGACTGCAAGTTACTTGATGGTAGGGACCATGACTGGTTCATTTCTTTTTCTAATTACCATAAGAAATAGAAGCAATTACTTATTGATCAGTTTGAGTCTCTAGATCTCCTCATTTTCACCAAAGAACCAAAAAAACTGGAACAACTCTTATCTGTTATGAACAAGGAGATTCTTTCTGTGAGGGGAGGAACAAACCCTGGATAAGTCATTTCTCTTTCTCTGAAAATGGAACCAGAATTAGACTTTGTTGTCACACTGACCCCAGTCTGCACAGGACATCCTCAAATGTCTCAAATAACTCACTGATGCTGGTGAGAGTGTCCTCAGTGACCCTGGGCTGAAGCCCCCATAGTGATCCAGGCAGGAGAGACTCAGGCTAACTTTGTGGAGTGCAAACGGAAAACAGAACTGCCCTGGTAGAGCTGCAGATCCTGGATCCAGATGTCATATGCACTGTCCCTGATCAGCTAACTCTGAGACAAGAGGAAAGATAAAAGTACTCCAGTACCACAGTATACAGGATGGCAGACTAGTGATTATGGTTGTGATTATGGCTCTGGATATTTTGTGGACCTGACCTCCCACTGCTAAGGTGCTTGTTTACACTTACAGATTCTGCCACAGGATTCTGTTCACACCAGAAGCCTCTCACATAGTTGTACCAGGTGACTAGACAAGATCTGGAAAACTCAAAGGGCTCCACTCTGAAAGTGTGGTTTAAGATGTCTATGTTGACCTCTCATGATGCAGAAAATGCCTTCTGTGAGTTTTCTGTATGTCTTCAACCCAAAGTCTGGCACTATCTTGTGAATCCTAGGCAGAAGCCAGCTTTTATGTGCAGATTCTAGGTGGAATTGTAGCAGGACGAGCCACAGACAAAATCTCTCGGACACCGAGTTGTAGAAGGAAGGGCTTTATTCAGCTGGGAGCATCAGCCAGCTACTGTCTCAAAATCCGAGCTTCCTGAGTGCACAATTTCTGTCCCTTCTAAGGGTTCACAACACCAAAGATTTCACATGAAAGGGTCGTGATTGATTTGAGCAAGCAAGGGGTATGTGACAGGGGCTGCATGCACCGGTGATCAGGAACAAACAGAACAGGGCAGGGAGTTTCACAATGTTCTTCTATACAATGTTTGGAATCTATGAATAACATCGGCTTCTAATTCATAAGTTGATTTTTAACTACTGGGTTTAGGCCAGGCAGGCTGAGGCCTGGCGCCGGGCTGCCTGTCTTTGATTTTACTTCCTTGTTGTTTTTACTGAGTATGAAACAATATAAAACAATATGAGAGGGTCTCTCCTCTCAGAATCAATGTGCCTCTGCATTCTTGGGGATTACAGCAAACAGAGTAAAACCAGAGAGATCCTCTCATGGAGGCTCCTTCAACACATTCTGAAGAATATTTTGACCTAAAAGGAAAAAGCTGGGGTAAACATAACTAGAGAGTTTATTTGGGCCAAAGCTTGAAGACTGCAAGCCCGGAGTATAAAGCTGCCCTGAACATACACTCCAATTAGAAGCAGTTACAAGTGTATTTTTAAAGGCAAAAAAGAAGGCAGAGAGGGGACTGATAGAAAGTTCTCAGACATTCCTATTGGTTTATAGAAGTAACACTGGTTAGTGTCTGGCTATATATATGTTAAGCCATAGGGTGTGCATTATAGTGTCCATTGTGGTATTATTAGGTTAATTTATAGCCACTGGTAGCAATAGCAAGGAATTTCAAAAAATAAATAGTTCAACGTGGGGAAAAGTAGGACTGCGGTCTCATTTTAACAAATCTCTGGGTCTGATAATTAAAAGAACTTGTATTTCTCAGACAAAAGTGCCGTTTTCTTCTCAAATCCCAGGATATTAATTTAGAATTTGGAACTGCACATTTAGGTCTTGGAAGGCTGGTAAGCTATGCACATTTGTGGGCATTTGGGCAAGGGGAGAAGAGAGAGAATTGAAGTTCTCTGGTTTAATTAATGCACTTATGTGATCCTGGTTGGGTTTATGGACCCCATGATGTCTGAACCAGTGTCAGATCTAAAGATGCCAGGAGCGCTAAAAGAAATGGAATAACTGATTGCTGTCCTGAGAAGTTATTTTTGTAGAAATCTAGTCTAACTGCTTTAGAAGTGACTGTTCCCAAATAGAGATCCCAAATAGAGAGATTTTTTTTTTTTTTGAGATGGTGTCTCACTCTCACCAGCACTTGCCCAGGCTGGAGTGCAGTCTCGCGACCTTGGCTCACTGCAGTCTCCGCCTCCCGGGTTCATGCCATTCTCCTGTCTCAGCCTCCCCTGTAGCTGAGACTACAGGTGCCTGCCACCACGCCCAGCTAATTTTTTATATTTTTAGTAGAGGCAGGGTTTCACGGTGTTAGCCAGGATGGTCTCAATCTCCTGACCTCGTGATCTGGCCACCTCAGCCTCCCAAAGTGCTGGGATTAAAGGTGTGAGCCACTGCACCCGGCTGTTTTTTTTTTGCAGCTTTGAGGAGCACTTTGCTACACTTTGTGCACTTTGCCACAAAATTGTGGATTGTGACTGGAATCCTTAGAAAAAAGGTTTTCTCTCAAGTGAGGCCTAGTGGGCACTTTATGTATAAATCTGGTAATTCTGAACAGTGTGGTAACTATAACTAAAAGCAAAATCATCTCTAATCCTAAAATACTCCCCACAATAACAGAACAGCAAGAAAATGTTCTGTTATTTAATTATACCAAACTATGATATGCATCACAGGCAATCAACTAATAGATTGCAAATACAGAAAGAACATCACCGTAATTAGTTCTCAAGTACAAGACATGACAGCACCATTTGTCATACACAGTTTATGTCACCTAGTAATTTGAGAGGTCACCTGGGCGCCTGTAGTCCCAGCAGGGTTTTCTAATTGGTAACATTCAACAGCAACAAAAAAACTTCCCACATCTTCATGGTAAGACGTAGTTTTGAAATGTTGAGCCAGGTACCTGCTGAAGGCAGCCCCCTACTTTCCTACAAAAACTGTGGCATAGGGTGTATAGACTCTTGCGATTTACATTTCAAGACAATAGTTTCCAGATCCTAGATAAAGACAATTTTCAGTCGAAAAAGACAAATGACCTAGTTAACTGATAAAAATGATTTATATATTTTTCAAAGAAGCAGAGAAAATATTTAAATATAAAAGTTTTCAAATTAAATGCTTTAAGAAAAGGGAGAAGAGCAAAAATTCTTCCCACACTCTAAAGAGAAAGCATTAAGCTTCTAATTTGTATTTGGTCCTACAACAGCCTGTTCTAAAGGCATGGTCTTGAACTTACTAACGTCTGAATTCTTGTAGGCACCTGAGGGATGGACTTGGGCACACTGTGAACACAGGAAAGAGGATTTGTGGGGAAGGAAAGAGCAGAAGAGAGGAAGGTGCCATCAAGAGCCTTGGGTGGGGGCAAGGCAGGACTGACTAAAGCACTGGTTTGTACTATAAGTGCAGGCCGACGCAGGGCTACACTCTGACTGATTCCTGAGTCCATAAGGGCAGAGGAGATTAGGATCAGGTGGTCTAGAAGACTGGGTGGTGAAGAAAGCAGATTCCTGCTACACATCTGGGGTTGAGATGAGCCAGGAGTCTTCTGGGCACTTTGTGTGTTCTTGGGAGAAAACTGTAGGAGCAAAGCTGCCATTGGGCACAATTTCTGAGGGTAGAAACCTATCCTGGAAGGAGTGTGGCCATGCCAATGCCCAGTGGGTGGGCTCAGGAGTGGGTTAGCATTGGGTGGGGGCTGGCAGCATGGTGTGAGGAAGGATGTTTCTCAGAACTCCTTTCCTCTAAGTTTCCAGTCCCCTCTCTCCCTCGGAGGAGACCTGGAGGAACAGGACAGGGCCCAGCAGGACTGCGCATGTGCAGAACCCAGTCACGCCTCCCGCAGACACCATGCTACTCCCTCCAGCCCAGGCTCAGCCCTGTCTTTCTTCTGACAGAAAACGTGAGGAGTTTGCTCAACACCAGTCAATGCTCCAACCCCAAAGCGGTGTCCAGCAACTCACTAAAGACGCCACCCAGAGTCAGCGCAGACCCCACAAGCTCAGCGCTCTTCTCGCAGTTGCCCCCCTGCAGGCACCGGTCCCTGCCTCTGGACACCCGTCTTCATTTCTGAACTCCCGCCTACAAACCAGGGGCGCCCACACCCTCCTCAAGTTCAATAATATGGCAGAACTACTCACAGAACTCAGCGAAGCGCTGTGCGCGCCCACACTAGCATATTCTAAAAGATGCGACTCCGGAACAGCCACGCGGAGGAGGCGCACAGGGCAAGGGGACTGGTGGGAAAGTGGGAGCGGGAGGGTGATTTGCTTCGCTTCCTCACACACCTCACAAAAGCCTTTCCTTTAAGACCCGCCAGCAGCCCCCAAACCACGAGCCATGGTCGGCGCTGTCCCATTAATGAGTCCCCGTTTGCTCACATGAACTCTATGTTTTGATGGGGCCTTGACATCATTCCGAACAGGTCAAGTAGGGACGGGACCCCCAGACCACAGCTCCTCCCACGCGCCCACTGCGCACGCCGCGTCGGCGTCTTCCAGATGAGCTCCTCCTCACCCCACAGCCCAGGGAAGGTGCGCGGCTGCGGGGGCAGAGCTGCACAAGGAGGGCTGCAGGCTGGGCCAGAGCCACCCTGCGGGAACCGACAGAAACCAGAGTCCCTCACCGGAGGGGGCTGAGGCCCGAGGGCTGAGCGGCGGCAGAGGGGACTCTCTTCACAGACTCGGTCCCGCCGCCGCCATTTCCCGTCGGTTCTGATGAGGCCTCCCCAGTCGCCTCGGGAGGACCTGCCCCACACACTCACCATTTCCCCACTTCAGGGGTGTAGCAGAGTCTCAGCTAGGAATCATCCAATACCCACAGGTCACAGAGCGACGGAGGCTGAGGCCGAATCACGGAGGCCTCCCTGAGGGGTGGAAGCAGGACGGCGAGGCCCTAACCGAGCTCAGGCTGGAGCGAAAGGCAAAAGCCGCGCCAGATCCCGGATGCCGCCCTCTCCTCTCCGGCTGCATCCCTGATTGGGCAGTTCTCAGTCCAGCGGCCTGATTGGATAGGGCTCGAAGCTTCACGCCCTCAGGCTTTGAGTGACAGAAATTGCGAAAACACAGTATACTAATTGAGGCAAGAGTGACAGACTCGTGCCTCCAGGCACTTAGAGTCAGGGCTTTCTCTCTGTGCTAGGCCTGGCTCTGCACATGGTTCATTTTTAACCTTGTGCACGCACGCGCGCGCGCGCATGCACACAGACACACACTTGTTCACAAATGGAAACAATATAATAATTTTAATATTTTAGATATCGTAACTTTTCTGGCCTGTGGTCTTTTGAGTAGGATACCTGAGATTTGAAGAGGAAAGCGAACCTCTAAAAAATAAAATGTTAGCTATTTGTGAATTTTCAATTTTTTATTAGCCACATCAAAACTAAGAAAAAGAAGCAAGTGAAATTGTTTGTGATAATTTTAACCTATTGTATCCAAAATATTGGCCGGGCCCAGTGGCTCACGGCTGTAATCCCAGCACTTTAGGAAGCTGATGTGGATCACGTGGTCAGGTGATCGAGACCATCATGGCCAAACTGGTGAAACTCCGTCTCTACTAAAATACAAAAAATTAGCTAGGCATGGTGGCGTGTGCCTGTAGTCCCATCTACTGGGAAGGCTGAGGCAGGAAAATTGCTTGAACCCGGGAGGCGGAGGTTGCAATGATACAAGATCGTGCCACCGCACTCCAGCCTGGTGACAGAGCAAGAGTCCATCTCAAAATAAATAAATAAATAAAATAAAAAATTTAAACCCCAAATATTATTGTTTTAATATGTGATCAATATATAATTAGAAATAAGGTATATTTCTGACCTCATTCTTCTAAACTCACTGTGTATTTTATGTTTCCAGCACATTTTACCTCAAACCAGCCATATTCCAGGTACCCAGTAGCTACATATGGCAGGTGGCAGCCACACTGAGTGCAGCCATGAGGGCTCTCTTCCCTCAGGGAAGTGAGGGCCTGAACACTTCTTTTCTGCTGTGAGGGAACAGCCTCTCTACCAACTGTTCTCCTCAGGCTCAAGGGTGGGTGGGACAGTGCCTCTAGAGAGAGCAGGGGCTGCAAGCTGAGAGCGTCCACGTGAAGACCACGGTCTCCCAGTTGCGGTTTGGTGCCAGTGTCGTGGTATCCTCAGTTCAGCCAGGTGTGGATTCTCGTTCCATGGCCAGGAAGAATAAGGCACACAGACATCAGAGAGTGAATAAAGCAGAATAGGATTTATTAAGCAAAAGGAAAGCTCTCAGCAGAAAGGGGACATGAAAGCAGGTTGCCAGAAATGGGGCTGAGTTCTGGGTCTTTTATGTGGCAAGAACGAGGAAGTCTTCTGTGGGTTCTGCCCAAATGGGAGGGGTAAATTTCCCCGCTAAGGGTGTTGTATCTGTGCATGCCTGGAGTTGACCACAGTGACTCCATCTTGGTTATTACCCATGAGTGCCCAAGCAAAACCGACAGCAGGTGGAAAGAGTGAAGCTAAAACCAAAATATTTATGTCATGTTAGTAACATTATAAGGAGCTGGGTCAAGTTAATGACATTTAGGTTGATTCATTACACCTGGGCCTAAGTGGGACAGTCTCTTCTGATCAACACCCTGGCATAAGAGGAAGTTCTTAACCACATTTCTTCCTGCTAGCTACATGGGTGGTGCAGGTGTGGTCCCGTGGGTGTTTTTCATCTCCCAAGACCTTCCCTCCCTATCTTCCTAACCAGCCTCTGCCTCCTTTCTCAGGGGTTCCTCTTCTTTTCAAATATCAGATGGTAAACAAGGAATGATGGGTCCACAGGAAGAGAGAGCACCATGTCTTCAGATCTCCTCACAGCCTTGCCCTCCAGAGTTTAGATGTGGAGGGAATAGATTAAAGGCAAACTTCTTGTTTTGCTATTTATCTTTGGACCTAATTGCCAGGCTGGAACTGTGTGTTTTTCTCCTGTGGTATGGGGCACTGTGTGAGTTTAAGTACCAATCACATGCATCCACATATACCTGCACTTCTGTTACCAGAAGGAAGGCCGTGAGTGTGAACTGTCCAGGTCCTTGACATTTCGAACAAAAAAATTGAACAAAGCACACAAAGGAATGAAAAACAGGAAGGGAATAGCAAAAGCAAGATTTTATTAAAGTGAGAAAGCACTCTACAGGGTGGGTGTGAGCCCCAGCAAGCCGCCCAAGGACCCGGTTACAATGTTTTCTGGGTTTTAAGTACTCCTTTTGAGGTTCCTATCAGCTACCCCTTATCTGAATGAAGGATTTGGTCCTTGGCTAATCAAAGGTTGAGGCGAATTGGTACCCTATGCAGATGAAGGCATGGCCTGTGCTTGGCCCACGGCCACTCCAAGGCACTGTCCTTTTCTATCAGAGAACTGGTACAAGGGGGAGGGTTGTAGCGACAGTCGCCTTCGATCCTTTGCTACTCGGGTGTAGATGAGGTCTTTCCTTTTGGTTTAGATGTAGGAAGTTCACGTTAACTGGCTTTAGGTTCCCTGCTCCCAGACCTTGGTGTTTTTTCTTGTAGGAAGTCAGCACGAATTGGCCTTAAGTTCCCTGCCTCCAAACCCTATTCTCCTGCCTAACTTCTGTGTAACTCAATATCATCTTACAACAAATCTAACTTTAAATAAAGGAAAAAAGAAAATCAATACTTACAGGGTGGCAAGCATTTGCAGGTTATTTGTGATCAATCTGTCCTGAGATCCTGTCTTTAATGGGTGTATATATTACTAACTTATAACTGCATAACAATCCCGAAACATACTAGCTCAGGATTGAGCTGGTTAGAAATTTAGGCTGGGCTCAGCCGGGCCATTCTTCTGGGCTCAGTTTGGCTCCTTCAGGTGTGAGTGGTTAGATGCTGGTGAATTAGGTGGCTCTGCTTCTGTGAGTGAGCTGTCTGTAAACTGAGGCACTTTGGCTTTTCTCAGATGCTATTCTCCAGAAAGCTAAAATGGGCTTGTTGTCATAGAGATGGAAGAATTCTGAAAAAGATAACAGAAGCATTTAGGACCTTTAAACCTGGGCCCCAAACTGGCACCCTGTGCCAGTGCAGATAAGTCAAGAGAAGTTCAAGGTTTGGGAAACAGAATCTGTCTCTTGATAGGAACGACTATAAAAGCCATTTCCAAGGACATGAATACAATAAGAAATTTTTCAAATTGCTGTTTTTGCAATCAATTTTATCATGACTTTTCTTGTAGATGTGTCTTGTGTAACTATCCCACAGCTACTAAGCAGCTGGCTGGGACTCAGGATCAACGTTGGCCTGATTCTGAAGCCCATGCACCTCCATAGACCACACTACTCAGCCAGGTTTCCTGGACCTTCAAGGGGCTGGAGTGACACTTCTGAAATAGGAGCAAGATTTTTTTGAGAATCTCATGCCATCCATCCATTACTCTTCACCATTGGAAATAATTCACTCCAGGGAATGGTTCTGAAGTCTCTTGGAAAAACTGTAAACAATTTGAGAAAATTGCTGAGCACTGGGTTTAGGAAATTAATGCCCAACATTACATTTTTAATTTATCATAGGAGAAATTTGAAAACACCTATAATGCACTAATCATACCTACAAATTCTTTGCATTTTTTGCATTTGTTGACTATTTATGATTTTTAATATAGACAAAGTCAAATTACTGTTCCTGAATCAACTTTTGCTCTGCAGGCAAGTGACATAGCAATAGGGCTGCTGCTATTTTTTCCCAGTGCAATTTAGCCAACCAGCAGAGTATGCTTCGAAGGGACAAGATGTTTTCTAAGACCCCACATTTAGGAGCAGCTATAGGGCAAGTGCCTAGAGCACACATAGAAATCACACACAACTAAGGCCGGGCGCGGTGGCTCATGCCTGTAATCCCAGCACTTTGGTAGGCTGAGGCAGGCGGATCACGAGGTCAGGAAATCAAGACCTTGTTGGCTAACATGGTGAAACCCCGTCTCTACTAAAAATACAAAAAAATTAGCCGGGCATGGTAGCAGGTGCCTGTAGTCCCAGCTACTTGGGAGGCTGAGGCAGGAGAATGGCGTGAACCTGGGAGGTGGAGCTTGCAGTGAGCCGAGATCGAGCCACTGCACTCCAGCCTGGGCGAGAGTGAGACTCCGTCTCAAAAAAAAAAAAAAAAAAAGTTCCCAGAGATGGTGGTGGCCCTAGCTGCTTGGTCAGCCCTCCTGTTTCTCTGAGCAATTTCATCTTGACCCTTCTGGTGGCCCCAGCAATGAACTACAGCTACTTTCTGTGGTAGGTGGATAGGCTGGACTAGGGTAAAAATCTGTGACCCATATTTAATAGGGGTATTCTCTGTTGTAAAAAGTCTCCTTTCTTCCCAGATGGCTGCATAAATGTGGAGTACTAAGAAAGCATATTTGAGGGCATGGTGGCTCACGCCTGTAATCCCAGCACTTTGGGAGGCTGACTGGGTGGATCACTTAAGGTCAGGAGTTTGAGACCAGCCTGGCCAACATGGTGAAACCCCGTCTCTACTAAAAATACAAAAATTTTTCAGGCGTGGTGGGGCGCACCTGTTAGTCCCAGCTACTCAGGGGGCTGAGGCAGGCAAATTGTGTGAACCCAGGAGGCGGAGGTTGCAGTGAGCCGAGATTGCACCACTGCACTCCAGCCTGGGCGACAGAGCAAGACAACGTCTCAAAAAAAAAAAAAAAAAAAAAAAAAAGCACATTTGAAGTCTGTATTAAATAGTAACTTTTTGGTTCTTTCTTAGTTCTAGGGGTTTGGTCAGAGCTGTGAGTTCTGACTGCTCGGCTGAGGTTCCTAGAGATAAATTTAAAGTTTTATAAACAAATAAAAACCTATTTGGGGAGCCAGTGTAAGATAATTGGTAGCATTTAGGCAAAACTGAGAAACAGGCACAAAGGAAACTAAACTAATAGAGTCAAATATTTAACTCAAGAAATAAATTTGTATTATAACAGTAATAAAGTCATAATGTACTATGTGAGTTTGTAGTAAATAATATTTAATTACATTACAGCATTTACTGACTACAGGTATAGGTAAAAATTATGCTATAAATATTCTGAATTGCTAAAGGGGTGGTGAAGGACAGTTGAAAGGAAAGCTGTTCCCAAGTACGTCAGTATCGAAGGGCAATTCTAGAGTTTATATGGTTTAAATACAGGAAGTATTTCTCTTTTCTGTATATTTTATACGTTTTGCACACACATATATGACAACATTTAACAATTTTTGTTAAATTTTTATTAAGAATGTGTTTAAGATAATCATGTATTTTGTGTCTGAAGAGGGATTTTACTGTAATAAGTGTTATCTCTAGAGTCAAAGTTGCCTGTGTTGTGAGCAAGTCATTTTTCTCTATGGCTGTTTCTTTCTCTGTAAAATGAGGATAATAATACCTATGCTATTAATTTTCTGTGAAAATTAATTTTTTTTTTTGGGCAGGGGGGATGGAGTTTTGCTCTTGTCACCCAGGCTGGAGTGCAATGGCATGATCTTGGCTCACTGCAATCTCCACCTCCCAGGTTCAACTGATTCTCCTGCCTCAACCTCTTGAGTAGCTGGGATTACAGGCGCCTGACACCACACCCAGCTAATTTTTATATTTGTAGTAGAGACGGGGTTTCACCATGTTGGCCAGACTGGTCTCAAACTCCTGACCTCATGATCCACCTGCCTTGGGCGCCCAAAGTGCTGGGATTACAGGTGTGAGCCACCACGCCTGGCCGAAAATAAAATTTATTAACACATATACAGTATTATGGTTAGCATTTGGTAGAAATCAACTATTACTAAAACATGTATATACGGAATTCCAATACATGCTTTAATACAGAAATATCTTCTCATCACGTGAGTTTTTCAACCAAGAAATGAATGTATTTTTCCAAAAACGTGGTATACACAAGGAAATACAATTCAACGTTAAAAGGGAGGAAATCTTTTCATTTGAAACAATGTGGATAAATGTGGAAGACACTATGCTAAGTGAAATAAGCCAGAGAGTAGAATGCTGGTTACCAGATGCTTGGGTATTTACAAGAAAGGGGCATCTGGAGACATGTCTGTAAAACAACACATAGTTGCCTAGGAGGAATAAATTCAAGAAATCTATTGTACAGCATGGTGACTACAGTTAACAATAATGTATTTTTGGAAAATGCTAACACAGTCAATGTTATGAGCTCTTATCCCAAAAGTAATTATGTGTGGTGAAGTATTTGTTAAGCAGCTAGAATTAAGCTTTTGACAATGTATATATACTACAAAACACCATATTCTACAGGATATTTTATCTGTCAATTAACAAATATATTTTAAAAATTACAGAATAATGTTGCAAATGATGAGTATCTTTGTCAAACAACTTGAGTATTATAAAAAATATATAGTTTTTGTGCTGTTTTTGTAATATAATAACCATAGAGGCTGGGCGCAGTGGCTCACGCCTGTAATTCCAGAACTTTGGGAGGCCAAGGTGGCAGGATCACAGGGTCAGGAGTTTGAGACCAGCCTGGCCAACATAGTCAAACCGCATCTCTACTAACAATATAAAAATTAGCCAGGCATGGTGGTGCACACCTGTAATGCCAGCTAATAAGGAGGCTGAGGCAGGAGAATCGCCTGAACCTGAGAGGCGGAGGTTGCAGTGAGCTGAGATCGCACCACTGTACTCCAGCCTGGCGACAGAGCGAGACTCCGTCTCAAAAATAAAATAAAGAAGAAAATAATCATAGGAACTCTAATATTTACTAGCATGGCTTAGACCCAGAACAATATATAATACAAGACAATACACTCTAGAGCTCTTACTTTTAAGCTTGAAGTACCTGGAATTTCTAGTGCTGATGGTAATCATACATATGTAAGACACTAAAAGGGCAAGTGATGCTAAAGGTCCCAAAATTGGCCACTTCGTGAACACAGTAAATGAATTTGCATCAAAAATCACTGAGAGGCTGGGCACAGTGGCTCACACCGGTAATCCCAGCACTTTGGGAGGCTGACGTGCGTGGATCACGAGGACAGGAGCTCGAGACCAGCCTGGCCAACAGAGTGAAACCTCATCTCTATTAAAAATACAAAAATTAGCTGGGTGTGGTGGTGGGCACCTGTAATCCCAGCTACTTGGGAGGCTGAGGCAGGAGAATTGCTTGAACCCGAGAGGTGGAGGTTGCAATGAGCTGAGATTGTGCCACTGCACTCCAGCCTGGGTGACAGAGCAAGACTCCATCTCAAAAAAAAAAAAAAAAAAAAAAAAAAATCACTGAGAAACTGTTTGGATTCAACAGCTGCCATAATCTTCAAATTTTTTTCCAGAGAAGGTGACCAAGGACTTGGATAAAGTTAGGTGAGTAAAAATGAAAACTGTAGCCCATGAAATGCATCCACTAAAACAAAGAATTATGAGAAATTCCTCAAGATTGTAATATGAATCTGGACAAAAAAGATCAGTGCAGATTTTGAATCTACAGAGATCATTCTATTGTTTTTCCACCATTTAACATTCACACTCAAAGATATAATATTCTGGCCAGGCACGGTGGCTCATGCCTGTAATCCCAGTACTTCAGGAGGCCAAGGCAGGCAGATCATGAGGTCAAAAGATCGAGACCATCCTGGCCAACATGGTGAAACCCCATCTCTACTAAAAATATAAAAATTAACTGGGCGTGGTGGCAGGCGATTGTAGTCCCAGTTAACTCAGGAGGCTGAGGCAGGAGAATCACTTGAACCTGGGAGGCGGAGGTTGCAGTGAGCTGAGATTGCACCACTGCACTCCAGCCTGGTGACAGAGTGGGGCTCCATCTAAAATAAATAAATAAATAGAAGATTTTGTATGGAAAAATGTTTTGCTATGTCACAGAAAATTAAATGTAAAATTCCTCACTTACCATTGTCTCCTAAAAATTTTCTTCTTTTTTGTTGTTGTTGTTGAGACGGGTCTTACTCTGTTGGCAGGCTGCACTGCAGTGGCACAACATCAGCTCACTGCAACCTCTGCATCCTGGGTTCAAGCGATTCTCCTGCCTCAGCTTCCCGAGTAGCTGGGACTACAGGCACATGCCACCACGCCCTGCTAATTTTTGTATTTTTAGTAGAGATGGGGTTTCACCATGTTTGCCAGGATGATCTTGCTCTCTTGACTTCATGACCCACCCATCTCGGCCTCCCAAAGTGCTGGGATTACAGGTGTGAACCACCGCCACCTGGCCTAAAAATTTTATTTCTAAGATATATTTCCTCTTAAGAAATTTCAAAATTCTGATGTTTCTTCATATGGTGGTACAATATACAACCCACTTATATTAATGTTTTACTTATTCTAACTTTTGTTACATTTTACACACTTTATGATAGAATCTCATACAATTTTTCTTTTACAAACACAGAAAAACAATGCCAACTGACTTAATCCTCTTACCTGTTGATAGTGAATTACTCTTATCTCAAGTGATCTAAATGTTGCACTGATAACCTATAAATAACCTCAAACACCCCAGTTAACCTAAAGTCCACGTGAAATTACGTGGAATGAAGAGAACAGTGACAAACTAGCCATAACGCAAAAATGAAGAAAGGCTCTGAGGCATACATAGCTGGGGATAAATCATAAAGATATCACAAAACTGAAGATAATTAGAAAATAAGAAAAGAAATCCTCTTTACATTCATAATGAGTTGGTTCTGCAGCCTGAGAACAGACGTCCTCTCCACATGCACAATTAATGCCATTTGTTCGCCACAGATTATTTTCAATCTCTTACTTGGAGCTACAAACTAACTCCAGGAATATTTATGGCTAATTATGAAGCATCTATTACACACCCAGAACTTTGTTTGTTCACTACAATAATAGATCAAAACATCCCCATGACTGACAAAGTTTTCCAAGTACTTACCTGAACAAATTGGCAAAATAAACTCATTTATGTCAATTACAAAAACTGAAAGGAACAATAACTAAAGAAAACAGCTTATATAGGGTTCTTAAATTAAAACAACAAAATGAAATGTTCTAACTAAAATAACTTAATACATATATTATGAAATTACATCTAAAAATTTTACATTCACTACATTTTATAAAAATCATTCTTATAATTTCTGACCAGCTCACATAATAAACACTTCATGAAGTGAAAACAAAAAAGAGAATCAAAGAAATTATAGCTCTAGCATGAGCACCAGACAAATAAAAACAAGGAGTTTGTATGGGGAGATTCTCAACGACAATCCATTAGATTCTAGAGTCATTAAATAAAAAGAAGAAAATATAGAATGTTTCAGGCTTCTAGATTTCCAGTAAATTATCCATGGTATTAACATAATCTTCTTTGTTCTAATATTGCTATTTTCTTTGGAAAATAGGTACAAACTCACATAAACACAATTGCTTGCTCTATAATTTTCTTACACCTAAGGTTTATCTTTACAGCAACACATTTACATACTTAACTTCATGTAAATGGAACTAAAGTTTGTATAAGTTTGCAGGAAAAGATGCCACATGTTCAAAGAGAAATGTAAAACATTTTTTAGAAGTATTCAGGATGCATAAATGTATGAATTATAATTATACTGATATAATACTACAATCATAATTGTACATTTAGAAATAATTAAAGTGTATAATTGGATTGTGTGTAATACAAAGGATGAATGCTTGAGGTGATGAATAACTCATTTACTCTGGTATATTACATGTTGTATGCCTGTATAAGAAAATAACCCATATATGCCATAGATAAATATGCATACTATGTACCCACAAAAATTTCGGAAAATAACAAGAGTGAAAATACAACATATGGGAATGATATTCTTCAATGTATTTGCTATTTAAAGCCACTGGAAAAAGAGAATACTAAAAATGTCATTCAACTATGTTACCATTGTTACCATCTTTTACCTACACCATTGAGTAAGGTGGGATAGGTTTAAGTTGGTGGCATAATGACACTTCATTCAAGCAACAATTATTTCAACACGTTAAAAATTTTGTTTAGTTAAAAAATTATGTTCCCACATAATCTTAAAATAATTTTAAAATTTACTGTATCTTATTACATAAATGTATAATTGGTAAAACAATTTACTACTAAAACAGATTTTCTCTCACTATAATGCAGAAGAATATTACTCTGAACACCTACCTCATGCATCACTCAATATTGTCAACTACAAAAAAGC
This sequence comes from Homo sapiens, assembly GCF_000001405.40. Lineage (NCBI taxonomy): Eukaryota > Metazoa > Chordata > Mammalia > Primates > Hominidae > Homo > Homo sapiens. Next base: position 375,905 of record NC_000004.12, on the reverse strand, counting down.
CTCTCTGCTAGATTTTCATCATGGATCTTTCATTTCTGTCCTCACTCTTTCTTGTAAAAATTCACAAATAATGCCCACCTAATGAAAAAGAATCTCTCTTATCTCTGATGCAGCAACAATTCATCACATGCTTTCACATAAACAGGAATGTTGAAACAGTATGAAATAATTTGAGTTGAATTAACTATTATATGCTTTTCAAAAAATCTATACTTTTTTCAAGTGAAAAAATATACTTTAAATGTAGTATCTCTTCAAAAATCTTCTTTTCAACTTATATACAAAGAAATTCTCTAATAGGTTCAACTTTGGATTTTTTTAATACTTAATACTCTGATTTACTGCAGTGTCTAAAGTGTTAGTTCCTTAGTTCTTTCTACTGTAAATCCTCTGATGTTTACATACTCTTCTTTTTAGACTAAATATTTCTTCACATTTACTGCATCTACAAAATATTTTCTAGTGTAAACTGTTTAAGCTGCAGTTTTTGAACAAATGTTTTTCCACATTTATTACATTTGTAGGATTTCTCTCCAATATAAATTTTCTGATGTTGAAGAAAGTCTCCTTCAGTGTTTTCCCCTATTATAAAATGTGTACAACAAAATCCATGAGAGAAGTACAGGTACTACAACCCTCTTTATATTTGTATTGTTTGTCTTAAGAATACTCTTCTTCACTTTAAAGGCCTATATTTTCTGAAGTCTTTCAACAGAAATTACATTTATAATGTTTTTATTAAGTATGAACATTGCTAGTTAGTAAAATGTGAGGAGATATGACTTTTCTATATTTTTTATATTTCTATAACTTTTCTCGAATATAAAGGATATCATGTGCAAAAAGATGAGCATTGGTAAAAATCCTGCCACATTTTTTGCATTTCCAGGGGATTTCTTCAGTAGGAATTATATATATACAGTAAGATGTGACAAGCATTTGAAGGCTTTGCCACATTTTTCATATTTTTGTGGCTTCTCACCAATATCATTTCTCTTATATTTAGAATAGATTGAGTGTGGTTGCAAGCTTTGTCACACTTTCCACGTTTGCAGTTTCTCTTCAGTGTGAATTATCTTATGATTAGAAAAGACTGAGGAAGATTTAAAGACTGCCACATTCTTCACATTTGTAAGACTTTCCTCCAGTATGAGTTCTCATTATGTTTAAGAAGCCTGGAGTATGGCTTAAAGGTTTTGTCACATCTTTTACATTTCTATGGTTTTATATCTAGGATGAATTCTTATATTCATCTTTCATATCTTCTCAATGTAAGTTTGTGGAATGAATCTTCTACTCTCAAATATGAATTTTCATAAAGGTTTGTGGATGGTCTGAAGGCTCTGCCACGTTTTTCACATTTGTAGCATTTTTTTCCCCAGAATGAATTATCTTGTGCACAGTAAGGGTTGAGAACCTATTGAAGGCTTTGCCACATTCTTTACATGTGTAGGGTTTCTCTCTGGTATAAATTCTCTTATGTTTAACAAAGTTTGAGGATGTGGTAAAGACTGTGCCACATTCTTCGCATGTGAAGCATTTTGCTCCAGCATGAATTCACTTACGTTCATTAAGGGTTGAGGACCATTTAAAGGCTTTGCCACACGGTTCACATGTGAAGTTTCTCTCCAGCATGAATTATATTTATTAAGCATTGAGGACCAATTAAATGCTTTGCCACATTCTGCCACATGTGTAGGGCTTCCCTCCAGCATGATTTTTCTTATGTTTATTCACCGGTGAGGGCTGTTTAAAGGTTTTGTTACACTCTTTACATTTGCAGGGTTTATCTCCAGTAATAATTTTCTTCTGCTCATTCAGGTTTGTGGACCATTCACAGGCTTTGCCATATTCTTCACATTTGTACAGTTTCTCTCCGGTATGAATTCTCTTATGTTTATCAAGGTTTGAGAATGAGGTAAAGAACTTTGCCACGTTCTTCACATTTCCAGGGTTTCTCTACAGTATAAATTTTCTCATGTTCATTAAGGTTTGTGGATCATCCAAAGGTTTGCCACATTCTTTACATTTGTAGGATTTCTCTCAAGTATGAATTTTCTTATGTTTATTCAGGTGTGAGAACCGTTTAAAGGCTTTGTCACAATCTTTACATTTGTAGGGTTTATCTACAGTATGAATTTTCTTATGTTGACTCAGGAGCGAAAATTGTTTAAAGGCTTTGTCACATTCTTTACATTTGTAGGGTTTATCTGCACTATGAATTTTCTTATGTTGACTCCGATCTGTGGACCGTCTAAAGGCTTTGCCACATTCTTCACATTTGTAGGGTTTCTCTCCAGTATGAATTTTTTTATGTTCATTCAGGACCCTGGACCGTCCAAAGGCTTTGCCACATTCATCACATTTGTAGGGCCGCTCTCCAGTATGAACTTTCTTATGTTCATTCAGTTTTGAGGACTGTCTAAAAGCTTTGCCACATTCTTCACATGTGTAGGGTTTCTCTCCAGTATGAATTCTCTTATGTTTAGTAAGGGTTGTGGACCTATTAAAGGCTTTGCCACATTCTTCACATTTGTAGGGTTTCTCTCCAGTATGAATTCGCTTATGTTTGGCAAAGTTTGAGGATGAGGTAAAGATTTTCCTACATTCTTCACATGTGATGGGTTTCTCTCCAGCATGAATTCTCTTATGTTTAGTAAGGGTTGTGAACCTATTAAAGGCTTTGCCACATTCTTCACATTTATAGGGTTTTTCTCCAGTATGAATTATTTTATGCTTAGCAAAGTGTGAGGATGTGGTAAAGATGCTGCCACATTCTTCACAAGTAAAAGGTTTCTCTCCAGTATGAATTCTCTTATGTTCATTAAATATTAAAGACCATTTAAAGGCTTTGCCACATTCTTCACAAGTGTAGGGTTTCTCTCCAGCATGAATTACCTTATGTTGAGTTAGGTGTGAAAACTTCTGAAATGATTTGCCACATTCTTTAAAGTGTTTCTCTCCAGTATGTCTTGTCTTACGTTTGTTTGAATTTGAAAATTTACTAACAACTTTGACACTTGCTTTACACTGAAGTATTTTGCTCTGGGTAGTTGACAAGCATTCATTAAATTCATTATAACCTCCTTTCTGCAACTTACACTCATTCAAACTTTTACAGCCTTTTCTTAATTGTAAATTATCATGTCCACATTTCTCATATCTTCTCAGTATAAGTTTGTGGAATGAATCTTCTATGCCCTGCACTGGCCAATGGTCTTGGGTGAAATGAGAACACATAGCTGAAAGAAATAAAAATTACAAATTATCCCACTTAGTAGATTCATATAAATATACTTTACAAATCTTATGAAATTATTCAAAATACATTAGTAAGATGGCATAACAAAATCCCACAGGCCATAACTTCTTCACAGACATATACATGTAGCAAACATATACTAACAAAGACACCTTTCTGTGAAATCTATAAATGAGTTAATTGTATGCAATGCCTCAGGTAAGCAAAATGCCAAGAGCCACATAGAACAGGAAGGAATGTTTGTTACATTTACCCACCAACAGCTCTTCCTCCTCCCCAATATAGCACTGTGCCATTAGGAGTGAAGTATCAACTCCTGGCTTCTTCCTTTAAAGAGAAGAAAAATACTGATACACATATCCTTACTTCTGGCTTTTGAGTGTCTTTACAAAACCTGGTTTCTGTCTCCAATACCACAGAGTGCTGATAGAAATGGTGATACACTTTGGGAGGGATTGGGTCTGCTGAAAGCAAATGTAAATGTTTCAGGAGCAGACTGCAGTGCTAAATACAGGCAACACGTAGAACAAGTGATTAGAGACTGTTAAGAAGAAACATGAACAAACCCTTTTAACTGAAAAATAAACACAAAATTCCAGAGAGGACACATCCTTAGAACATGTATGAGAGGTTACCATAATCTCTATCAAGGACAATTGGTTTCAGACTATGTCAGGAAAAAGCTACATTGTAAAGATTGTGACAAATAGCTTTTTGTTAATGTACAAATAACAACCAAACATGACAATGTATACAAAATATTAGAACAACACAGTCCAACAATTTAAAAATTTTCAGAAAAGGGAACGGGCATGGTGGCTCACACCTGTAATCCCAGCACTTTGGGAGGCTGAGGCGGGTGGATCACGAGGTCAGGAGATAGAGACCATCTTGGCTAACATGGTGAATCACCGTCCCTACTAAAAATACAAAAAAACTAGCCAGACGTGGTGATGGGTGCCTGTAGTCCTAGCTATGCGGGAGGCTGAGGCAGGAGAATGGCGTAAACACAGGAGGCAAAGCTTGCAGTGAGCCGAGATCATGCCACTGCACTCCAGCCTGGGAGACACAGCGAGACTCTGACACACACACACACACACAAATTATCACAAAAGGTGAGGCATGGTGGCTCATGCCTGTAATCCCAGCACTTTGGGAGGCCGAGGAGGGCAGATCACGAGGTCAAGAGATTGAAAACATCCTGGCCCAAATGGTGAAACTCTGTCTCTACTAAAACTACAAAAATGTGCTGGGCATGGTGGCCCATGCCTGTAGTCCCAGCTACTCGGAAGGCTGAGGCAGGAGAATTGCTTGAACCCGGGAGGTGGAGGTTGCAGTGAGCCAAGATTGCACCATTGCACTCCAGCCTGGGTGACAGAATGAGACTCCATCTCAAAAAAAAAAAAAATTCCAGAACAAAAATTAAAAATGAAGATGTACAAAGTTTTAAAATTTGACCTGAATAAAACTCAATGAGCTAAATGGTAACAAAACTAAATATAATTAAAATATATATATATATATAAATGAAAACATTAAAAATATAAAAAACATGGAGGTGAAAAATACAAAAATAATGCCTGAGAAATTTTCAAAAGTTAAAAAAAGATGTGGCCAGGCATGGTGGCTCATGCCTGTAATCCCAGCACTTTGAGAGGCCGAGGCTGGTGGATCAGGAGGTCAGGAGAGTGAGACCATCCTGGCTAACACGGTGAAACCCTGTCTCTACTAAAAATACAAAAAAAATTAGCTGGGCGTGGTGGTGGGCACCTGTAGTCCCAGCTATGCGGGAGGCTGAGGCAGGAGAATGGTGTGAACCTGGGAGGCGGAGCTTGCAGTGAGCCAAGATTGTGCCACTGCATTCCAGCCTGGGCAACAGAGCAAGACTTTCATTTCAAAAAAAAAAGAAGGAGCTCAACAAACTTCAACTAGGATATACAAGGAGATTTATAACAAAGCACATAATAAGCAAAGTTTTAAAAGTCAAAGGCAAAAATGGAATCTTAGAAGCGGCAAGATAAAAGTGATGTGTGATTTGTAAGTATGCTCTTATAAGATAACAAGTGAATCTGTCAACATTTTTTCAGACAAGAGAAAGTTGCGATATAGTTAACGTGCTGAAGGAAAAATAGCTTCTAAGTAGGAATAATATAACCAGTAAAACAGTCCTAAAAATGAAGAAAAAGTAAAGGCCTTTCAAGATAACCAAATGCTGAAAAGTATATTAGCACAACACCTGCCTTATAAAAAAAAATGCTGAACTATCTTCCATTGAAAATAACAGGATGCAAGAAAAAAAATATGATGATATGAAAATACATAACTTTCTGAAAAACATATGCACAAACACAAATATAAAGTTCTGTATCATTATAATAGTGCAAAAAAGTTTTTCTCTAAAATTTAAAGGATAAAAGCATAAAAATGATTATAAACTATTCATCATAATCTGGTAATAAATATACAGCAAAAAAATATGATTAGTGACATCAATAACAACATTCAGGGCAGATGTAAAGAGGAAGAATTTTCAAATGCAATTCAAGTTACATTTTTAAGAGTTTAAAATATATTATTTTGGCCAGGCCCAGTGGCTCATGCCTGTGATCCCAGCACTTTGAGCGGCTGAGGCAGGTGGATCACGAGGTCAGGAGATCGAGATCATCCTGGCCAACATGGTGAAACCCCGTCTCTACTAAAAATACAAAAATTAGCTGGGCATGGTGGCGTGTGCCTGTAGTCCCAGCTACTCAGGAGGCTGAGGCAGGAGAATCGCTTGAACCCAAGAGGCAGAAGTTGCAGTGAGCTGAGATCATGCCATTGCACTTCAGCCTGGGCGACACAGTGAGACTCCCTCTCAAAAAAAAAAAAAAAAAAAATATATATATATATATATATATATATATCTCTTTAAGAAATTTTTCAGAATTCCCAAGATACCACAAAGGTATAGATACACAAAAGTATAAGAAGTAAAGTCCTATCAACACAAAAATCTAAAAGACAAACAGGAAGACAGAAAAAGAAAATAAGGGACAGAGATAAAATAATCCAGTAAAACAATTTATAAAACAGGTAAGCCTTTCTATTTCAGCAAATTATTCAAATATTTATGAAGTAAACTTTCCATTCAAAATACATGCACCAAATAAAGGGACTGATTGCAAAAATTAAAAAACAAGATCCAACTTGTTTTTCTACAAGAGTCACTTGAGGTCTAATGATTAAAGGAGACTGAAAAAGGCAAGATGAAAGAAGACATTTCATGGAAATAACCAAATAAGAGGAGAACAGGTCCAAGTTATATAACACAAAGTACATCTTAAGTCAAAAACTCTATTTCATAAAATATACTTTAACTAAAAGCTCATAAGGGGCAAAGGAAGACATTAAACAATAATAAACAAGTTCATTTACTTAGAACCCATGATAAATGTGGGTATACATATATTAATGTGTGTGTGTGAGTGTGTGTGTGTGTGTGTATCTTACACTAGGGTTCAAAATATACAAAGCAAATACTGACAGAATTAAAGCAAGATATAGGGAGCAATGTAATTGTAGTAGGATATTTCAATACCCCAATTTCTATAATGAATAATGAAACAAGACAGAATATTCATAAAGGAATAGAAGACTTGAAAGCAGTATAAAACAATTTTGCCTAAAAAGAAGATGTCTAAATTCCTTAATGCAATCTCCAGATTAAATGCAATCCCTGTCAAATTTCTAATTAAATTCTTCCAGAAAAAGAAACAGCAACCCCCAAATTATATGGAATTTCAAGAAACAATGAAGCACTCAACAATCTTCAAAAAGAGTAACAATGTCAGAAACACTACAGTTCTTGATTTCAAAAAACATACAAAGCTAAAGAATTAAAGCAATTTGGTATGAGTATGAAGGTGAACACCTAAATCAATAAAATCCGGCAAAAATATGAACTCTCACACATATGGTCATATAAAGAGTAATTTGGACACTCACAATTATTGTAGCATTGTTACTGAAAGCAAATAAATGAAAGTAATGAAAATTTCTCTCACCAAATCAATGGATAAATATAATTTGAAATATTAAAATAATGAAACATTGGCCGATTGGCCAGGCATGGTGGCTCATGCCTGTAATCCCAGCAGTTTGGGAGGCCGAGACAGGTGGATCGCTTGAGGTCAGGTGTTCGAGATCAGCTTGACCAATGTGGTGAAACCCTGTCTCTACTAAAAATACAAAAATTAGATGGGTGTGGTGGTGCACGTCTGTAATCCCAGCTACTTGGGTGGTTGAGGCACAAGAATTGCTTGAACCTGGGACGTGGAGGTTGCAGTGAGCTGAGATGGTGCCACTGCACTTACATTCTGACTGGGTGACAGAGCAAGACTCTGTCTCAAAAAAAAAATCCTTTAAAAAAATGAAACATTACTGTTTATAAAAAGCAAAAAGTATCCTAATATGTATAATAAAGATAAATGTTGATGGCACTGTGTAACACAAAATAAGTCAGCCATGAAGAGACAAAAATTGCATGAGTCAACTTACATGAGATATATAAAGCAGTCTGACTCTAAAATAGAAAACAGAATTGTTTTTGTAAAGGGCCAGAAAACAGAAAAAGTAGGTAGTTGTTTAATGTGTATGAGTGTTAGCCTTGCAAGATAAACATATTCCAGACAGAGTGCATAAGAATATCGATATAATATGACTAAGGTAAATACTTAAAAGTATTTATGGCACGTGTATACCTATGTAACAAAATCTGGATGTTCTGCACGTGTACCCCAGAACTTAAATTATGACAACAAACTTTGGAAAAAAACAGTATTTAAGATTGTAAAGTTTTGGCTGGGCGCGGTGTAATCTCAGCATGTTGGGAGGCCGTGGCGGACAGATCATGAGGTCAGGAGATCAAGACTAGCCTGGCCAATATGGTGAAACCCCGTCTCTACAAAAAATACAAAAATTAGTTGGGCATGGTGGTGCGCACCTGTAATCCCAGCTACTCAGGAGGCTGAGGCAGAAGAATCGCTTGAACCTGGGAGGCAGAGGTTGCAGTGAACTGATATCGCACCACTGCACTCCAGCCTGGGTGACAGAGTGAGACTCCACATCAAAAAAAAAAAAAAAGATTGTAAAGTTTATGTGTTTTTGACAATTAAAAATAGTATCTAAAATCTGAGATACAGACATATGACAGTTTTTGAACTTATCTTCAAGTCGCAAAAGTGTTTCTCCCACACACAAATATAGATTTACAAATAAATAGAAAGTAAAATTAGGAGGATTTCAATGACTATTCAAAACCACCATTGAACACACATAAACAGAACAAGTAAACAACTCATAAACAATACAAAACCAATACACATACAGATAGACTCATATTGGAAATAGACATATCAGTGATCCATATTTCACTTGTGCTCCAGTCTTACAGTGTACACAGCTGAATGCTGTCATACACAATTATAATATAAAATAAAAACATACTTGTCCTGTTCCAGATCTCAAAAAAAGAAGATTTCTGCTCTTTCCTATCCAGTATGATATCAGCTATTAATCTGTCATATAGGGTCTTTACTGTATTGAGGTACATATGATCTATACCTAATTCGTTGAGTTTCTTAAATCACAAAGCCATGTTCAATTTTGCCAGTGTTGCTTCTACATCCACCAGTTGGCCAGGTTCAGTGGCTCACGCCTGTAATCCTAGCATTTTGGGAGGCTGAGGCAGGAGGATTACCTGAGGTCCAGAGCTCAAGACCAGCCTGGTCAACATGGCGAAACACTGTCTCTCCTAAAAATACAAAAATTAACCAGGTGCAGTCCAGCTACTCCCAGCTACTCAGGAGGCTGAGGCAGGAGAATTGCTTGAACCTAGGAGGCAGAGGTTGTGGTGAGCCAAGATCGCACCAGTGCGCTCCAGTCTGAGCGACAAAGCAGGACTCCATCCCAAATTAAATAAATAAAATAAAATATGTCTAGCAGCAAACCGAATTGAAAAGGTGAACACTCTCTACACTGATAATTATAAAACATTGATAATGCTGGGTGTGGTGGCTCACGCCTGTAATCCTAGCACTTTGGTAGGCCAAGGTGGGCAGATCACGAGGTCAGTAGTTCGAGAGCAGCCTGACCAACATGGTGAAACCCCGTCACTACTAAAAATACAAAAATTAGTGGGGCGGCACACGCCTGTCATCCCAGCTACTCAGGAGGTTGAGACAGGAGAATCATTTGAACCCAGGAGGCAGAGGTTGTGGTGCACTGATATTGTGCCATTGCACTCCAGCCTGGGCAACAGGGTGAGACTTTGTCTCAAAAAGCAAACAACAACAAAATTGATAAAAAACTGAAAAAGACATAAAAATTGAAAGATATTTTTCCTCATGAATTGAAAAAACATTACGAAAGTGGCCATACTACCCAAGGTGATCTACAGATTCAATGCCATCTCTATCAAAATACCAAAGACTTTTTTCACAGCAATGGAATAAACAAGCTTAAAATTAACCAGGACCAACCAAAGACCCCCAAATAGCAAAGGTAATCCTGGGCAAAAAGAATCAAGCTGGAGGCATTACACTACCTGACTCCGAAATATGCTATAAAGCTATAATAAGCAAAACAACATGATACTGGCATAAAAACAGACAGATCAAACTATCCAGTGAGCCCAGTAATAAATTCATGAAACTAGAGGCAAGTGATTTTCAACAAAGATGTCAAGAACACACATTTGGAAAAAGACAGTCTTTTCAATAATTGGTGCTAGGAAAATTGATTACCTACATGATAATCAAAAAATGAAACTAGGCCCCTAGCTCTTACAGTATAAAAAACTCAATCGCAAATAAAGATTTAAATGTGAAACCCAAACCTATAAAGCTATTTGGATAAACATAGAGGAATGCTTTACCACATATTACAGAGCAAAGAATTTTTAAGTAAGACCTCAAAAGCACAGGCAAAAGAAGTAACATTATGCAAATGGGATTACAACAAACTAAAAATGTTTTGCACAGCAAAGAAAACGTTAACAAAGTGAAGAGATAATCTACAGAATGAAAGAAAATATTTGTGAAATATACACAACAAAAGATAAACTTATAGAATATTTAACAAACTTAACAACAAAAATAACACACAATTTAAAAATAGAGCAGAGACCTCCCGTTCCAAGATGGCTGAATAGGAACGGCTCTGGTTTGCAGCTCACAGCGTGACTGACGTAAAAGACGGGTGATTTCTGCACTTCCAACTGAGGTACCTGGTTCATCTCATTGGGACTGGTTGGACAGTGGGTGCAGTGCAGCCCACTGAGGGCAAGCTGAAACAGGGTGGGGCATCACCTCACCTGGGAAGCACAAGGGGTTGGGGGATTTCCCTCTCCTAGCCAAGGGAAGCTGTGACAGACTGTATCTGGAAAATCGGGATCTCCTGCCCAAATACTGTGTTTTTCCAATGGTCTTAGCAAACGGCACACCAGGAGATTATATCCCACGCCTGGCTTGCCAGGTCCCACACCCACAGAGCCTTGCTCACTGCTAGCACAGCAGTCTGAGATTGACCTGCCAGGCAGCAGCCTGGCAGGGGGAGGAGCGTCCACCATTGCTGAGGCTTGAGTAAGTAAACAAAGCAGCCAGGGAAGCTTGAACTGGGCGAAGCCCACTGCATCTCAACAAGGCCAGTTGCCTCTGTAGATTCCACCTCTGGGGGGAGGGCATAGCTGAACAAAAGGCAGCAGAAACTTCTGCAGATTTAATCGTCCTGTATGATGGCTCTGAAGAGAATCGTGGTTCTCCCA